>NC_000002.12:85055309-85360693 GCF_000001405.40 Homo sapiens | reverse complement strand
CAGAGAAAAAAAAAATCATTAAGGCAAAAAAGAAAAACCAGCCGGGTGTGGTAGCCCACGCCTGTAATCCCAGCACTTTGGGAGACCAAGGCAGGAGGATCTCTTGAGGTCAGGAGTTCAAGACTAGCCTGGCCAACATGGTGAAACCCAATGTCTACTAAAAAGTACAAAAATTAGCCGGATGTAGTGGCACATGCCTGTAATCTCAGCTACTCAGGTGGCTGAGGCACGAGAATGGCTTCAACCTGGGAGGTGGAAGTTGCAGCGAGCTGAGATTACGCCACCGCACTCCAGCCTGGGCAACAGAGTGAGACTCCATCTCAAAAAAAAAAAAGAAAAACCAACCCAGTGGAAACATTAGAAAAAGGATATAGATGGTTTACACAAAAGGTAACTGAAATGGTGGCTTTTTTTTTTTTTTTTTTTTGAGATGGAGTTTTGCTCTTGTTGCCCAGGCTGGAGTGCAATGGTGCAATCTCGGCTCACCTCAACCTATGCCTCCCAGGTTCAAGTGATTCTCCTGCCTCAGACTCCTGAGTAGCTGGGATTACAGGCATGCGCCACCACGCCCTGCTAATTTTTAGTAGAGTATTTTTAGTAGAGACGGGGTTTCTCCATGTGGGTTTTTTTGAGATAGAGTCTCGCGCTGTTGCCCCACTTGGGGCATAGTGGCACGATCATGGCTCACTCACTTCTTGGCTCAAGGGATTCTCCCACCTCAGCATTCCAAGCAGCTGGGACCACAGGTGCACACCACCATGCCCATGTAGCCATGGGGTCTACATATGGTTGCCCAGGCTGGTCTCAAATTCCTGGGCTCAAGCCACCTTGACATCCCAAAGTGCTGGGATTACAGACACGAGCCATCCTGCACAATCACAAATTGGTTTTAAACATATGAACAAATGTTCAACCTCACTCATTAAAACAAAACAAAACAAAAAAAAGCAAAACAGAAAAACGTCACCAGGCACCGTGGCTCACACCTGTAATCTCAGCACTTTGGGAGGCTGTGGTGGGTGGATCACCTGAGGTCTGGAGTTCAAGACCAGCCTGGCCAACATGGTGAAACCCTGTTTCTACTAAAAATACAAAAAAGTATTTTTTTTGTATTTTTAGCACACCGGGCGTGGTGGTGCACACCTGTGATCCCAGCTACTCGAAAGGCTGAGGCAGGAGAATCATTTGAACCTGGGAGGCGGAGGGTGCAGTGAGCCGAGATCGCGTCATTGCACTCCAGCCTGGGCAACAGAGCAAGACTCCATCTCAAAAAAAAAAAAAAAAAAAAGAGTCATGTAAAACTACTGTGTTTCATTAGTCAGATTATCAAAGATCAAAAAGTCTGATAACATGTACATTGGCCAGAGTGCATAACACACTGGAGAGTAAACTGTTACCACCTCTACAGCTTGATAGTACCTAATGAAATCATACATGTTTTGTACATGCGGGGCCTGATACTGCATTCTAGTAATTTATCTAACAGATATATTCATCCATGTGCAAAACCGACATGTTTACATTTATAGTGTGATTCTTTGTCATACTGTTTATAATAGGGAAAGGCTGGAAAAACCTAAATGTTCATTAATGGGCTGATTTACATAAATAAAAGCACATTCACTCAGTGAGATACTATATGGCCATAAAGACAAATGAGAAAGTGCTTTACTTTACAGGCAATATGGGACAATTTCCGTGATGTATTAAGTGAAAAAGCAAAGGACAGAGTCTATACACTATTTTACCATTTTATTTTTTAAAAGTACATAAGCACATTTGCTTGTCTCTGCAGAGACCATTTTCACAGTTATACCCAAGGAAGCAGTAGCTTTGTCTCCAGCAGAAAAACTGAGTGGCTGGGGGGACAAGGGTGGAAGGTGGTTTCTTCACAATACATATATCGTTCTGTACTTTTTGCATTTTGAACCATGTGAATGTATTATGCCAAGGCCCTGGAATCCCAGATCATCCTGTTACTCTAATCCTTCTGCTTTTTTTTTTTGCCTTTCCAACTAATGCTCATTAAACACAACTTTCATTTCTTCATGTTCCAGATGCAAGGATGGAGGCCAAAACACCTCACAGCTGACCAAGCTCCCTGGTAAAGGAGCTCATGATGGCTAAGCATTTATTTCCCACTGTAATGCAATCAACACACCTGCTGCAGATCCCTCTCCTCACTTCCATCCCTTTGTTCATGTAGTTTTCCTCCAGAATACACCTCCACTCTCTTCTCTGATCAAGGTCAGTTCCACCTACTCAAGGCAACCTACCTTACTAGCTGGGGCTACAATGCTGTCTCACACCTCTAAGTCCAGTAACCCTTGTATGCAGCAAAAGTTCCTCTGCAAAAGGCCTGCATAAGGACCTTCTCTTATATTTCTTTTTTCATTTTTTTTTTTTTTTTTTTTGGAGACAGAGTCTCACTTGGTCACCCAGGCTGGAGTGCAATGGTGTGATCCCAGCTCACTGCAACCTCCGCCTCCTGGGTTCAAGCGATTCTCTTGCCTCAGCTTCCTGAGTAGCTGGGATTACAGGCATGCACCACCATGCCCAGATAATTTTGTATTTTTAGTAAAGACAGGGTTTCATCATGTTAGCCAGGCTGGTCTCCAACTCCCGACCTCAAGTGATCTGCCCACCTCAGCCTCCCAAAGTGTTGGGATTACAGGCGTGAGCCACTGCCTCCAGGCTCTTATATTTCTTTTATATGTTTCACAACCATTGGCACAGTACTAAGCACAAAATATATTTCTCAAATTTTTGTTGAAATTTTATCTCTAAAATATTTGGTGATTCATTGTGCTGAACAACTTCCTGCAGGCATCTGTGTACCTGAGATTCATTTCATCCTTCCTTTCCTTCTCCAATTCAGTCCCCTCCAGTGTCCAAAGACTTCCCTCTTTGGAACAGTTCGCATATTACTACAGTGAAGAAAATCTTTCTGGAGACCCAAAGCAAAGGCTTTGTCCCAGTCTGGCCACTGAATCCCACAGCCTCCATTTAAGACCATTTTTGGGTGGGCAAAGTAGTGTGAAAGGTAAGGCATGTAGGGTTAGCTGCCCGGCTCATACAAAGACATATCACATTGAACTGAGTCCTGAGGATGATCAGGCCAAAGCAAGCGTTTCACAGGGAAGAGGCTAGTAAGGTAATGATCCAAATCAATGAAATACAGATTTCTTGGGTGATTCCTCAATGAAATTCTCCCCACTACCCAAGCAAAAAGAAAACAAAAATCTCATAACTCACTTACAAAACAAGCTATTAGGAAAAGCAATTGACCCTGAGGTGAATAGAAGCTCCTTCTTACAGAACAAAGAGAACTATAATGAGGGTTTCTAAATTTTTCCAAATATTCTCTTAATATATTCTTACTATACTTAATGATATATCTCAAACCAACACCACCTTTCCCAAATAAGAGTGCATGCTTACCTGTCCATCTCTTAATTCTTCTTTACTATGGAAAGAGCAAGATTTTTCATTCATGACTCAAAATCATTTGTTCATGTGAGCTTTGTCCTTGGGCCCAGAAAGCATTTTAGTAAGGTCTGAGATCAGAAGCTATGTGGAGAGCCAGAGATCCAGTTGCTCTACCTTTGCCTTCCTTGGCAGTCACTCAGACTAAGAGTAAGAAAACAGTCCCTTTGTGCCATCCGAGGGTGTAGGAGGTTTCTGTGAGTGCTGAGAGAAGTCCTCTGAGGTCTTCGAAGCCTCAGCTCTGCACAAAAGAAAAAAAAGAAATTGAAAAAGAAAACTGGTTTCACCATTCAGTTATGCCTCTGTTGACAATTTTTTTTTTTTTTTGAGTTGGAGTCTTGCCCTGTTGCCCAGGCTGGAGTGCAGCCGTGCGATCTCGGCTCACTGCAACCTCCGCCTCCCGGGTTCAAGCGATTCTCCTGTCCCAGTCTCCCGAGTAGCTGGAATTACAGGCGTGCGCCACCACACCCTGCTAATTTTTGTATTTTTAGTAGAGATGGGGTTTCACTATGTTGGTTAGGCTGGTCTTGAACTCCTGACCTCGTGATCCGCCTGCCTCGGCCTTCCAAAGTGCTGGGATTACAGGCATGAGCCAACACGCTCGGCCTGTTGACAAAATTTAAGCAGCTGTGAATTTATTCTGAATGAACAACTTGCCTCAGCCAAATGCTTACCTCTTACTACCCAAGCCACAGGATGGCCAAAAGGGGACCACACAGGGGACTGTGAGCTGGATTCTGTGTCCAAAAGGCAGCAGCACCACTAGAAGGGATGGGGTCTGTTTCTGACAATGGAGTTACTGGGACCTGGGCCAGCTTATCAAAGGCGTGAGGCTAAAGGTGTCACCTTGGTGGGTGGTCTTAGCTGAAGTGCTCAGGCTTTGTTTAGGCCTCACACACAGGCTGGGTCAGGGGCTTATAATACTAGACCTGGTTCCAACAATGGTAGAAATTCAAAATGCAACACGATGTTCTAACCTTTCTCAGTTATCAGCAATACTGTGCATGTGGCAGCTGGCTAGCCAGTTTGGGCAATTCTAAGTCTTTCATCTGACATTGCTTCCCTCAGGAAAAGGGCTGGACAAGGCTCATACCTCATCACAGGGGAATTGGACATCCGGAATGTCTGTCACATCAAAAATTGCATCCTAAGTGGGCAGATGGCCCACACACAACTGACAATCATAGTTCACAACTTTGGGTGACTAAGGAAGGAGGGTAGCCTCTCTATGAGGTCAGCCCTCCAGGATGCCATAAAAACTGGCTGCTGGTGTCAGGATGCTTTGATTATTAACACTGAGAGGAAGAATACCTCCTGGCTCTTGGGCTTGACATGTGGCTCACTGTAATCCGGGGGACAGGGCAATGCCCCCTTAGTCCTGGCACCCCAGGAACTAAACTGCTCTCACTGTGGCCTCTGGGGCCTCAACATCTGCCTCCCCTTTCCTTTTCCTCCATCATGGCCTCCATGACAGCCTATGACAAAACACACATTGGCCAGCCTTGGCAAGGTGACAGGCGGGTATGGTAATAGCAATCTCAGGAGGGCTCTTCTGTTGCTGTGTAGAAAATGAACCAAGTAGCATAGAATCGTGACCAGCTTTCCACACCTGGCTGGAGCACTCCTGGGGCCTTCAGTAGGGACAGTTACTATCTGTAGCAGAGAAGAAAAGAGCAACAATTCCATTAAACAAGGAAGTACTCAAAGGCAAATTCCTGATAGTTGGACCTAAGGAAACGGCCTTCCTGTAAAAATGGATCCTTCTCCAATCAAGTATTCATTATGCACCCTCTTTAGGCAAGGAGGGGGTATGATTCTTCAACTGCTTGCTGGAGGTTAGATTCTCTGCATAGGAATTTAAATTAGATGGGCCCTTAGCTGATCCTTTCACCATGCTTGTCCATGGGCGGCTCCCCGTCCCCCAGGTTCCCCACGGATGGGGTGTCATTAGGGACCCGCCATAGAGGACTCCGTCCCAGGCGGGCCCCCAGGACAAAACTATGGGCCACTTTGAGGGGCACAGAGACAGACGCTCACCGGTTGTGATGCGCAGGTAACAGAGAGCTCAATTCATCATGACAACCAGTCAGACAGGGGCTGTGAGCAGCCTTTGGACAGAACTTTCGCATAGCCTGGAGGCGTAAGACGAGGAAAGCAATTTAACACCTCAAGGCAGCGAGTCCAGGGCAGAGCCAGGACCAGAACTCAGGACTCCTGTCTCCCAGTCGGGATTCTCTTTCAGTCTTACAACTCTCGGCCTTGTCTCGCCCCATAGTGATAATTTCCACCGGATCACATTCTCCCTCCCTCCTCAGGCCGGCTGCTAGCTCCGCACAGGCACCAACCACTCCCCTTGGCAAGTGTTAACGCGTTCTCACCGTTAAAAGAGCTTTCCAAACTTGGGGGTCCCGCCGCCTCGGCTAGGCCTCATCTGCTCATGCGCACAGCCGCTTCCGTGCCGGCTCCCCTGGCCCCGAGAACTACATTTCCCAGTAGGCAATGGAAACCCAAAAGAAGTACGGAGAGCCGGGAGGGTCAATCATCACCTGAGAGTTGGCTCTTCGCTGGCTGGCTGGTTAATCAGTGCTCAAAGCTGCCTCCGCCTCCTGACTGGAGAGCGAACTAGCCCGGGCGGAGCCACAGTCCTAGAGGCTGAGCGCAGTCGGAGCTGTCCCATTTACCCGACCCGACGCCGGCGTGATGTGGCTTCCGCTGGTGCTGCTCCTGGCTGTGCTGCTGCTGGCCGTCCTCTGCAAAGTTTACTTGGGACTATTCTCTGGCAGCTCCCCGAATCCTTTCTCCGAAGATGTCAAACGGCCCCCAGCGCCCCTGGTAACTGACAAGGAGGCCAGGAAGAAGGTTCTCAAACAAGGTAGCAGGAGGGACCCTGGGGTCCGGGGCTGCACTCGAGGCTTTCTCACAGATTTGGGTTCTCATTTTGCCAAGGCAGCCGCTACCAGACGTGGGCCTTAGTTTCCCCATATGTAAAGTACTAGGAGGGCTTCCTTGCACGTGGAGGAGCCCCGCTTTAGTGTGCAACACTGTCGATAGCCTTTGCCCTAGTAGGCCCCGGGAATAGTAGTCCCAAGGGTGTGGTCATTGTCCTTGGTTTGCAAGGTGTTGGCACCCGCCCTGCCACTTGTAATCCCCGTGGCTCGTGGAACTGATAATCCCCGTGACTCATTCCTCCACTTGGTTCCAGGACCTTAACTTTTTCACCTACCCTCCCATGCGAGCTCAGGGGTGTGGGGGAGCAGCACAGAAATGCGTAGGAAATTGCGTTTTGCCCGTCCGGTGATTTAACAGGCTTTGCATGGTCCCAAATCGTAAGGATTGAACCCTAGTTCTGAAACATTGGCAGAGGTTCAACAAGGCGCCTCAGGCTCAGAGCCTGCTCTCCACTCTCATCTTTAAAACATATTTTGTGGTTGCTTCTAGAGTTTAAAGAGTTCTGCTGCTTTAAAAAATAATGGATCACCTGTTTGATCTACGGAGTCCCTCTCACTTGTAAATTTTAGAATTCTCCGTGTCATATCTTGCTACACAATCGGAGACAGTACTGTTCTAAGTGGAAGGACTAATCATCTGGACTTCTGAGAACTGAGTTTTAGCTTGGACTCTGTCACTAATTTGCTGCATAACCATTAGCACCTACCTGGGCTGGTCTAAAAATGAGATGACTAGCTTAACTGCTTTTCAAACCGGATTGTGATCTATTAGTGGGCTATGAAATCAATTTAGTGAGTTGCAACTGGCATTATTTATTTATTTATTGAAACAGAGTCTCGCTCTATTGTCCATGCTAGAGTGCAGTGGCGCGATCTCCGCTCACCGCAACTTCCGCCTCCTGGGTTCAAGTGATTATCCTGCCTCAGCCTCCCGAGTAGTGGGCATGCCCAGCTAATTTTTGTATTTTTAGTAGAGACAGGGTTTCACCATGTTGTCAAGGCTCTCGAACTCCTGGCCTCAAGCGATCCGCCCACCTCGGCCTCCCAAAGTGTTGGGATTACAGGCGTGAGCCATCACGCCTGGCCACAACTAGTATTTTAGAATGCAGTAGAATAGAAAATATCAGAGTGCATTATACATAGTTCCACTAAGTATTGCATTGTGACACTTGTTTCATGTATTTATCTTATATACTTACATGTGAAATTTTTTTTTACTATTGATCTCTCTAAAAACATTAAAAAAATAAGCAGTTTGCCAAGTTCTCTTGTATCTTGAAACATCCCAGATCTCAGTTCTTTGCCAGTGATTGTTAAAGAACAGATCTTGTGTCGGAAGTACCCATATAGCACCACTTGCTATCCAGTTTTGTCTTCTGAGAAGGTGCTGCCTCCCTCAGCACTGCCCCCAGACCTTCCCTATGGGAGGGGCTGGTGCTGTGATTTCTCAGAGCTGCAGCCTCTGAGCAGTTCTGTCCTGCCCAAGCCTTTTCATCAGGACCTGGAAGAGCCACCATAAGACCCAGCTATTCCACTATTGCTTGCAGACCCTGCATCTTCCAAAGAAACCCGGCTTGTGGGCTGGTGTGTTGGCTCATGCCTGTAATCCCAGCAATTTGGGAGGCCGAGGTGGGTGGATCACTTGAGGCCAGGAGTTCAAGATCAGCCTGGGCAACATAGCAAGACTTTGGCTCTATAAAACATAAAATAGGCGGGGCGCGGTGGCTCATGCATGTAATCCCAGCACTTTGGGAGGCCGAGGCAGGCGGATCACGAGGTCAGGAGATCGAGACCATCCTGGCTAACATGGTGAAACCCCATCTCTACTAAAAAATATTAAAAAAAAAAATTAGCCGGGCGTGGTGGTGGGCACCTGTAGTCCCAGCTACTCGGGAGGCTGAAGCAGGAGAATGATGTGAACCCAGGAGGCGGAGCTTGCAGTAAGCGGAGATTGCGCCACTGCACTCCAGCCTGGGTGACAGAGTGAGACTCCGTCTTAAAAAATAATTAAACACATAAAAATAAAAATAAAAATAAAATGGCCCGGCATGGTGGCATGCACCTGTAGTCCCAGCTACTCGGGAACCAGAGGCAGGAGGATTGCTTGAGGCCAGGAGTTCAAGGCTGCAGTGAGCTGTGATCACATCACTGCACTTCATCCTGGGCCATAGTGAGACCTTGTCTCAAAAAACAAATAAGCAAAACCCCAAATCTGCCTGGCTGGTTCTGAGTATTCCCAGGTAAAATGTTTGAAACATGTTAGTCAAGAGTTCTGTGCCAAACCACTCTAGAGGTTTCTTGCACTGTACAAGCTAGAGAAGTCTTCTTTGGTTTCCCTATCTTTGCTATTTCCCTGCCCCTGCCTGAGAAACCCACCCTTTGGCCCTTCTGCTGTAGCTTTTTCAGCCAACCAAGTGCCGGAGAAGCTGGATGTGGTGGTAATTGGCAGTGGCTTTGGGGGCCTGGCTGCAGCTGCAATTCTAGCTAAAGCTGGCAAGCGAGTCCTGGTGCTGGAACAACATACCAAGGCAGGGGGCTGCTGTCATACCTTTGGAAAGAATGGCCTTGAATTTGACACAGGTAAGGCTTGTGTGGAAAAGGGTTGGGAGCATGGCTGTATGTTGAAGAGGCTTGGAGCAGCCCTTGTGGGGTGATACTGAGCATTTCTGTTGTTTTGGAAGTGCCATCTTCTCTCTGGGTACTTTTTTTCTTTGTTTGTTTCAGACAGAGTCTCACTTCATCACCCAGGCTGGAGCGCAGTGGTGTGATCCCAGCTTACTGTAACCTCTGCCTCCTGAGTTCGTGATTCTCATGCCTCAGTCTCCCGAGTGGCTGGGATTACACTCAGTAATCCCACCAAGTGGGCCACCACACCCCGCTAATTTTTTTGTATTTTAGTAGAGATGGGGTTTCTCCATGTTGTCCAGGCTGGTCTCGAACTCCTGACCTCAAGTGATCCACCTCCCTCTGCCTCCCAAAGTGTTGGGATTATGGGTGTGAGCCACCGTGCCCAGCCTCTGGGCAGTTTTCTTATGTGACAGCATAGCTACTGGGAGTTGAATCGGGCAGCGATCTGGCGGTTTCTGCTGTGACACCTCCCTACAGACAGAGTGAGCAGCTCACTCTGGGCGTGAACTTGGCCAGGCCAGATAAACTCTTCCACCTCACTTCCTCAGCCACCTTTCCAGGGCTCAATCCCCATATCCCTTTACTACCTTGTTTTTCCATCTCCCAACAGGAATCCATTACATTGGGCGTATGGAAGAGGGCAGCATTGGCCGTTTTATCTTGGACCAGATCACTGAAGGGCAGCTGGACTGGGCTCCCCTGTCCTCTCCTTTTGACATCATGGTACTGGAAGGGCCCAATGGCCGAAAGGAGTACCCCATGTACAGTGGAGAGAAAGCCTACATTCAGGGCCTCAAGGAGAAGTTTCCACAGGAGGAAGCTATCATTGACAAGTATATAAAGCTGGTTAAGGTAACATGGACATGCTGAGGACCCAGAGTTTGTTCTCGATAAGGCTGGGTTTCTTTATTATTAGTGGAGGCACTGGGGGTGGAGAGTGCAGTGCGGGAGGCAGGAAGGGAGGAAGAGTCACATCTGTTCTTAGCTCAGCCTCCACCCAAGTCCATCCAGTTCTCTGTCTCTCTCTCTCTGGAGCCTTGGCTCCACGGCTGCTGCTGTCACCCTGGCCTCTGGGGATGCCCTGCTCTCCTCCCTGACTAGGCTGGCTTCCATGACATCAGATCACTACTCCTTTTTACTGCATCCGAGACCAGATTGGGATTTTTGAAAAGGAATTTGAGCAGGAAAATTAAAAGCAAAAAAAGGACTCATCCGAGTGTAGGATGGGAAAAATTCACAGAGTATAGATTTTTTAAAAATATTCAAATTCAGCAAAGTTCAGTCAGGGGTAAGTGTTGCTGGATTCTTGGGCTGGTCCAGGCTATGGGGATAGCAGTTCTGTCAAAGCGGTTCTAGAGGTGAGGCCTGCTGTCCTCATTCACTCCCCCAGGTGGTATCCAGTGGAGCCCCTCATGCCATCCTGTTGAAATTCCTCCCATTGCCCGTGGTTCAGCTCCTCGACAGGTGTGGGCTGCTGACTCGTTTCTCTCCATTCCTTCAAGCATCCACCCAGAGCCTG
The DNA here is from genome assembly GCF_000001405.40 of Homo sapiens. NCBI lineage: Eukaryota > Metazoa > Chordata > Mammalia > Primates > Hominidae > Homo > Homo sapiens. The sequence goes on along the minus strand of NC_000002.12, from coordinate 85,350,112 downwards.
GCTGAGGTCCTGCAGCAGCTGGGGGCCTCCTCTGAGCTCCAGGCAGTACTCAGCTACATCTTCCCCACTTACGGTGGGTACTGGGCCTGGGCTCTGGGCAGCTTCTGGAGGAGGAACGGCTGCCCTCTCATCTCTCAATCTTTCTTCTCGACCCTGCCTGGCTGACTGATATGGAGCAGTGTAAACCCCAGGCCCTCTGGAGCTTGTGGATGAGAAGTCTGGCCACCTGCTGGACTCCTTGGTCAAAATTCTGTTCATCCATGCCTTGGATGATTTTTCAATTCAAGCAACACTATCCTCCTTGGTCTTGGCAGCATGGCAGTTTGCAGGGGGGGTATTCCTACTGGCGCCAAGATCTCTAAGGTACCCCATGTCTAGATGGAAAGGCTCCTCTGGCTGCCTTGGACCCTGAGGAACATGTGGTTCCTCGGATAGACTGGGCTGTGTGTTATCTCACAGAATTCCACGTTCCTTTCTGAATGGTGCTGGTGCCTTCTCTTGCCAGCTCACCACCCTTCCTTGCTTCTGCAGGTGTCACCCCCAACCACAGTGCCTTTTCCATGCACGCCCTGCTGGTCAACCACTACATGAAAGGAGGCTTTTATCCCCGAGGGGGTTCCAGTGAAATTGCCTTCCACACCATCCCTGTGATTCAGCGGGCTGGGGGCGCTGTCCTCACAAAGGCCACTGTGCAGAGTGTGTTGCTGGACTCAGCTGGGAAAGCCTGTGGTGAGAGCCCTGCCCCGCCCTGCCCTTCTGGGTCCCTGGGTTGGTGTGGGCGAGACCTGGGGTCTCCCTGAGACCAGAAGGAGTAGGAGAACTGACCTCCTCATGGAGGCTAAAGGTGAGAATCTGCCCCAGAGCAGGGTCCAGGGATAGTGATTAGTCCAGAAATAAAAAGGAAGCAGGAAAGATAAAGGATTGGCCGGGCATAGTGGTCCAAGCCTGTAACCCCAGCACTTTGGGAGGCTGAGATGGGAGGATCACTTGAGCTCAGGAATTTGAGATCAGCCTGGGCAACATGGTTAAACCCTGTCTCTTTAAAAAAAAAAAAACAAAAATATGGCCGGGCATGGTGGCTCACGTCTGTAATCCCAGCACTTTGGGAGGCCGAGGCGGGCAGCTCACAAGGTCAGGAGTTCGAGACCAGCCTGGCCAATACGGTGAAACCCCGTCTCTACTAAAAATACAAAAATTAGCTGGGCATGGTGGCACGCACCTATAGTCCCAGCTACTTGGGAGGCTGAGGCGGAAGAATTGCTTGAACCCAGGAGGTAGAGGTTGCAGTGAGCTGAGATCACGCCACCGCACTCCGGCCTGGGCGACAGAGCGAGACGCCATCTCAAAAAAAAAGAAAGGAAAAGAAAAGAAAAATAAAGGATTGCATGGTCCCCAAAGAACAGTATTTATTTATTTATTTAATAGATAAAATTATTTACCCAGTAATCTATGACTGTCTTCTTTTTTTTTTTTTTTTTTTTTGAGTTGGAGTCTCGCTCTGTTGCCCAGGCTGGAGTCCAGTGGTGTGATCTCGGCTCACTGCAAGCTCCGCCTCCTGGTTCATGCCATTCTCCCGCCTCAGCCTCCCGAGTAGCTGAGACTACAGGTGCCCGCCACCACGCCCAGCTAATTTTTTGTATTTTTAGTAGAGATGGGGTTTCACCATGTGTTAGCCAGGATGGTCTCAATCTCCTGATCTTGTGATCCGCCCACCTTGGCCTCCCAAAGTGCTGGGATTACAGGCGTCAGGCACGGAGACCAGCCGACTATCTTCTTGAGTGTAGAGACTGTCTTTTATCTTTGTATCTATAAATCTTAGCACATATTAGAGGCTCAATAAATGCTGTTCAGTGGCCAATAGAATGAATGAGTAACCTTGGATTCCACAGGATAGTATGGAGGCCAGCAAGGTTCCCTGCCTCTATCTGTAAAGTGGGGCCCAGAACGTTATTACCCTGGCTCAGGTTGATGCTGTAACCCGCATAGGGACTCAGAATCCCAGTATAAATGAACTCTTGGAATAGAGGGTCTGTGCAAGAAGGACTCTGTTAAACAGAATAGGCCATCTATGACTAATGGGTGCTTAAAGAAGCCAGGGAAGCAGACAAAAAGAGGCCTGGGAAAAACTGGGCTAATGTAGACATGCATTTATCAGAGGAACCTTTCAAGGAGGTGATAAGTGGGGGGCCCAGTGCAAAATGAAAAATGAAGGAGAAAAGGCCATCAGTGATCTGAGAGAATCCATTAGTAGGAGAGACTGATAAGTTACCGGGTGGTAAGAGAGAGGTGGCTGTTGGTTGGGCAAGGTTTTCTCTGATGTCCATGAACAAGTTCTCCTTTCAGCTGAAAGGGGTCCAGGAAGCAAGGTATCAGTTGAGTTAAATACAATCCAGATATATTTGTTTGTTTTTCAAGTGCTAGGTAATAAAAGATAGAGATAAAAGAGGCCGGGCGCAGTGGCTCATGCCTGTAATCCCAGCACTTTGGGTGGCCAAGGCAGGCAGATCACCTGAGGTTGGGAGTTCGAGACCAGCCTGGCCAACATAGTGAAACCCTGTCTTTACTAAAAATACAAAAATTAGCCAGGGCCAGGCGCAGTGGCTCACGCCTGTAATCCCAGCACTTTGGGAGGCCGAGGTGGGTGGATCACAAGGTCAGGAGTTCGAGACCAGCCTGGCCAGTATAGTGAAACCCTGTCTTTACTAAAAATACCAAAATTAGCCAGGCACGGTGCTGGGAGCCTGTAATCCTAGCTACTTGGAGGCCAGGATAGGAGAATTGCTTGAACCTGGGAGGCGGAGGTTGCAGTGAGCTGAGATTGAACCACTGCACTCCAGCCTGGGCAACGGAGCGAGGCTTCATCTTAAAAAAGAAAAAGCATTCATTTACTTGCCATCTGGAGGCGTGTGCTAAGGATGGGGATAACAGACAGCACGGTGGAACAGGGGAAGCCTCCTGGAGGCACAGGTGTTGGAGCTGAGTAATAAAGGGTGAGATGAAGCTAGCAAGCAGATGAGGTTGGAGAATATTCCAGGAATGGGAAGCAGCATGTGCAAAGGTGTGGAGATATGAAAGAGCTGGGTGTTTTCAGGCATCCAGAAGTATTAGGTCGAACAATAAGAAACTGCCATTTTTGTAGGTAAGAAATGGTTGACTCTCAGCTGTTTGATATTGGTTCTGCCTAATAGTTTAGTGGGAGTTTAGTGAGAGTGACCAGAGACGGATGGAGCTGGACACACAGAAGGGACCACATTGCACAGGCTGCTGTAAGATTTTGGAGGTTCTCTTATCCAGGATGAGGCATCATTGCAGGGTTTTATTTTTATTTTATTCATTCATTCATTCATTCATTTTTTTTAGATACACGGTCTCACTCTTTTGCCCAGGCTAGAGTGCAGTAGTGTCATCATAGCTTACTGTAGCATTTAACTCCTGGGCTGAACCCATTCCTCTGGCTGAGGAGATAGGACTACAGGTGTGCACAACTCCATACAGCTTAATTTAAATTTTTTTGTTCTATAGAGACAGGGTCTCACTATGTTGCCCAGGCTAGTCTTGAACTCCTGTACACAAGCAATCAGTCCTCTTACCTCAGACTCCCAAAGCGCTGGGAGTACAGGCATGAACCACTGTGCCTAGCCCCGATTGGAGGGTATTAAAGAGTATTTGGAAACAACTCTGGCAGCAGAGAAAAGGGCCTGGATTTCCAGTGGAAGGTCTTTAGCCCTTGAGCTTTGTCTGGGATTTGGCTCAAACACAGAGTACATACAAACATACACACACACAGGTGGGTACAGAGCTAGGGAAAGTAAGCCCAAGCAGTTGTAGGATAGTGTGAAAGCACCTGAAGATACTCACTCACTGTGCATTTTCCCAGGGGCCTGCCCTGCCTGAGTCTAGGTAGCTGGACTCCAAGGTCTGAGAAATGGGCACAGGCAGAGAGAGATCCATGGGGGCCGTGGGCCTTTCTCTTCATCCCAGAGCTCACAGACCCTCAGCCAAGCTCTTGTGCCTGCAGGTGTCAGTGTGAAGAAGGGGCATGAGCTGGTGAACATCTATTGCCCCATCGTGGTCTCCAACGCAGGACTGTTCAACACCTATGAACACCTACTGCCGGGGAACGCCCGCTGCCTGCCAGGTAAAAGGCGGGTCTGCACTGCCCCTCTTGCAGGTTCCCCAATGTGTCCCCTTCTGGAGCCAACCTGCTCCGTGTGGGTCATGCTTCTCCTCTTCTTGGCCGGCCCTCTGATTGTCCTTAAGCAACAAGGTGAGAACGCTACCTCTAACATCATCCTAACCCTAGCATTTAATGTTGGGGAAACTGAGGCCCATACAGATTAATTACAGTCCTGAGGCCACTCAGCTGAAAGGGGCAGGGCTGAGCAGAGTAGCTGGTCTGATTTGAAAGCTCCGCTCCTCCCACCCTTCTGGGCTGAGGGGGCTTCCAGAGAAGAGGCCTCAGGAAGAGAAGCAGGAGAGCAGGCAGCCCACAGGGAGCAGAGCCGCCGAGCCAACGCAGCTAAGAGGTCCCGCCACCTTCATGTAACTGGATCTGAGGAAGGGAGGCCGCTGGGAAGAGGGGACCAGTAACCCAGCAGGGGTGAGAGAGAGGGGCCCAGATGAAGGACTCAGGATGGGGCGGGAGCTGGAGAGCATGGAGTAGCTCCGGATATGGTATGGCGGAAACCTTGACTGGTGCAGGAGCTAGAGAGCAGGGGAAGGAGCCCTGACCCCAGAGGGTGGGCCCGGGAGCTGCTCCCTGAGGAGCCGGGGAAGGGGACAGCAGAGCGGGCTGGGGGGTAAAGCGAGGTCCTGGCTTTCCGCATGGGGACTGGGTGGTAAGGCAGTTGTGATTGTCTCCAGGGCATAGGGTGATTTCACCAGCGCCAGCCTCTCCTTCCTTCACCCTGCGTGGCTGAGCCTGCAGCCTGCTCGGCCTCCCCTCTCTCAGACTCTCAGGAGCTGAAGGGGTGAGGCAGAGATGGCCCAGGGGCAGAGCAGGGAGGTCGGGCTTGGTGCACAGGCAGACTCTGCCTTTGCTACTTCCTACCTTTCTCTCTGTGACCCTGACCTCCCTTCTCCCCTGTCCCAGGACCTCTGGGAACTGACACTGTCCTGGCCAGGCAGCCCTGCTACAGTCATCTGTCCCTCCCGCCCCCCTCTCACTGTCTGGTTACAATTTTCCCTTGTCTATGAATTTTCCTCCTGAACACGATCTGAAGGCCTCAAAAATATTTAGTTAAATGAAGGAAGCAGAGTGGCCAGGGGCCCGGCATGCCTCAGGCAGGTGCCAGAGCTGGCACCCCAAGGCTCTCCTGGGAGCAAGGAGTGGCCGTCTCCGGCCATGGTCCACACAGGCACCAACCACTCCCCCTGGCAGGTGTGAAGCAGCAACTGGGGACGGTGCGGCCCGGCTTAGGCATGACCTCTGTTTTCATCTGCCTGCGAGGCACCAAGGAAGACCTGCATCTGCCGTCCACCAACTACTATGTTTACTATGACACGGACATGGACCAGGCGTAAGGTGCACGTGTGTGTGTATGTGTGTGGCCCGTGCCTCCCTGCTTGACTCAGAGAATGAGCAGAGGTTATGGAATGGGAGGAAGTAGGCAATTTCTAATTTGCTCCTGGAAGTTTGTCACGCCAAGGCTGTGGCTCAGCTTCACCCCTGTGGGGAGTCCCTAGGGATAAGCAGTCCTTGCAGTGGTTCTGGGGTTTTGAGGACAAAAACCTGGAGATCCCACCACACTCTTGTCACATGCAGGATGGAGCGCTACGTCTCCATGCCCAGGGAAGAGGCTGCGGAACACATCCCTCTTCTCTTCTTCGCTTTCCCATCAGCCAAAGATCCGACCTGGGAGGACCGATTCCCAGGTGGGGCTGCACGTCCCGGGTGAGGGGGTGGAGGGAGAGGCCGGGCAGTAGTAATATCAGCTCTGATCCCCAGGCCGGTCCACCATGATCATGCTCATACCCACTGCCTACGAGTGGTTTGAGGAGTGGCAGGCGGAGCTGAAGGGAAAGCGGGGCAGTGACTATGAGACCTTCAAAAACTCCTTTGTGGAAGCCTCTATGTCAGTGGTCCTGAAACTGTTCCCACAGCTGGAGGGGAAGGTAGGGGGTAAAGTATTTGGGGTGGTGACGAACCTCACGGTGCTGTTTCTGCCCTTTCCTTGAGACAGGGGAATCAGGCCCCAAGACATGAGCCCCAGGGAAGGACAGGGCACCCATCCCTGCAGTCAGTGAATGGGAAAGAGTGGAAGAGGGAGGGGAGCCAGGATCTCACATGCCTGCCCCACCCTTTCTGCCCTCAGGTGGAGAGTGTGACTGCAGGATCCCCACTCACCAACCAGTTCTATCTGGCTGCTCCCCGAGGTGCCTGCTACGGGGCTGACCATGACCTGGGCCGCCTGCACCCTTGTGTGATGGCCTCCTTGAGGGCCCAGAGCCCCATCCCCAACCTCTATCTGACAGGTATACTCACTGCCCCATGTTGTCAGGACCTGAGACCCTGGGCCCCTGTCGCCCAACGTCCTCTGTTCCTGCCCTCAGGCCCTGCTGTCCCCTGCAGCCTCCCATCCCCTGAGCAGGGCTGCCTGGGCAGGCTGTGGCCCCTGTCTGATTGGAGCCAGCTCTGGGTGGCCCTCATGTGGAGGGAAGAGCACCAAGGCCCCACCCTCCCCTGGGCCTGCCTGGGTGCACGCTCAGGGGCCTCTGCTCTTGCCTCCTAGGCCAGGATATCTTCACCTGTGGACTGGTCGGGGCCCTGCAAGGTGCCCTGCTGTGCAGCAGCGCCATCCTGAAGCGGAACTTGTACTCAGACCTTAAGAATCTTGATTCTAGGATCCGGGCACAGAAGAAAAAGAATTAGTTCCATCAGGGAGGAGTCAGAGGAATTTGCCCAATGGCTGGGGCATCTCCCTTGACTTACCCATAATGTCTTTCTGCATTAGTTCCTTGCACGTATAAAGCACTCTAATTTGGTTCTGATGCCTGAAGAGAGGCCTAGTTTAAATCACAATTCCGAATCTGGGGCAATGGAATCACTGCTTCCAGCTGGGGCAGGTGAGATCTTTACGCCTTTTATAACATGCCATCCCTACTAATAGGATATTGACTTGGATAGCTTGATGTCTCATGACGAGCGGCGCTCTGCATCCCTCACCCATGCCTCCTAACTCAGTGATCAAAGCGAATATTCCATCTGTGGATAGAACCCCTGGCAGTGTTGTCAGCTCAACCTGGTGGGTTCAGTTCTGTCCTGAGGCTTCTGCTCTCATTCATTTAGTGCTACGCTGCACAGTTCTACACTGTCAAGGGAAAAGGGAGACTAATGAGGCTTAACTCAAAACCTGGGCGTGGTTTTGGTTGCCATTCCATAGGTTTGGAGAGCTCTAGATCTCTTTTGTGCTGGGTTCAGTGGCTCTTCAGGGGACAGGAAATGCCTGTGTCTGGCCAGTGTGGTTCTGGAGCTTTGGGGTAACAGCAGGATCCATCAGTTAGTAGGGTGCATGTCAGATGATCATATCCAATTCATATGGAAGTCCCGGGTCTGTCTTCCTTATCATCGGGGTGGCAGCTGGTTCTCAATGTGCCAGCAGGGACTCAGTACCTGAGCCTCAATCAAGCCTTATCCACCAAATACACAGGGAAGGGTGATGCAGGGAAGGGTGACATCAGGAGTCAGGGCATGGACTGGTAAGATGAATACTTTGCTGGGCTGAAGCAGGCTGCAGGGCATTCCAGCCAAGGGCACAGCAGGGGACAGTGCAGGGAGGTGTGGGGTAAGGGAGGGAAGTCACATCAGAAAAGGGAAAGCCACGGAATGTGTGTGAAGCCCAGAAATGGCATTTGCAGTTAATTAGCACATGTGAGGGTTAGACAGGTAGGTGAATGCAAGCTCAAGGTTTGGAAAAATGACTTTTCAGTTATGTCTTTGGTATCAGACATACGAAAGGTCTCTTTGTAGTTCGTGTTAATGTAACATTAATAAATTTATTGATTCCATTGCTTTAACATTTGAAATTTATTTTGGTTTTTTGTTCAAGAAAACAAAACTATTATTGTGATGGCATTTGCAGAAGCTCAGTAAAACACTATATACTGAATAACACCAAAATAAGCTTTAAAAAAATAAAATTAAGTAATTATAAAGTTACAAAAAGTGGGGTCTGCGCCTTCCCAGGCCAGTGTGCTGAGCTCTCCATGTCGCTGTTGCCGCCCGCACCTGGCCTACCGCGGCACTCCCGGCTGCATGCTCTGCTTGGCCTTGCCATGCCGGTGGACCTCAGCAAGTGGTCCGGGCCCTTGAGCCTGCGAGAAATGGACGAGCGGTCACAGCACCTGCTGCATGTCACCTACGCCCGGGCGGTGGTGGACGAGCTGGGCAAAGTGCTGACGCCCACCCAGGTTAAGAATAGACCCACCAGCATTTAGTGGGATGGTCTTGATTCAGGGAAGCTCTACACCTTGGTCCTGACAGACCCTGATGCTCCCAGCAGGAAGGATCCCAAATACAGAGAATGGCATCATTTCCTGGTGGTCAACATGAAGGGCAATGACATCAGCAGTGACACACTCCTCTCCGATTATGTGGGCTCGGGGCCTCCCAAGGGCACAGGTCTCCACCGCTATGTCTGGCTGGTTTATGAGCAGGACAGGCCACTAAAGTGTGACGAGCCCATCCTCAGCAACCGATCTGGAGACCACCGTGGCAAATTTGAGGTGGTGTCCTTCCGTAAAAAGTACGAGCTCGGGGCCCCGGTGGCTGGCACGTGTTACCAGGCTGAGTGGGACGACTATGTGCCCAAACTGTACGAGCAACTCTCTGGGAACTAGTGGGTTAGCTTGGGGACCTGAACTGTTCTGGAGGCCCCAAGCCATGTTCCCCAGTTCAGTGTTGCATGTATAATAGGTTTCTCCTCTTCCTGCCCCCCTTGGCACAGGTGAGACCTGACCAGTCAGATGGTGGTTGAGGGTGACTTTTCCTGCTGCCTGGCCTTTATAATTTTACTCACTCACTCTGATTTATGTTTTGATCAAATTTGAACTTCATTTTGGGGGATATTTTGGTACTGTGATGGGGTCATCAAATTGTTAATCTGAAAATAGCAACCCAGAATGTAAAAAAGAAAAAACTAGGGGGAAAAAACCAGGTCTACAGTGATAGAGCAAAGCATCAAAGAATCTTTAAGGAAGGTTTTAAAAAAAAAAAGATTGGTTGCCTCTGCCTTTGTGATCCTGAGTCCAGAATGGTACACAATGTGTTTTTATGGTGATGTCACTCACCTAGACAACCAGAGGCTGGCATTGAGGCTAACCCCCAACACGGTGCATCTCAGATGCCTCAATAGGCATCAGTATGTCGCTCTGGTCCCTTTAAAGAGCAATCCTGGAAGAAGCAGGAGGGAGAGTGGCGCTGCTGTTGTTGGGACATGGCCATCTAGACCGGCAGCAGCGCTCGCTGACAGCTTGGGAGGAAACCTTAGATCGGTGTTTGTTAAACTGATCATTCTTCACGGGAGTAAGAAAAGCTGGTCTGGAGTTGCTGAACATTGCATTAATTGTGCTGTTTGCTTATAGTTGAATAAAAATAGAAACCTGAATGAAAAAAAAAGTTACAAAAAGTGGCCATCTACCGACTGGGCAAACAAAAAAGAACAGTTTCAACACTCAGTCATTTATTGCACATGGAGTCTGATGAATTAAAAGAATACCAATCAGAGTGTCCGGGGCTGGCGTGTTGGCAGTTTGAAGTACCATACAGCTCAGGGCTGGGTGCTTTGGCTCATGCCTGTAATCCCAGCACTCTGGGAGGCCAAGGCAGGTAGATTGCTTGAGCTCAGGAGTTCAAGACCAGTCTGAGCAACATGGCAAGACCCTGTCTCTATAGAAAGTCCCCACCCCACCCCCAGAAAAATTAGCTGGGCATGGTGGTGTGCCCCTGTAGTCCCAGCTATTCAGGAGGCTGAGGTGGGAGGATCACTTGAGCCCGGGAGGTGGAGGTTGCAGTGAGCCAAGATTGTGACACTGCACTCCAGCCTGAGCAAGAGAGTGGGACCCCGTCTCAAAACAAAACAAACAAAAAAGACCAAACATATAGCTCAGACCCAAACCCTTTACAGAGGAGTTTCTAAATTGGGAGATTTGGCTAAATACAATGGCTCATGTCTGTAATCCCAGTATTTTGGGAGGCTGAGGTGGGATGATTGTTTGAACCCAGGAGTTTGAGGCTGCAGTGAGCTGTGATCACTGCACTCCAGCCAGAGTGACAGAACGAGACCCTCCTCTAAAAAAACAAAACAAAACAAAACAAATAAACAAATTGGGAGATTTGGTAAATTCACACCTGACCTGTAGAACTACCTGAGTTGAGAGTCACCCTTGGCTCTGGATGTACCGTTTAATTGCAGCTAAAAATCTCTACCCAGGATTCCTACTGGAGCAAGTCACACCGAGCCCAACCTTCCTAGCAAGAGTTTTCACAGCGTTCTAGCTCTCATCACACTTGCAGCATTCTGCATCAGTTTACCCTGTACAGTCAAGCACAAAAGAAGACACCAGCATCACCAGCAGGGGAATTCTAGAGGTTTAGAATTCTATCAGCACATGTGTCACTAAAAGCCATTATGGGGGGACTATGTCAGAATATATGTAACTAGCTGTCAGGTCTTTCCCAGTTGCCTCAGCCTTTCTACATAGACTGGTCTTCGACTTGCCCTGAGTCCAGAAGTGGACTCTTACAGCAATTTTACTCAGGAATCTGTAGCAGGAAAACAGGTTCCTCTATTAACATCCATGACTGAACCACAGATTCGTCTAATAGAAATCACACTTCACCGGGCGTGGTGGCTCACGCCTGTAATCCCAGCACTTTGGGAGCCGGGGCAGGCAGACCACCTGAAGTCGGGAGTTCAAGACCAGCCTGACCAACATGGAGAAACCCCGTCTCTACTAAAAATGCAAAATTAGCCAGGCGTGGTGGTGCATGCCTGTAGTCCCAGCTACTCGGGAGGCTGAGGCTGGAGAATTGCTTGAACCAGGGAGGTTGTGGTGAGCTGAGATCGTGCCGTTGTGCTCCAGCCTGGGCAAGAGCGAAACTCCGTCTCAAAAAAAAAAAAAAAAAAAAAAAAAAATTCACCCTTCAACCAAAAGCTGGGCGCAGAAAGGGAAGCCCTTAGCTGACTATAGGAGGTGCCTCTTGTGGCTCCTCGTGCTTCTTACACACCACCCCTAGCTTGAGTGATGCCTCAGCCAGCTCACCCTCATCCACACAATCTCTAGGAAACATGCTTCGAATATTGTCTTTGAAAAGACAACCATGCAGAAAATAAGCTTTCCTTTAGTGTGCAGTATTTTATTCAGTGCAATTCTAAAGGCAAACTTGAATTCAAGTGTACTCTTTCTGCACAAGAAATGAAACTTCTCAGAGGTTCAAAAGCTGAGCTCTGCGGACTCCGTGACAAAATCTACACATCCACTGCCAACCCTCTTGGTTTCTGAAACCAACCTTTCTTCCTGCTGTCCTCTTTAAGAGCAAAACCCAACATGTATAAGGTCAGAGCAAGTGGTAGCCAGGAAAAGCTTGGGGACCTCTATCATATCCAGAGGGCATGAAGAAAGAAAACACGTCCTCTGCCAAAGGCAAAATGGAGTTTGTGAAGCAGGAGTGGTGGCTCATGCCTGTAATCTCAGCATTTTGGGAGGCCGAGGCGGCCAATCATCTGAGGTCAGGAGTTCGAGGCCAGCCTGGCCAACATGGCAAAACCTCGTGTGTGTGTAGAGATGGGGTCTTGCTATGTTTCCCAGGCTGATCTCAAACTCCTGGGCTCAAGCAATCCTCCTACCTGCAGACCTCCCTAAATGCTGGGATTACAAGTGTGAGCCATCATGCCTGGCCCCACAAAATGATTTTTAAAGTCAGTTAGAAATCAAACATACACTAGAAAGAAATACACTTGATGGAGAGATGGGAATCCTGACTCTGCTTCACACTGTTCTGTATTATTTTGCATTATTTACATGTAGTTTTTTTTCCCCCAAATTGAAAGAAAAGTTATAATGAAGAGGGGAAACTCCTTAAGGCTGATTATCTGAGAAGCTAGCAGTCCAGCGCTAAATTGTGAAGCTGACCTCTTGAGGTAGTTAACAAAGATGTTTCTCTTTATGTCTTTTTGCCAGTAGCACACTGCCCTAATTACTCCAGCTTTTTGGTGAGTTTTGAAACTGGGAAGTGTGAATTCTTCAGCTTTGTTCTTTTCCACGTCTGTTTTTGCTTTTGTATGCCTCTTGCATTTCCATATGTATTGTGGAATCTGCTTGTCGATTCTGCACCAAGCCAGCTGGAATCTTAATAGACACTGTGTTTAATAGAGACTGGGTGTAGACCAATTTGGGGAGCATAGCCATGTTAACAAAACTCTGTCTTCCAATCCATGAATATAGGCTATCTTTCCATTTCTTTAGGTCTTCTTTAATTTCTTTCAACGTTTTGTAGTTTTCACAACACAAATTTTGCAATTCTTTGGTTAAATTTATTTCTATGGATTTTTTTATACTATTCACAAATGCAATTATTTCTTATTTCATTTTCAGATTGTCCATTGCAAAGTTATAGAAATATAGTTGATTTCTGTATGTTGATCTCAAAGGATGTGGAGAAAATAAACAATGGAAAACAAGGAGATAGTGTCCCAGAAGATAAGTGACCTGACTAGGTATAGCACTAAAGGCCTGCAAGGCAAACATTTTACATAAGGTTTTCTTTTGGCTTTTTTTTTGAGACGAAGTCTCACTCTGTTGCCTAAGCTGGAGGGCAGCGGCGAGATCACGGCTCACTACAACCTCCACCTCCTGGGTTCAAGTGATTCTCCTGCCTCAGCCTCCCAAGTAGCTGGGAATACAGGCGCACACCACCATGCCCGGCTAATTTCTGTATTTTTAGTAGAGACGGGGTTTCACTATTTTGGCCAGGCTGGTCTTGAACTCCTGACCTCGCGATCCTCCCGCCTTGGCCTCCCAAAGTGCTGGGATTACAGGTGTGAGCCACTGTGCCTGGCCTGTTTTGTTTTTTTTTAGACAGAATCTCGCCCTGTTGCCCAGGCTGGAGGGCAGTGGCAGGATCTTGGCTCACTGCAGCCTCTGCCTCCTGGGTTCAAGCGATTCTTGTGTCTCAGCCTCCAGAGTAGCTGGGATTACAGGCACCTGCCACCATGCCCGGCTAATTTTTGTATTTTTAGCAGAGACGGGGTTTCACCATGTTGGCCAGGCTGGTCTCGAACTCCTGACCTCAAGTGATCCACTGCCTCGGCCTCCCAAAGTGCTGGGATTACAGGTGTGAGCCACTGTGCCCAGCCAACATATGGGTTTATAACTTGCTTTATTTTTGGTTAACAATCATATGCACATATTACTATAGGAAAGGAGGACCAACAAAATATTCATGATAATAGCTCTGGATTAAGAATATTTTTCTGGCCAGGTGTGGTGGCTCATATGTGTAATTGCAGCACTTTGGGAGGCTGAGGTGGGAGGATTGCTTGAGCCCAGGAGTTCAAGACCAGCCTGGGCAACATAGTTCAAGACCAGCCTGGGCAATAGTCTGTCTCTACAAAAAGTTTAAAAATTAGCTAGGTGTGGTGGCATGCACCTGTAGTCCCAGCTACTTGGGAGGCTGAGGTGGGAGGATTACCTGAGCCTGGGAGGTCAAGGCTGCAGTGAGCTATGGTCGGTCTCAAAAAAAAAAAAAAAAAAAAGAAAAAAAAAGAAATATCTTTCTTACTTTGGTTCATCTTTGTTTTATAATTTTTCTATAATTAACATATTACAGTAATAATTTTAGAGCATTATATGCTACATATGGTGTTAAACACTATATTTTACATGAATAATCTAATTCTTAACATTTTAATTTCCATTTCATAGTGAAGAAACAGGCTAGGCGTGGTGGCATACACCTGTAATCTCAGCACTTTGGGAGGCCAAGGTGGGCGGATCACTTGAGGTCAGGAGTTTGAGACCAGCCTGGCCAACATGGTGAAACCCTGTCTCTACTAAAAATACAAAAATTAGCTGGGTGTGGCGGCACACACCTGTAGTCCCAGCTACTTGGGAGGCTGAGGCATGAGAATTGCTCAAATCCAGGACGTAGAGGTTGCAGTGTGCCAAGATCACACCACTGCACTCCAGCCTGGGTGTCAGAGTGAGACCCTGTCTCAACATAATAATAATAAAGAAACAAATATTTAAAGTAATTAAGTAACTCGTCCACGGTCATGTGAATTACTTGTGCAATAAGTATTAAAGAATAACACTTAAGGACTATATTTCTATCTGTTTGGCAGATTAATAATACTCACTGCTATCAAAGCTTTGGCAAAATAATAGAATTGCTTTATCTTTCTTTCTTTCTTTTCTTTAGAGATTGGTTCTCACTCAGTCACCCAGGCTGGAATGCAGAGATCATAGCTCACTGTAATCTCCAACTCCTGGTCTCAAGCCAGACTAATTTTTAAATTTTTAAAATTGAGACAGGGTCTCAATTTGTTGACCAGGCTGGTCTCAAACTCCAGGCTTCAAGGGATCCTCTCGTCTTGGCCTGCCAAAGTGCTGGGATTACAGGCATGAGCCACTCTACCAGGGCTACTTAATCTTTCTAAGCATTTGTCTTACCTTAAAAGGCACCTAACCAGTACTTAACAATAGTTAACTAACAATAGAAAACTAAAAATAATACGGATGTCCAATAGCAAGAGAACTGTCACAATTATGATCAACTAATAGATTACTTTTTATGAAACCATTAACAATCCTGTTTTGAACAATATTTAGTTAGAAAAATTGTTCCTATACTTACCTTTGAACTCCATGATTACATTTCCAACTAGATTATTTTCACCTGGCTGTCTCATGGTCCACAGTACACAGAAGCAATTAACCATAAGCAAATTCATTTTCTATGCCCCACCCCCATCAGACTTGCTTCTCCATTAGTGCTCCTTCCCTCAGGGAAAGGACACCGCCACACCTTCTTCACCATCACTCCTTTTCCCCCACACCCTGTCCGTCTTCAAGGCCTGTTAGTATTACCTTCACATTTATCTTGAGTCCAATTACTTCCCTCCATTCTCACTTTCCCTATACTAGTCCTACTTGGACTATTGCATCAGTCTCTTAACTCTTAAATTCACTCCTCCCTCTGAGAGGTGACAGCGTGCTGGCAGTCCTCACAGCCCTCGCTCGCTCTCCGTGCCTCCTCTGCCTGGGCTCCCACTTTGGCGGCACTTGAGGAGCCCTTCAGCCCGCCGCTGCACTGTGGGAGCCCCTTTCTGGGCTGGCCAAGGCTGGAGCTGGCTCCCTCAGCTTGCGGGGAGGTGTGGAGGGAGAGGCGCGGGGGGGAACCGGGGCTGCGCGCGGTGCTTGCGGGCCAGCGCGAGTTCCGGGTGGACGTGGGCTCGGCGGGCCCTGCACTCCTAGCGGCCGGGCAGTGAGGGGCTTAGCACCTGCGCCAGCAGCTGCTGTGCTCAATTTCTCGCTGGGCCTTAGCTGCCTTCCCGCAGGGCAGGGCTCGGGACCTGCAGCCCGCCATGCCTGGGCCTCCCCCACCTCCGTGGGCTCCTGTGTGGCCCCAGCCTCCCCGACGAGCACCGCCCCCTGCTCCACGGCGCCCAGTCCCATCGACCACCCAAGGACTGAGGAGTGCGGGCGCACGGCATGGGACTGGCAGGCAGCTCCACCTGCGGCCCTAGTGCGGGATCCACTGGGTGAAGCCAGCTGGGCTCCTGAGTCTGGTGGGGACTTGGAGAACCTTTATGTCTAGCTAAGGGATTGTAAATACACCAATCGGCACTCTGTATCTAGCTCAAGGTTTGTAAACACACCAATCAGCACCCTGTGTGTAGCTCAGGGTTTGTGAATGCACCAATCCACACTCTGTATCTAGCTACTCTGGTGGAGACTTGGAGAACTTTTATGTCTAGCTAAGGGATTGTAAATACACCAATAGGCACTCTGTATCTAGCTCAAGGTTTGTAAACACGCCAATCAGCACCCTGTGTCTAGCTCAAGGTTTGTGAATGCACCAATCGACACTCTGTGTACAGCTACTCTGGTGGGGACTTGCAGAACCTTTGGTCCACACTCTGTATCTAACTAATCTAGTGGGCAGGTGGAGAACCTTTGTGTCTAGCTCAGGGATTGTAAGCGCACCAATCAGCACCCTGTCAAAACAGACCACTCAGCTCTCTGTAAAATGGACCAATCAGCAGGATGCGGGCGGGGCCAGATAAGAGAATAAAAGCAGGCTGCCCCAGCCAGCAGTGGCAACCCACTCAGGTCCCCTTCTGTGCGGTGGAAGGTTTGTTCTTTCTCTCTTTGCAGTAAATCTTGCTGCTGCTCACTCTTTGGGTCCACACTGCCTTTATGAGCTGTAACACTTACCGCGAAGGTCTGCAGCTTCACTCCTGAAGCCAGCGAGAACACGAACCCACCGGGAGCAACGAACAACTCCAGATGCGCCGCCTTAAGAGCTAGCTGTAACACTCACCGCGAAAGTCCGCAGCTTCGCTCCTGAGCCGGCGAGACCATGAACCCACCAGAAGGAAGAAACTCCCAACACATCCGAACATCAGAAGGAACAAACTCTGGACACGCCTTTAAGAACTGTAACACTCACCCCGAGGGTCCGCGGCTTCATTCTTGAAGTCAGTGAGACCAAGAACCCACCAATTCCAGACATACCTCCCCACTGAAGTTCTTCATGCTACAACCAGAGTAATATTTAAAAATTTGGCTGAGCCCAGTGGCTCACGCCTGTAATCCCGACACTTTGGGAGGCCGAGGTGGGTGGATCACTTGAGGTTAGGATTTCGAGACCAGCCTGGCCAACATGGTGAAACTCTGCCTCTACTAAAATACAAAAATTAGCTGGGCATGGTGGTGGGCACCTGTAATCCCAGCTACTCGGGAGGCTGAAACAGGAGAACTGCTTGAACCCAGGAGGCGGAGGTTGCAGTGAGCCGAGATTGTGCCACTGCACTCCCGCCTGGGTGACAGAGTGAGACTCCGTCTAAAAACAAAAATAAAATAAAATAAAAAATAATAAAAATTCCCAACCCTTAGCTGGTCTGATGGTATTGGGTTCTCAGAACTTACTAACATTAGTATCACTACACTTTGTATTAATATATAACACCCCATTGCTAAATTTGATTGTCTTTAAAAAATCCCAATTCTGATTCTATCTTTCCTCTACTTAAAACTCTAGCGGTACCATTATTGTTAAGATAAAATACAAAACCCTGGACATGCCCCATGAGTTCTGCATCATTTGGACTCCTTTCCTCTATTGTCTAGTAATTTGGACACCAGGTCAGGCTTAATAATTTACTGTTCCCTCACCAGACACACATACCCTTGATAAGCCAATATCTTTAAATGTTAGTCAAACACTTATTTAGGGGAGGTAGAAATAATTTTCTTTTCCTTTTTTTTTTGAGAGAGTCTTGCTCTGTCGCCTAAGCTGGGGTGCAGTGGTGCAGTCTCAGCTCACTGCAACCTCTGCCTCCCAAGTTCAAGTGATTCTTCTGCCTCAGCCTCCCGAGTAGCTGAGATTACAGGCATGCACCACCATGTCCAGCTAAATTTTTTTTTTGTATTTTTAGTAGAGACGGGGTTTCACCATGTATGTCATGCCGGTCTGGAACACCTGACCTCAAATGATCCGCCTGCCTCGGCCTCCCAAAGTGCTGGAATTACAGGCTTGAGCCACCGCACCCAGCCAGAATTTTTTTTTTCTCTTGTCTTCTCTTTTTTCCGTTTTTTGGGACAGAGTCTCACTTTGTTGCCAAGGCTAGAGTGCAGTAACCTGATCACAGCTCACTGCAGCCTCCACCTATGACGCTCAAGCAATTCTCCCATCTCAGTGCTGCTGGGACTGTAGGTGCACACCACGCCCAGCTCATTTTTAAAATTATTTGTAGAGACGGGGTTTCGCCGTGTTGCCCAGGGTGGTCTTGAACTCCTGGGCTCAATCAGCCAGCCTCGGCCTCCCAACCAAAGTGCTGGGATTACAGGTGTGAGCCACTGCACCTCACCAGAGTTTTCTTTTAGAAACAAATTAATTTACCAATTCATTTCTTTTAGCCTAAGTGGAGTCAAGGTTCTAAATAGTTTGGCAAAAGATTTCTCACTTCCTGTGATTCTTATTTTCTCTTCAGTAATGAGTGTATGTGTGAGAGACATTTTCTTATGACAGAGAAACATATTGAGAACATAATTGTTTTTTAAATTAAAAAATATCCGGCCTGGGCGACAGAGTGAGACCCTGTCTCAAATTAATAAATAAACAAATAAAAATAAAAATAAAGCACTTGTTCCTGAAAATTATATGCCACTATATGCACTATTCTTTGAAATTCTGAAGAACTCTGATTGACTAGAACTGCATATCATGTAAGCCAAATATTGCCCTCAGTAGACTCCAGAGGAGTTATTTCCCCTGGCAGCTATAGTTCTTTCTGGCAGGAGAGGGACTAGTTTACATTTCAATCAAAGTTAACTGGCATACAGCAGGGCGCAGTGGCTCACGCCTGTAATCTCAGCACTTTCAGAGGCTGAGGTGGGTGGATCATTTGAGGTCAGGAGTTTGAGACCAGCCTGGTCAACACGGTAAAACCCCGCCTCTACTAAAAATACAAAAATTAGCCCGGCGTGGTGGCGGGTGTCTGTAATCTCAGCTACGCAGTAGTCTGAGGCAGAAGAATCATCTGAACCCGGGAGGCGGAGGCTGCAGTGAGCTGAGATCACGCACTCCAGCATGGGCGACAGAGGGAGACTCCATCTCAAAACAAAACCCACAAAGTTAACTGCCTTATTTTCTGTTGTACTTTTTGTGCTTAGTAGATTCATGTTCTAGACAATTCTCAGGTCATTTGTTCTTTAACCTGGCTCTGCTCCAGCCTCTTTCCTGCCTTTCTCCTTGTTCTCTATTACCTGACAATCATAGTCTTTAGACTTACACAAAATACCAGGTCCCCACCTGTCTGCAGGCCATTGTATTAGGTTGGTGCAAAAGTAATTGCTGTTTTTGTCAAACAGCAAAAACGCAATTGCTTTTGTACCAACCTACTACATGCTGTACACTCAGCCAGGAAAGCTCATCCTCCTCTTCCCTTCATCTTCCCAGTATGTACCTGGGACATAGCTACATCCTTTGGTCCTCATCTTAAAGGTCCCTTCCTCAAATGATCTCATAGTTTCTATAATTTTCTTTCTGGCAGTTCTTGGAATGTGCATGCACATACACACATTTGTGTAGATATTTAATATTTATGTACCGCAAACTGCATGCTCCATGAAGTTAATACCTACCTTAAAAATTTGATATAGGGCCGGGGGCAGTGGCTCACGCCTGTAATCCCAGCACTTTGGGAGGCCGAGGATGGTGGATCCCCTGAGGTCAGAAGTTCAAGACCAGCCTAACATGGAGAAACCCCATCTCTACTAAAAATACAAAATTAGCTAGGTATGGTGGCGCATGCCTGTAGTCCCAGCTACTCGGGAGGCTGAGGCAGGAGAATCGCTTGAACCTGGGAGGCAGAGGTTGTGCTGAGCCGAAAATGCACCATTGCACTCCATCCAAAAAAATTTTTTTTTATATAGTTGTACATATTTATGGGGTACATGTGGTGGTATTTTTATACAGGTATACAATATGTAATGACCAAATCAGGGTAAGTGGGATATCCATCAACTCAAATATTTATCTATTCTTTGTATTGGGAACATTACAATTCTTTTCTTTTAAAATATACAATGTTTCTGTTAACTATATTTTCCTACCGTATTACTGACTACAGAACTTACTCTTTTTATGTATCTGTATTTTTGTACCCATTAACAAACTTCTCTTCATCTTTCCTCCCATCTTCCCTTCCCAGCCTCTGGTAACCACCTCTACTTCCATGAGATCCACTAGTCTCAGCTACTTGGAAGGCTGAGGTGGGGGATCACTAGAGCCCAGGAGATGGAGATTGCAGTGAGCTGAGATCGTGCCACTGCACTCAAGCCTGGGTGACAGAGTAAGACCCTGTCTCAAAAAAAAAAAAAAAAAAAAAAAGAGAGATGGGATCTTGCCATGTTGCCCAGTCTGGTCTGGAACTTCTGGGCTCATGTGATCCCCCTGCCTCAGCCTCCCAAAGTGCTGGGATTACAGGAGTAGATATCTTAGATATACTTATTTCCTTTCTTTTGTACATATCCAGCAGTGGGAATACTGGATCATATGGCAGTTCTATTTTTAGTTTTTGAGAAACTCTGTGCTGCTTTCCTTTATTTTTTTATAGAGACAAGAGTCTTGCTACGTTGCCCAGGCTGATCTCGAACTCCTGGGCTCAAGCCATCTGCCTGCCTCAGCCTCCCAAGGTGCTGGGACTACAGGTGTGAGCCTCCATGCCCTGCCAATACTGTTTTCCATAATGGCTGTACTAATCTACATTCTCACCAACAGGCTATTAGCATTCCCTTTTCTTCTTATCTTTGTCACCATTTTGTATTTTTTTTTCTTTTGATAACAGTCATTCTAACTGGGGCTAAGATGATCTCTTATTGTGGTTTGGATTTGCATTTCCCTGATGATTAGTGATAGTGAGCATTTTTTCATATACCATTTCTATGTTGGCCATTTGTATGTCATCTTTTGAGATATGTCTATTCAGCAGGTCCTTTGCCCATGTTTTTCTTTTTTCTTTTTCTTTTTTTGAGATGGTTGCCTAGGCTGGAGTGCAGTGATAAGATTTTGGCTAACTCACTGCAACCTCCACCTCCCAGGCTCAAGTAATCCTTCCATCCTCAGCCTTCTGAGTAGCTGGGATTACATGCACAGGCCACCATGACTGGCTAATTTTTTGTATTTTTGGTAGACATGGGGTTTCACCATGTTGCCCCGGCTGGTGCCCATTTAATTATATTTTTTCCTTGAGTTTATTATATATTCTAGTTATTAATCCCTTGTCGGATGGATAGTTTGCGAATAGTTTCTCCCATTATGTAGGTTGTTTCTTCACTGTTTCCTTTGCTGTGCAGAAGCTTTTTAACTTGATGTAATCTCATATAAGACCTATCATTTCTTAAATCACTGTCTCCAAAGCACCAAGCCTGGCAATCGTTGATAAAGTGATTTCAAACATTTAATGTATAAACATAACAGTAACTGTAAACGGTGAGATACAAAACCACTTACCTGATTATCCCAATATGGGGAGAAAATAAATATGCATAGAGGAAAAGAGAAATACACTAATTAAGAAGGGAAAGAGTCCTTTTTTTTTTTTTTTAACAAAACTAAATGGAAACATAATAAACTAATGTAAGCGGTAACCTGTGGAGGAGTAGGAAGACTTTTCTAAAGTCTGTTTACTTTAAAATCCGGTTTTCATTTCTGAAACATTATAATGTATTATCTATTCAAAAACATCAAATGTTTAGAGGGCAGACAATACACTAAAACATTAATAGTGATTATCCCGGAAGGGTAGGAGTCAGGCTTTGTTTTCTGCTTCTGTATCAGAAAAAGGATGCACTTTTTGGAAAAGATGTTTGGCGACCTGGAAGGACACCGTCTCCGTGGAGTCGGGAAGGAGGAGGGCCAGGATGCGAAGGCAACGCTTTGCAGGTGATCGGATGGATTTATTCCCACATGGGAGAGACCAGAGCACAGCACGTTTGTGTACGGCCAGGAGGGAACCACGAAAAAAGCAGAGGATAGAAACGCAAGCACACGATGGTGGTGGCCAAGAGGAGCCTGCCCCTAGTGACCTCACTTCCGCGGCCAGTGCGAGAGGCGAGGGAGCTCCAGCTCTGCCTGTAAGGTCTCGGAAGTACGAGGCGGAGGGGACGAAAAACGGGGGGCCAGACTGTTGTGGCTGTGGTGGAGACGAGAAACCAGGAAGAAGAGGCTCGCCTCCCACTCGGCGACAGTAAGCGAAGCAGCCGAAGGCGAGCGCCGACATCAGCAGCTGCCCCCTAAATCCCGCCCTTCGTCTTGGCGGCAGCGGGAGACTGAGAGACGCGCGCAGCAGGGGCGGGACTGGAGAGGGGCCCCGCGCGCGGATCTCGCGAGAGCATTAGAGGGCGGAAGCGCTATCCGAGCAGGATGCGGTTCGTGGTTGCCTTGGTCCTCCTGAACGTCGCAGCGGCGGGTAAGACCCTCCATCCCGCATCCCACTCTTGCCCCCAGATCCCCCATTCTCACCTGGGCAGGTCACCTCTAGGCTCGCTTCTTCCCTACCCGACCCACCTCTCCGCTCGCCATCGTCTCCCGCCCCACCCCCCAATCCCCATTCCCCCGCTGCTCCCGATCTCTTCCAGTTCTGAGGAGTTCCTTCTTCCCGCCTGCCCTTCTCCGGTGCTAACTCGTTTTTCTATTTCAGGAGCCGTGCCGCTCTTGGCCACCGAAAGCGTCAAGCAAGAAGAAGCTGGAGTACGGCCTTCTGCAGGAAACGTCTCCACCCACCCCAGCTTGAGCCAACGGCCTGGAGGCTCTACCAAGTCGCATCCGGAGCCGCAGACTCCAAAAGACAGCCCTAGCAAGTCGAGTGCGGAGGCGCAGACCCCAGAAGACACCCCCAACAAGTCGGGTGCGGAGGCAAAGACCCAAAAAGACAGCTCCAACAAGTCGGGTGCGGAGGCAAAGACCCAAAAAGGCAGCACTAGCAAGTCGGGTTCGGAGGCGCAGACCACAAAAGACAGCACTAGTAAGTCGCATCCGGAGCTGCAGACTCCAAAAGACAGCACTGGCAAATCGGGTGCGGAGGCGCAGACCCCAGAAGACAGCCCCAACAGGTCGGGTGCGGAGGCAAAGACCCAAAAAGACAGCCCTAGCAAGTCAGGTTCGGAGGCGCAGACCACAAAAGATGTCCCTAATAAGTCGGGTGCGGACGGCCAGACCCCAAAAGACGGCTCCAGCAAGTCGGGTGCGGAGGATCAGACCCCAAAAGACGTCCCTAACAAGTCGGGTGCGGAGAAGCAGACTCCAAAAGACGGCTCTAACAAGTCCGGTGCAGAGGAGCAGGGCCCAATAGACGGGCCCAGCAAGTCGGGTGCGGAGGAGCAGACCTCAAAAGACAGCCCTAACAAGGTGGTTCCAGAGCAGCCTTCCCGGAAAGACCATTCCAAGCCCATCTCCAACCCTTCTGATAACAAGGAGCTCCCCAAGGCTGACACAAACCAGCTTGCTGACAAAGGGAAGCTTTCTCCTCATGCTTTCAAAACCGAATCTGGGGAGGAAACTGACCTCATTTCTCCCCCGCAGGAGGAAGTTAAGTCTTCAGAGCCTACTGAGGATGTGGAGCCCAAAGAGGCTGAAGATGATGATACAGGACCCGAGGAGGGCTCACCGCCCAAAGAAGAGAAAGAAAAGATGTCCGGTTCTGCCTCCAGTGAGAACCGTGAAGGGACACTTTCGGATTCCACGGGTAGCGAGAAGGATGACCTTTATCCGAACGGTTCTGGAAATGGCAGCGCGGAGAGCAGCCACTTCTTTGCATATCTGGTGACTGCAGCCATTCTTGTGGCTGTCCTCTATATCGCTCATCACAACAAGCGGAAGGTAAGTCGACAGCGGCCTTCCGGAGGGGAGTGGGGTTTCCAGCACCCTGGAAGCTTGGGTGTGGGTGGGTATCCCGTCACTAGATGCCCGTGAGCACTGGGGACTTTAAAACAAACTTCAGTTTTTTCCTCAGGCCCTATTAGGCCTCTTTACTCTTGTTTTGTTAATCGTGTTTTCATCCTGTCACCTGTTTACTCTGAGTGTCCTCTGCTACTGCATTAGGAGCCAAGTTAGGACATTATTAGGATCTGACCTGACTTGGAATCTCCTCCCATAACTTTGCACTTAGGTCCTTCACAGCCTCAGAGGACCTGAGTACTTGACAGTTAAAGCACGTACCTTCCATCCTATTTCCCTTCTTGAGACGATATGTCATTTCTAGCTTCCTTTCCCAACATTCTCTCTTCCATCAGCAGTGGCACAAAGAATGGTTTCAATTACTGCGTCTTCGATACCAGGACCAAAGAGCCCAGGGACTTCTGCAATTAATAATAATTAGAAGAAAGCCCAGAAATTGCACAGACACGTACACCTGTTACTTTTTCATCAGGGTTTGGTCTGTTTATTAGCAACCACTCTAATGACAAAATGATTGCATTTCATATTGAGCCCCCAACATTTAGAAGCTAGTTTCTGTAACCTGCTTAAAATTGGAGAGTCCAATTCTGGCCATAAGGCCTATGGCTATAAAGAATAAAGGGGAAGACCTTTAGTAAAAATGTGCATTCCTGGCCCGGTGCAGTGGCTCCTGCCTCTAATCCCAGCACTTTGGGAGGCCGAGGCAGGAGGATCGCTTGAGCCCAGGAGTCCGAGACCAGCCTGGCCAACATAGCAAGACCTCGTCTCTACATATAATAAAAAAATTAGCCAGATGTGGTGGTGGACGTGTGTGGTCCCAGCTACTCAGGAGGCTGAAGTGGGAGGATGGCTTGACTGTGGGAGGTCGAGGCTTCAGTGAGCCATGATCACGCCATTGCACTCCAGCCCGGGTGACAGAGTGAGACCTTGCCTCTAAGAAAAAAAAAAAGTGTATTTCTTATTCTATGTCCAAGTGTCCATTATGCAGGGTAACCTTAGTCATGAAATGAGATTGATAAAGAATGTAGTTGATGTAGCATCGTGGGGTGAAAAAGTACATTTGTAGATAGGAAATTCTGATTATGACTTTTTTTAAAGGAATGTCCTATATCCTAGATATCTCTAGGAAGGAGTTGATAGATCTTTGACTGTGTACCTTTGAATAAATCAAACAGACTTCCTCCCACACGCTAGAGCTCAGACAGCCTTCTATTTGTTATTTCCTATTAAGCAATACAAAGGATTCTGATGTAATTAGGCTCTGTCTTTCTTAAAATGGTTATAGTTTAAATAGACCTCTGTGAGTGTACTGCTCTTTCTACAGTCAGGGTCATTAACAAATATGCTACCAGGTGACTGCCTCTGAGTTCAGAGACTGAACTATGTCATTACAGAGCCACCTGTTAATCATTTTCTTTTTCCTTTCCTCAGATCATTGCTTTTGTCCTGGAAGGAAAAAGATCTAAAGTCACCCGGCGGCCAAAGGCCAGTGACTACCAACGTTTGGACCAGAAGGTAAGGAAGGAGGAGCCAGGTCCATGGGAGGGATAGGAGGGATAGGCAACGTCAGATGGACCCAGTAGTGGGCTTGCATTTGCCATGAAGCAGCAGTGGCTGATTCTGGGGATGCGGTTGCTGTTGCTGTTGCATTCGCCCTTTTTAGACAACAAACTAGAAACATCTAGATACACATATCTGTGACGTTAGAGCTAGCAGAGACCTTGGAATACTCTACAGCAGCTACCTCCCTTCACAGATGAGGAAATAGGCCCACGCAGAAACACTCTTTTTTTTTTTTTTCCGCTAAGTTTCTACTGCAAGTTAGTGGCAAACTCAGGACCTGATAGCAACTCCCTAGTCTCCCAGTCCTGAGCTTTCTGCATTCTGCCAGCGCTCCATAAACTTTAATAGGCATTTGAATCACCTTGGGGAATTTTGATAAAAAGCATTATCTGATTCATTAGATGTGGGGTGGAGCCTATATTTCTACATTCTTTTTTTTTTTTTTGGAGATGGAGTTTTGCTCTTGTTGCCCAGGCTGGAGTACAATGGTGCAATCTCGGCTCACTACAACCTCTGCTGCCTGGGTTCAAGCGATTCTTCTGCCTCAGCCTCCCGAGTAGCTAGGATTACAGGCGCCACCACCACGTCCAGCTAATTTTGTATTTTTAGTAGAGATGGGTTTCTCCATGTTGGTCAGGCTGGTCTCGAACTCCCAACCTCAGGTGATCCGCCCGCCTCGACCTCCCAAAGTGCTGAGATTACAGGCATAAGCCACCGTGCCTGGCCTGTGTCTACATTCTTAGGAAGTTCCCAGGTGAAACCAAATGCCACTGGATCCACACTTTGTGTGGTAAAGTGCTAGACTGTGCTCCCTGGAAACACGAGCCTGGAAGCACATAGGCCTCCAACTCCCCACATCAGCCTGGCTTAAGCACCGTAGGCTGGAGTTCCTGAGTACAGCCAATCCATTCCTCTGTCAGACAGATAAGCCCTCCTTCCACCCCATGGCAGCAGAGCTAAGCAAGGGTCTCTCTAAAGACAACCTGTCTAAGCAGGAAGACTGTACTCTCACTGCGTTGCTACCAGCATGCACCCTTCCTTCTGCTTTCAGCATAGCAACAGCCAGGACATTGGCAAAGAACCATTGGTGGCCCAACTATGAATTGTTCCCAGACTTCCTGCAGGGAACACGATTCTCTTGCACAACTCAATATTAGCTACAGAACGAGCCACTGAGCTCAGAATATCTTTGCTAACTAGTCCAGTAGGCTAGCTTTACAATTTAGCTCTGGACTACTGCCTTTTCAGATAATTGACTTTAAGGGTTTTCCCCCTTTTATGATTTTTGTTTGTTTGTTTTTGAGACGGAGTCTTGCTGTGTCGTCCAGGCTGGAGTGCAGTGGCACAATCTTGGCTCACTGCAACCTCCACCACCCGGGTTCAAGCAGTTCTCCCTCTTCAGCCTCCCGAGTAGGTGGGATTACAGGCGCCCACCACCACGCCCAGCTAATTTTTAGATTTTTAGTAGAGATGGGGTTTCACCCTTTTGGCCAGGCTGGTCTTGAACTGCTGACCTCAAATGATCCACCCACCTCAGCCTCCCAGAGTGCTGGGATTACAGGCGTGAGCCACCACACATGGCTTATGATTTTTAAAAAAATACACATGTGGCTGGGCATAGTGGTTCACGCCTGTAATCCCAACAGTTTGGGAGGCAGATCACCTGAGGTCAGGAGTTCTAGATCAGTCTGGCCAACATGGTGAAATACCATCTCTACTAAAAATACAAAAATTAGCTGGGCATGGTAATCCCAGCTACTACTGAGGAAGCCGAGGTGGGAGAATCGCTTGAACTTCGGAGGCAGAGGTTGCAGTGAGCCAAGATCATGCCACTGCACTCCAGCCTGGGCAACAGAGCAAGACTCCGTCTCAAAAAAGAAGAAAACCACCACCAACAAAAAACACATGTAAATAATTCACAACAGTACAGAACAGTATGAAGCAGAAGCCAGGATTCCTCTCTCTCCATCAAGTGTATATCTTTCTAGTGT
This sequence comes from Homo sapiens, assembly GCF_000001405.40. NCBI lineage: Eukaryota > Metazoa > Chordata > Mammalia > Primates > Hominidae > Homo > Homo sapiens. The sequence continues at coordinate 85,322,875 of NC_000002.12, read as the reverse complement.
TAGGTTTCATTTCAAACTTTAAAAATCATTTTGTGTGCTATTTTAATTAATTGCTGTTTCTGTGGTGGTGGGTCAGTATGTCTTAATTCTGAATGTTTTCCCTGCACCTCCTAAAAGATCTTTTTTCCCCTAAGTCCTAACAGAATGGTATATTCCTCTGGAAAAAGATGAACGTCACCAATGGATTGTGCTGCTCTCGTTTCAGCTTTGATTTTTTTGTCCTTGAGAACCTTGTCCTCCCTGCTGATTTGTTTCTAAATCAAAAGAAATGAAGAAAAAAGTACTGTGACCTGAGAGACACCCTCCTCTAGAATTTAGTGGCGGGTCTGGGCTGGCAGAGGTAGGGGGCTGCTTTGGGCTTTGCACCTGCACTTTGGTGACATTGTTCTTCTGTGTTCCCTTTATTTATGCTGGTGGCTTCCATCCGTTCCTCCTCTGAGGGTGAGTGGAGGGGTATATGGAAACACGGCTATGACCAAAGGGAGATCCCAGCCTGGGCAGGCTGCGCTGCTGACCACCCTCCCTGGGGCCCGGGCTCTGTAGGAAAGTTGGTCCTTGACTGTGGCATTGCACTCTGCACTGTTTCTCTCTGCAGACCTAGGGGAAAACTGCAGGTGGAAGTGCTTTTCTACTAAGGCCTCTTACTTTGGGGGGGATGTGCCCTACAGAAGACATAGAAGATGGGGAAATGCCAATGGGCAAAGAGCTACTTTGAATACATAATTCTCTTCAAAGACTTCAGCAGCAAACCAAAACAGCAGGTTAAAAAAAAAGATGCTTTTTTGGGTGCAAGTCTAACCTGTCTAGCATGAGATCTTCTTGATTTTCTGATTATTTTATGTAGCTTGAGACAAAGTGAATCAACTTCCACTTAGTTGTACCGAGCATAAAACAGAACTTGGGCTTCCTGGCAGTGAGGCCACTGTCCCATCACAGATTTTTAAAATAAATATGATTTGAAGTAGTGTGATCTTTCACACAATCATACTCAGTAGGAACTTTTTGAAATAGGGCAAGTTTATGTTTCATGCGAGAAAACATGAAGGAGGGTTTTGGTTTTGGTCTGCAGTTTTTCCAAAGGGCTTTTATGAGATACATTTCCCACAAAGTCCATTTTGCCTTTGTTGCCTAAAACAGACAAAATAGACTTAGATTTATTAATAGAAACTATACTCTCTGCCAATTTTACCTCAGTGTATTTAATGGTCCTTTAATCTGATATAAGATGCCAAGGGTATTTGATAAAAATTCTTCTTCCATGCCATGTCAGGAGTTAATACAAATGAAGAAATTCCGTGGGTTCCCCTGGGATAAGTGAGGGTAGTGTCTTGGACAACACTATTGTTTGAAGGTTTATCTTTTCTAATCATGCTCTACCGCATTGTAGAGAGCCTAAAGAGAGTTGTTTCTGAGCTGATCTCAGGGAAATACAAATAACTTGGGAGATGAGGGAAATAAGATGAATTCTGTGCTGTCAAGGCAGTAAGTCTGAAGAAAGGACCATGCTTCTTATATTATCTTCCACCTTGCTTAAAACAGCCCATAGCTTTGAGTTGACATTTTCATTCTTGGCGGATAGCCTACTTTATGAAGGTAAGGAATGAACTCCTACCCTTCTTGGGTCATTCTCTGTACTGATGCGTTAGTCTTATAATACTTTGCACCAACCTGAGGAATCTTCTAGGCTTCTCTAGCATCCCCTAAGACTGTGGCTATTTCACGTCTCTCTCCCTGCCTGCCTTCCTTTTCCCTTCCTTTCCCCTCCTCATGTTTTCTGGTTGTGCCCATCTGTACCAGCTCCTTTCCATCCACCTTCGTATGCACCCAGATTTTTCTGTTCCCATCTGTCCTATTTGTTATTCATCCCGCTGCTCAACTTCTCCAGTATGTTGCTTCCCTTAAGTTGCCATTCATTCTCTTCATGACTTTTACTAACTCACTTCGGTCTCTGTCTGTCAACTAAACTTTTCTAAAGGTTACCAGTTATCCAATCACCAAATCCATGGCTTTTTCTCAAAGCTTAGTCTTGTCCTTGGCAGAACTGGACACTATTGACCATCCAAATGGAAATTCCCCTTTCTTGGTGTCTCTGACAAATGGTCCTTTGCCTTATCTTGTGCTGGTGGTGAAGAGGCCCTCAAAGCCAGGCCTCTCTATTCCTTTGACTGTCTCCTCAGCCATTAACCCATTCTTCATCCTCGGAGTGAGTGATTCCCAAGTCTTTGTCTTGGCTTAATCCCTAAAGAACCCAGTTCTGCTGGTATCGAATAGTTCAGCTTGGTTGTCATTGAAAGGAATTTCTCTCTTCTGTCCATCAGCCTGTCCCTCCCAACTGTCTAGGACAGTCTTCGGTCACCTAAATTCCTAACTGCAGACTTTTGCCCTTTTTCTCTCTCATCACCAAAGTCCCATCCATTTTTTTTTAATAAAAGATCCTCAGCTACAGTCTTTCCATTTTCCTTGCTTCTCTTATTGCACACCCCCAGCCCATTTTGCTTCTCTCTTGGATTTTGTTTTTTCAGATCCACATTTATTGGGTTTCCTGTCCAGCTTCTTGGAAAGGAGCTCACTCTTGGAAAGACTGATCTTTCCAAAATATTTTCCCTGGTCTGAAGCTTTGGTGTGAACTTCTCAAGGCTTAGAGAATCCAGTTACAGACCTTTTGGGGTTCAGGATGCTATAGATTGACACCCTCCTGCCTGTTTTTCTCTGCATCCCAACCTGGCCAAGGCCCCTCCTGTGGGGTGCCCATCTGTGCCTTTATTCCGGCTGTGCCCTCGACTTTCCAGCTTCCCATGTTTCTTTGGTTAGGTTTCTCTCCCTTCCTTCTTTCTCCTTCCCCAATCCGCCTGTTTCGTCAGGGCCCAGTTTGTTTCCTCATACACCTTCCTCACTACCCCACCCCACATGGTTGACTCTTTCCCTCAGCTCCACCAGCTCTTCATCATGCCACTCATTTCAGAACTTGAGCAAAACAGGGCAGTCAGGATCTGATGTCTTTCTGGTCTCCCTAAGAAAACTAAGCTCTTGAGGGACAGCCCTTGGCAATGCTTTCCTATCTGCTGATCATGGTGACCTTCCTTAGGACTTCCAGAGTTCAGTTCCTTCTGGCAGAGAGGTTTTCTTTCTCCATGCCATATGGATGTGACTCAAATGAGGGGTCCCACAGCTTTTCCTGGCTACCACTTGCTGTGACCTTATACATGTTGGGGTTTGCTCTTAAAGAGGAGAGCAGGAAGAAAGGTTGGTTTCAGAAACCAAGAGGGTCGGCAGTGGACGCGTACATTTTGTCACGGAGTCCACAGAGCTGAGCTTTTGAGCAGACTCTGAGAAGTATCATTGCTTGTGTTGAAAGAATACAACAGGATTTAAGTTTCTCTTTAGAAATTGCACTGAAGAAAGGCCGGGCGCGGTGGCTCCCCCTGTAATCCCAGCGCTTTGGGAGGCCGAGGCGGGGGGATCACGAGGTCAAGAGATCGAGACCATCCTGGCCAACATGGTGAAACCCCGTCTCTAATAAAAATACAAAAATTAGCCGGGCATGGTGACGTGCACCTGTAGTCCCAGCTACTAGATAGGCTGAGGCAGGAGAATTGCTTGAATCCGGGAGGCGGAGGTTGCAGTGAGCCGAGATCGTGCCACTGAACTCCAACCTGCCAATAGAGCGAGACTCCGTCTCAAAAAAAAAAAAAAAAAAGAAAGAAATAGCATTGAAGAAAATACCGCACATCAGAGGAAAGCTTATTTTCTGCATGGTGTCTTTTCAAAGATAGAATATTTGAAGCATGTTTTCTAGCGATTGTGTGGATGAGGGTGAGCTGGCTGAGGCATCGCTCAAGCTGGGGGGTGGTGTGTAAGAAGCACGTGGAGCCACAAGAGGCACCTCCTATAGTCAGCTAAGGGCTTCCCTTTCTGCGCCCAGCTTTTGGGTGAAGGGTGATTTCTATTAGACACATCTGTGCTTCAGTCATAGATGTTAATAGAGGAAGCAGTTTTCCTGCTGCAGATTCCTGAATAGAGTTGCTGAAAGAGTCTACTTCTGGACTCAGGGGAAGTTGAAGGCCAGTCTGTGTAGAAAGGCTGAGGCAACGGGGAAAGACCTGACAGCTAGTTACATACGCTCTGACATAGTACTCCCATGATGGCTTCCAGTGACACATGTGCTGATAGAATTCTAAACCTCTGGAATTTCCCTGCTGGCGACTTCTATGGCCGTTGACTGTACAGGGTAACCTGATGCCAGATGCTATGGGCGTGATGAGAACTAGAGCATTGCAGCATGGAGGAAACTGTGAGGCACCAGATCCTGTGCTTCTGCAGGCCATTTTCTGAAAACCCCTGTTAGGAAGGTTGGATTTGGCGTGACTTGCTTGAGCAAGAGTCCTGGGGAGAGATTTTGAGGTTTAATTTAACGGTATATCCAGAGCTAACAGTGACTCAACTCGTCTAGTTCTGCAAGTCAGATGTACACTTAGAGTCTCTCTGTGAAGGGTTTGGGTCTGAGCTGTATAGTATGTCAAACTGCCAGTAAGCCAGCCCCTCACCCTCTGATAGATATTCCTTTAATGCACCAGACTTCATGTTTGATAAATGATTAATGGTTGAAATTGTTTCTCTTCTTTTGTGTTTTCCCAGTTAATAGATGGTCACTGTTTCCACAATGTTTTATACTTTCAGCTTTTTGTAACTTAACTATAATTACTTAATTTTATTTTTTTAAAGCTTGTTGTGGTCTAATGAGAAGTATTTTTCAGTGCATAATGTTTTTCTGAGCTTCTGTAAATGCCATCCCAATGTGGTTTGGTTTTGTTGAACAGAAACCAAAATAAATTTCAAAATGTTAAAGCAATGGATTTAATACATTTATTTATTTATTTATTTTATTTTATTTTTGAGACAGAGTCTTGCTCTGTCACCAGGCTGGAGTGCAGTGGTATGATCTTGGCTCACTGCAACCTCCGCCTCCCAGGTTCAAGCGATTCTCCTGCCTCAGCCTCCCGAGTAGCTGGGACTACAGGTGCGTGCCACCACGCCCAGCTAATTTTTGCATTTTTAGTGGAGACGGGGTTTCACCATGTTGGCCAGGATGGTCTCAATCTCTTCTTCGTGATCCGCCCACTTTGGCCTCCCAAAGTGCTGGGATTACAGGTGTAAGCCACCACGCTCGGCCAATAAATTTATTAATATTATATTAAGATGAACTCCAATAAGACCTTTGGCATGTCAGTTTAACATAAGTGAAAGGTCCTTTTTATGCCTTTTGAGCCTTCCTTCACCTTCCATCCAACACACACATGTACCAGTAAATTGCAGATGCCATTTCTGGGCTTTGCACACTTTCTCTGGCTTTCCATGTTCTGCTCCTGACCAACTCTCTTGCCACCTGACTCCTCCCAGCCTGGCTGCCTGCTTTCAGTAGCTGGGCCATTGCTGGGAACACTCTGTTGCCTCCCTGTGCTGTCCTCTGCTGTGCCATTGTGTGGAATGCCCTGCAGCCTGCCTCAACACAATGAAGTAATCTTACCAGTCGATGCCCTGACTCCTGACGTCACCCTTCCCTGCCCTGTGTCACCTTTCCCTGCATATTTGGAGGATAAGGCTTGATTGAGGCTCGGGTACCGAGCTCCCTGAAGGTGCCTTGATGCTGGCACATCGAGAACCAGATGCCACCCCGATGATAAGGAAGACAGACCCGGGACTTCCATATGAATTGGGTATGATCGTCTGACATGCACCCTACTAACTGATGGATCCTGCTGTTACCCCAAAGCTCCAGAACCACACTGGCCAGACACAGGCATTTCCTGTCCCCTGAAGAGCCACTGAACCCAGCACAAAAGAGATCTAGAGCTCTCCAAACCTATGGAATGGCAACCAAAACCATGCCCAGGTTTTGAGTTAAGCCTCATTAGTCTCCCTTTTCCCTTGACAGTGTAGAACTGTGCAGCGTAGCACTAAGTGAATGAGAGCAGAAGCCTCAGGACAGAACTGAACCCACCAGCTTGAGCTGACAACACTGCCAGGGGTTCTGTCCACAGATGGAATATTCGCTTTGATCACTGAGTTAGGAGGCATGGGTGAGGGATGCAGAGCGCCGCTCGTCATGAGACATCAAGCTATCCAAGTCAATATCCTATTAGTAGGGATGGCATATTATAGAAGGTGGAAAGATCTCACCTGCCCCAGCTGGAAACAGTGATTCCATTGCCCCAGATTCGGAATTGTGATTTAAACTAGGCCTCTCTTCAGGCATCAGAACCAAATAAGAGTGGTTTATATGTGCAAGGAACTAATGCCCCAGCTATTGGGCAAATTCCTCTGACTCCTCCCTGATGGAACTAATTCTTCTGTGCCCAGATCCTAGAGACAAGATCCTTAAGGTCTGAGTACAAGTTCCACTTCAGGATGGCGCTGCTGCACAGCAGGGCACCTTGCAGGGCCCCTACCAGTCCACAGGTGAAGATACCCTGGCCTAGGAGGCAAGAGCAGAGGCCCCTGAGTGTGCACCCAGGCAGGCCCAGGGGAGGGTGGGGCCTTGGTGCTCTTCCCTCCACATGAGGGCCACCCAGAGCTGGCTCCAATCAGACAGGGGCCACAGCCTGCCCAGGCAGCCCTGCTCAGGGGATGGGAGGCTGCAGGGGACAGCAGGGCCTGAGGGCAGGAACAGAGGACGTTGGGCGACAGGGGCCCAGGGTCTCAGGTCCTGACAACATGGGGCAGTGAGTATACCTGTCAGAGGTTGGTGATGGGGCTCTGGGCCTTCAAGGCCATCACACGAGGGTGCAGGCGGCCCAGGTCATGGTCAGCCCTGTAGCAGACACCTCGGGGAGCAGCCAGAACTGGTTGGTGAGTGGGGATCCTGCAGTCACACTCTCCACCTGAGGGCAGAAAGGGTGGGGCAGGCATGTGAGATCCTGGCTCCCCTCCCTCTTCCACTCTTTCCCATTCACTGACTCCGGGGTTGGGTGCCCTGTCCTTCCCTGGGGCTCATGTCTTGGGGCCCAATTCCCCTGTCTCAAGGAAAGGGCAGAAATAGCACCATGAGGTCCGTCACCACCCCAAATACTTTACCCCCTACCTTCCCCTCCAGCTGTGGGAACAGTTTCAGGACCACTGACATAGAGGCTTCCACAAAGAAGTTTTTGAAGGTCTCATAGTCACTGCCCTACTTTCCCTTCAGTTCCACCTGCCACTCCTCAAACCACTCGTAGGTGCTGGGTATGAGCATGATCATGGTGGACCGGCCTGGGGATCAGAGCTGATATTACTACTGCCCGGCCCCTCCCTCCACCCCCTCACCCAGGACGTGCAGCCCCCCGTGGGAATCGGTCCTCCCAGGTCGGATCCTTGGCTGATGGGAAAGCGAAGAAGAGAAGAGGGATGTGTTCCGCAGCCTCTTCCCTGGGCATGGAGATGTAGCGCTCCATCCTGCGTGTGACAAGAGTGTGGTGCGATCTCCAGGCTTTTGTCCTCAAAACCCCAGAACCACTGCAAGGACTGCTCGTCCCTAGGGACTCCCCACAGGGGTGAAGCTGAGCCACAGCCTTGGTGTGACAAACTTCCAGGTGCAAATTGGAAATTGCCTACTTCCTCCCATTCCATAACTTCTGCTCGTTCTCTGAGTCAAGCAGGGAGGCACGGGCCACACACACACGTGCACCTTACGCCTGGTCCATGTCCGTGTCATAGTAAACATAGTAGTTGGTGGACGGCAGATGCAGGTCCTCCTTGGTGCCTCGCAGGCAGATGAAAACAGAGGTCATGCCTAAGCCGGGCTGAACTGTCCCCAGCTGCTGCTTCACACCTGCAAAGGGGAGTGGTTGGTGCCTTTGTGGACCATGGCCGGAGACAGCCACTCCCTGCTCCCAGGAGAGCCTCAGGGTGACCGCTCGCTGTGTCCTGAGCCTTATCTTCAGTTGCCAGCTTTGTGCCCAGGCCACTTTTACAGCTGTTTCAACTTGATGTTGGCAGGGGCCTGCTCTTCTGTGTCCTCCTGCCTGGGAAGGACACTGCCCCAGGTTCCTATTCTTCCACCTCCCCTGCCTCTGCTCCAAGCCCCTTCAGAGGCAGGTAAAGCCCAGCCCTGGTCCTCAGCCCCCATGAGCTGGCTCAGCACCTGCAGGAAGGTCAAGCTTACTGCCTCCCATCTTCCCCTTCGTGTCTTGAAGTGTGGAGCACATGACTGGGTTCCCCCCATGAAGACCACACATGAACAGCAGCTCATTACCAGCCTGATTTCAGGATGAACTTTTATGCAGTCACGGAGTGAGTGAACATGCATGATTCTTAGTGTGACATCAGAACACAAGGCCTCCAGAGGGATGCCAATGCATGTGAGCAAAGGCAGGCAGCCTGACTGGTACTTGGCATCTCAGGACTCAGCTGGAGGGAGGAGGGAAGAACTACACTATGGCAGAGGCCACAGCCACTGTGGGGCACCTGATGTTCCCCAGACCTAAACAGCTGGGCTTCCCCACTCCTCAGCAGATGACCTGAGACCGGTGTTCCGGAAACTGCCCCCACAGATTCTTCTGCTGTCTTCCCATTCCCGTGCCAGAGGGATGCCGGGTCCCTGGCTCCTCTGCTTTTTCCATTTTTTAAAAAATTTATTTATTTTTAGATGGAGTCTTGCTCCGTCGCCCAGGCTGGCATGCAGTTGCGCGATCTCTGTTCACTGCAACCGCCTCCCGTGCTCAAGCGATTCTCCTGCCTCAGCCTCCCAAGTAGCTGGGATTACAGGCATGTACCACCACACCCACTAATGTTTGTATTTTCGGTAGAGATGGGGTTTCACCACGTTGGCCAGGCTATTTTCAAACTCCTGACCTCAAGTGATCTGCCTGCCTCGTCCTCCCAAAGTGCTGGGATTGAAGGCGTGAGTCACCGTGCCCGGCCTGCTTCGTTCATGTAACTAAATATTTGTGAGGCCCTCAGGTTGTGTTCAGGAGGAAGAGACACAGGAACACAGATGGAGGGCAAGAGGGACAGATGGCTCTAGCTGGGCTGCCTGGGTGAGATGCTGGGGCCTGGCCAGGACAGTGTCAGTTCCCAGAGGTCCTGGGACAGGGGAGAAGGGAGGTCAGGGTCACAGAGAGAGAGGCAGGAAGTAGCAAAGGCAGAGTCTGCCTGTGCACCAAGCCCGACCCCCCTGCTCTGCCCCTGGGCCGTCTCTACCTCACCCCCTCAGCTCCCCCGGTCTGAGAGAGGGGAGGCCGAGCAGGCTGCAGACCCAGCCACATGGGGCAGGGGAAGGAGAGGCTGGCATTGGTGGAGCCACCCACTGCACTGCCAGTCATACAAAGAAGTCTATCACACAGAATTATGTGCAGTATTTTTTTTTTTTGAGACAGAGTTTTGATCTTGTCTCTCAGGCTGGGTTGCAATGGCACAATCTCGGCTCACTGCAACCTCCACCTCCTGGCTTCAAGCGATTCTCTGGCCTCAGCCTCCCGAGTAGCTGGGACTACAGGCGGCCGCCACCATGCCCGGGTAAGTTTTGTATTTTTAGTAGAGAGGTTTCACCATGTTGGCCAGGCTGGTCTCGAACTCCTGACCTCAGGTGATCTGCCCGTCTCGGCCTCCCAATGTGTTGGGATTACAGGCGTGAACCACCGCGCCTGGCCTATAGTACTTTTTAATGAACGAAATGACTATGTTACTGGTTTATGTATTTGCTATATTTTTATTGTTTTAAACAAAAAAGTTTAAGAAGTAAAAAAAAAAATGTTTTTGTTTTTGTTTTCTTTGAGAGGGAGTCTCGCATTGCTGCCCAGGCTGGAGTACAGTGGCATGATCTCAGCTCACTGCAACCTCCGCCTCCCGGGTTCAAGAGATTCTCCTGCCTCAACCTCCCTAGTAGCTGGGATTACAGGCGCCCGCCACCGTGTCCGGCTAATTTTTATATTTTTAGTAGAGTTGGGGTTTTGAGGTCATGGTCTCAAACTCTTGATCTCAAGTGATCTGCCCACCTTGGCCTCCCAAAATGCTGAGATTAGCAGGCATAAGCTACTGCACCCAGCCCCAAAAAAGACTTTAATTAGAAAAAAGCTCATAGAATAAGGATATAAAGAAAATATCTTTGTGCAGCTGTACAGTGTATTTGCGTTTTAAGCTAAGTGTTATTACAAGAGTCAAAAAGTGTTTAAGTTGATAAAGTAAAAAAGTTAAACTAAGGTTAATTTATTCTTGAAGAAAGAAGAATATTTCTTTATAAACCTAGTGTTGCCTAAGTGTACAGCGTCATGGTTACTCACCACTCACTGACGCACCCAGAGCAGCTGCCAGTCCTGCAAGCTCCATGCCTGGGAAATGCCCTATACAGCTATGCCATCTTTTATCTTGTTTTTTGTTTTTTTTTTCCCCAAGACAGAATTTTGATCTTGTTGCCCAGGCTGGAGTGCAACGGTGCGATCTCGGCTCACCGCAACCTCTGCCTCCTGGGTTCAAGCAATTCTCCTGCCTCAGCCACCTGAGTAGCTGGGATTACAGGCGCCCACCACCACGCCCAGTTACTTTTTGTATTTTTAGTAGAGACGGGGTTTCATCATGTTGGCCAGGCTGGTCGCTAACTCCTGACCTCAGGTGATCCACCCTGCTCGGCCTCCCAAAGTGCTGGGATTACAGGCTTGAGCCACTGCACCCGGCCCATCTTTTATCTTTTACACCAGATTTTACTGCACCTTTTCTATGTTTTGTTTCTGTTTTTTTTGAGAAAGAGTCTCACTCTGTCGCCCAGGGTGGAGTGCAGTGGTGCGCTTTCGGCTTACTGCAAACTCTGCCTCCCGGGTTCAAGTGATTCTTGTGCCTCAGCCTCCTAAGTAGCTGGGATTACAGGCATGTGCCACACACCTGGCTAATTTTTGTATTTTTAGTAGAGATGGGGTTTCAACATGTTGGCCAGGTTGGTCTCGAACTCCTGACCTCAAGTGATCCACCTGCCTGACCTCAAGTGATCCACCTGCCTCGGCCTCCCAAAGTGCTGGGATTACAGGCGTGAGCCACCACGCCCAGCCACCTTTTCTATGTTTAGATACATAAACACTCACCACTGTGTCACAGTCACCTACAGTATTCAGTACAGTAGCATATGCTGTACAGGCTTGTAGCCTAGGAGCAATAGGCTATACCATATAGCCTAGGTGTGTACACCATCTAGGTTTTTCTAACTACACTCTATGATGTTCACACAATAAAATTGCCCAACGACGCATTTGTGAGAACGTTGTCTCAGTTGCTAAGCGATGCATGACTGTATATGAAATGTCTAGAATAGACAAGTTTGGAGACAGAAAGTAGATTAGTGGTTGCCTAGGGCTGGGGGAGATGGGCAAAATGTGGAGTGATTTTCAAAGGATATGGGGCTTCCTTTGGGACTGACAAAAACTTTCTAAAATTGACTGGTGATAGGTGCACAACTCTGAACATACAGCCAATGAATTGTCTACTTTTTTTTCTTTTCTGAGATGAAGTTTTGCTCTGTTGCCCAGGCTGGAGTGCAATGGCGCTGTCTCGGCTCACTGCAACCTCCACCTCCCGGGTTTAAGCGATTCTCCTGTCTCAGCCTCCCAAGTAGCTGGGATTACAGGTGCGCACCATCATGCCTGGCTAATTTTTGTATTTTTAGTAGAGACGGGGTTTCGCCATGTTGGCCAGGCTGGTCTCGAACTCCTGACCTCAGGTGATCCACCCGCCTCGGCCTCCCAAAGTGCTAGGATTACAGGTGTGAGCCATCGCACCCAGCCTGAATTGTATACCTTTTTTGTTTGAGGCAGAGTCTTACTCTGTTGAGAAGGCTGGAATGCAGTGGCACAATCATAACTCACTGCAGTCTTGAGCTCCTGAGCTCAAGCAATCCTCCTGCCTCAGCCTCCTGAGAAGCTGGGACTACAGGCTTGTGTGCCACCATCCCCAGCTAGTTGCTTTTTTTTTTTTTTTTAAAGAGATCAGGTCTTGCTATGTTGCCCAGGCTAGTCCTGAACTCCTGGCCTCAAGTCATCTTCCTGCCTCAGCCTCTCAAAGCATTGGGATTATAGGCAAGAGCGGCTCTGCCCAGCTGAACTGTATACTTTAAATGGGTGAAGTGTAACTTTAAATGGCTGAAGTATATCTCCATAAAGCTGTTACAAAAAATTAATTGTGGTGCTAGATACTATGGAAAGTATCCAAAAGATGCTTCCTCACATCTTGGCAATTACGAGTCAAATGGGTGATAGAAGCATAAGCTGAATGTCATTCCAGGCGGCAAATTCATTTAAATCAGCTGTGAAAATGATTACCCCCTTTGCAGCTCAGTCATGGACACTGACTGGCCCATGCACATTTGAGACAGGAAGCTGGGTTCAGGTTTTCTAAGGGTGTCAGGCATGCCTAACATTCCCCTGTGGCAAGTGGCAATCTTCCTTTGCATATCTGCGAAAGTCTAACACAGGGTTTGGGAGTGAAACAAACAGGTGGTTTGATTCAACAAAAGCACTAAAGAAACACTCAGAAAAGGTCTTGCAACTGCAATTTTATTTTCTTTTGTGAAAATAAACAACTGGGAGTTTAAATTGCTCCAAAAACCATAAAAACAAAAAGAAATACACACAGAAGAAGCATGTGAGGTGATGGGGAAGGGAACAGGGTCTCTAGAACTTTGGCAGATTGTGCTGGCACGGACCCAGGTGACAGGAGCCAGACCATGGGGCCGGTCCCGCCTGCCACTCTGGGATTGTGAAGGGATGATCGCCACTGGCAAGGACGGGGAGGAACACAGACTTCTTCGCTGAGGAAGTGGCAGGCACCTTGAGTCCCTTTAAATGCGGGGGTTGGGAGGAAACCATTTCAGAGGACCGCTTTCTCCACTGAAAGCTGGGGCTGGCGAGTTCGGGCCCACTGAGGGAGGGGACGCTGGTGGCAGCAAATCAGGCCAAGATGTCTTCTCACATGGTGATGGCCTCACACTGGGCAGAGGACAGAGGACGAAGAAGAACCCACGGTATTGAGCAGACGATGAAAACTTGGGCTGGGTAACAGGAAATGTCACAATGGCAGAGCTGCAGATGGAGTCGGGGAAGCTGGGGCAGGCGGCAGGGGCGAGAAGAGACAGGAGACAGAAAGTGCAAGAGAGGTAAGAGAGAGAAGTGCCCTCTGCCCAGGTCCATCCACCACAGCACCTACAGGACGAATAGCACGCTACTTTTCAGTTCTCTTTCTTATAAAGATTTTTTTTTGTTGTTTTGTTTTGTTTTTTAAAAAAGCCTTAAGATCAGCTACTGGTTACATCTACAAACTGTAAAGTGCTGTTGTTACCAGCCACTTTACAGAACAGTCCAGAGTGGTCAAATATTGACCAATAAAGTCTCCTTTTTCTTTTTCTTCTGAATCATTACTACTCAATGAGTCATGTGACAGCCTGCAGGGGTCGGGGGGAGCTTAGTGGGCAGACTTGGTGACCAGGGAAAGAGGCTGGGCCTGTAGCACCGGGAGGGCCTGGTGGGCATGGAGCGTGGCGGGGAAGGACGGGGGAGAGGCCAGCAGAGCTGTGGGCATGGACCCAAGGGGGAGGGGCCGGGACAGGAGGGGAGGCTGGCTGCCCATCTGCCCAGAGGAGGAGGCTGCAGCCTTAGCCGACAGGAAGGCGGCAGAGTGGAGAGCCAGCTGGGCCCGGGTTTCTGGTTTGGTGGTGAGGGAGAGGGGCTGGGCTTGCTCCGAATGGGTGGCAGCAGGGGCAGCTGGTGAGGCCAAAGCTGCAGAGGGAGTGGCCGGGGAGTCCAGCATGCTCCCGTGGGAGGAGGCAGGGCTGTCACAGGGCTTCTCGGGGGGCAGGTACTGAACACATGGCTTCTTGCTCTTGGAGGCCAGGGCACCTAGGGGGAAAATACAAGAAAGAGTGAGCAGCTATAGCTCTGTGAGAGGAGGAGGCTGAGGAACAGCCCTGGCGATACATGTGCTTTGGAGACACAGGGATGATTTTGGCGAGGACCTGACATTACTTCCAAGGCTTTCAAGACTAGGAAACTGCATTCACAAATACCCAGAGCACAGAGAAGAGGCAACGCCCAAACTGATGAAGATCCACCCAGCATCAGATCGGAGAGAAGACGGCTCAGTGTCTCACAGGACCACCCTCCTTTCCTAAAGCTGGTAACTTTTGGGATGAATCTCCAGTTTGCTTTGAAATCTTTGGTTTATGGTATTAATACAGTCAGAGAGAGTGCATGCCTGCTGAACAGCGTGCCAGACAGCGGGTTCTGTAGCAGGTACGGGTTCCACTCATGTGCGCTCCTATGTATAATGGAAGGAAGGAAGGAAGGGAGGAGGGGAGGCAAGGAAATAGGGAGGGAGGGAAGGAGAAAGGGAGGGCGGAAGGAGAAAGCGAGGGAAGAAGAAAGGGAGGGGGGGAAGGGAGGGAAGGAGGGGGAGAGGGAGGGAAAGAGAGGGAGGGAAAGAGAAAGGGAGGGAGAAAAGGAGGGAGGGAAGGGGAAAGGGAGGGAAGGAGAATGGGAGGGAAGGTGAAAGGGAGGGAGGAAGAAAGGGAGGGAGGGAGGAATGAAGAAGAGAGATTGAAAGCACTTTACATCGTGCAAGCAGCGATACACTTGTCCTGGAGTGAGCATGAGATGGGGGGCGTGACCTAAATATTAATAATAATCGTCACAGTGTGAGCATCTTTCTGTGCTAGGCATGATTCTGGTAATATAGAGATTTTATACATGGTTTTGACACAAAGTGCCTCCTAAACCCAAGCAAACTAATTTTTTCTGGTGTTCAACCAAAGAAACATCCAAGGAAACCCGGGCTCCCCTGGATCCACTGACAGGTGGGATGTCAGGGGCTCATGTGCTGCCTTCCTAAGGGTATTTCAAAGACAATTTCAACCTCATTCCATTAACCCTCAGGTAGGATGATTCACTTTTCAATGGAATTAGATTGTCTAGGCTTTGAAGTGACAAAGTCCTGGGATCAAATCCTACCACCACCACTGAAGCAGAGTGCCTGGGAAAATGCCTTCACATCTCAGAGCCTCTTAAGTGGCCACCTCGAGAAAGGGGTAATAATACCCGCCCGCGAATACCGAGGCAGAAGCCCTGACCCATCAGGGAGCTAGAGACAGCATGGGCAGGTGTGGCTGTGACAAAAGGAAAAGCAGGAGAAGAGGCCAGTGCCCCGAGACGCACCCTCTGCCTCCTGGACTTGCTGCTGTGACTGTGTCTGGGACAGCTGCTTTTCTCTCTTCCTCTTCTTTTTCTTACCCTGGAAAATACAGCCAAAGGAAGAGGTAAGCTGGGAGAGAAGAATGCTGGCTTCTCAGGGGCTCCCAGATCAGAGAGAAGACAGGACGTTGCCCTTTACTGCTCTCGATCCCTCAGGGAGAGTGTGGAGAGATAATTCAGATCACAGCCGTGGGAGCCCGTGAGGAGGCAGAGGGAGCCCTTCCTCCCCTACAAACGCGTTTCCCCTCCAGGTCGGGTGTCCAGGCCTTCTTGGAAGGCCTCCTCCCTCCACTGCCCTTCAGACTCTGTTTTTCTGTTTCTCTCCCTAGAACAGTGCTTCTAGATCTTTTCTGAGGGGTCCCAGGTCCCTTTGAAAGTTTGATGCAACTGTGGGTCCTCTTACCAGAAAAAAAGCAAAGAAGAACACGCATGCGAAAATTGGCTTGGTTTCCGGGAGCTTAGAGACACGCCCCCTGAGGCTCACACACTGGTCTTTGAGCCCTGGGTTAGGAGTGGCTGGAGACAACTCTTCCTACCACAGCTAACCCCGTGCCCTGTGTTATGAAATCGAGGGCAGAGTCCAGTTCAAAGGGAAATGCATCAACTGAAGTCCGTCCTCAGGACTTGTTGACCTCCTGAGAATTAAAACACCTTCCTTATTTCTAGAGAAGTATGGGCTTCTCCCTGATCTTAAGAGTCCTCTATAAATGCAGTCGCTGGCCGGGCGCGGTGGCTCACGCCTGTAATCCCAGCGCTTTGGGAGGCCGAGGTGGGCGGATCACGAGGTCAGGAGCTCGAGACCATCCTGGTTAACACAGTGAAACCCCGTCTCTACTAAAAATACAAAAAATTAGCCGGGTGTGGTGGCAGGTGCCTGTAGTCCCAGCTACTCGGGAGGCTGAGACAGGAGAATGGTGTGAACCGGGGAGGCGGAGCTTGCAGTGAGCCGAGATCGCGCCACTGCATGCACTCCAGCCTGGGTGACAGGGTGAGCCTCTGTCTCAAAAAATAAAAGAAAATAAAATAAATAAAAATAAATGCAGTTGCTTTCCTTCACCCTTCCTCCTCTTGCAGAGGCTGTTCCTGGGGTCTGAGCGTCCTCTGCCCAGAGTGTGCACTTACATAGTTGTCCCGGGCTGACCAGGTTGGGTAGAGCTGCGAGTGAAGCTGCCGCTCCTTCCGGGCCAGCTCGTAGTACTTGGCCTGTTCTTCTCGAGACAGGTTGTGCCACTGGGGGAGAGAGGGTCAGAGACCACACGGAGCCATCAATGCAGGGACGCTGCCTCCCTGGCCTGGAGGGAGAGGGCAGGTCTTACCTTTCTTCCAAGGATCTGGTTAATGGCTGCACTTTCCTTCAGGGTGCACTCAGCCACCACCTTGGCCCTCATCTCCTTCATATACAACATGAAGGCATTCAGAGGCTTCTTCACGTGGGGCTTCTTTTCCTCCTCCTTTTTCACGGTGACTGGTGATTTCCTGGGAAGGCACGTGGTTGTAGGTTAGCATGTCAGGTGTCACACAACTCATCAATCCCCACCTGTCACTGAAACACCGCTGATTGTCTCTGGGGAGGGGCGCGGGCTGCCTGGATGCTAATTCAAGTGGCCCCATGGCTGCACTCAACACCTGAGTACCTTCCTCCCGTAGTTTCCCACCTTTGAACGATCTCCACGCCAGATTCTTTGAAAATCTACTCTCCAATTTCCTGACAGAGGAACAGAGCATGGTGGGGTTGCTGAGATGAGCTCTCACTGGAGCTGGCAGGTGCTGGCGGCGGTGACAGGACACAGTGTGGGGCACTCTGGGCAGAACCAAGTTGGGAGGGGGTTCTCTTGGGATCTCCAGGGAGCACTGACTTTGGCTTCCTGCCATCTTTATGGTACACGGGCAAGGTAAGGACCCTGGTGCTCATCTCAGCTCGGCCACCAGCCCACCACAAGTCCTTAAGAAAACACTGTCTCCTTTCTGGGCCTCACCTTTTCATATATCTTACGGTGGGGTGTTAAAAGCTTTCTCAGGTTCTCTTTCAGCCTCTGAGACCTGACAGTAAAACTTTCCTTAATAAGAGAGAAGATGCACCATGTCCCTGAAAGGACAGGGACCCAGAAGGTCAGAGGGAGTAAGTCCCGAGGAAGAGGGAGGGCCTGGCTGGGGAGGCTGTGATGCCTGCTGAGTGACACCAAGAGAGAAGAGTACATGACATTTGCTGCTCAGAGTGTGGCCACCCCTCCCCACAGCCTGCACCCTCCCACCTGAATCCAGGCTGCCGCTTACTTACACGCTCACTGCAGGGCTCAGGCTGGGGGGTGCCGGTTCCTGCTTGACGATGGGGGAGACGATGGCAGGGTGGGGGATCCCTGAGGTGGGCAGGCCAGGGTGGGCAGGAGCCACCATGTGAGGAGAGAACCGACTGGAGACCAGGCTGTGCACCGGATAGAAACAAATGGCAACAGAGGGGTTCAGGCTGGATACCTGCCACCCAGCAGAGGACACGGTGGCTCTCTGCCTTAAGGGCACAGGCATGTCCGTGGGGCAGAGTCTCAGGACTAGAAGGCTATTTGTCGTCTTCTAGAAAACCAGGTTTGGGAGATGCTTAATGGCTCTTCCTTCTCCCCACCAACACCCAGGCTGCCCATCTGGTGCTGGAAGCAGGTGGGATGAAACACACAAAAGGGGAGGAGGGTCAGAGGCCCGGGCATACTGGGGAAAAGAAGGGCTTAGGCTGTGGGCAGCTTTCCTCTGTCCTCAGAGGTTCCACTGTCAGGTAGAGCTGGTCCCTGAGACAGAAATCCCCTTTCACCGTCTCCTCTCCTGACATCATTTCAGGAAAAATTCATCTTCTCCCAGTCCCTAGCTTCAGTGTGATATACAGACAGTCCGTGACTTAGGATATTTTGACTTTACGATGGTGCAAAAACGATATTAATTCAGTACTCTCCTTGACCTAGATGGGGTTATGTCTGGATAAAACCATCATATGTTGCAAATATTCTAAGGGGAAAGTTGTGTTTTCAATGTACGACGGGTTTATCAGGACGCGGCTCCATCCTAAGTCGGGGAGCATCTGTCCTCAAAATGCTTCAGTGCCAGAGCCCATGGCAGGAGGCAGAGTGCTAGGGCTTTGCAATCCTTCTGTTGGAGAGATGGGGACAGTGATCCTGTGGTCTCCATTCTGACCTGGGGGTGGGGAGCGCGGGACGTGAGAAGATGCTTGATCAAAGAGAGGTGGGGGGAGGGTGAGCCCTGTGCCTGCTCATTAACTGGCAAGAAAAAGCTGTTTCGTGGTCAGAAATGGCGTGGTTGCTAAGACAAACATGCGGACAGCCCCAGCCCCGGGACTCACCTGGACATCGAGGCGTTCATGGCGAGGGCGGGGTAAGGGTGCCGGAAGCCACCGGGAGGAAGGGAGTACATGGGCTGGCCTTGCCTGTGAGGGGGAGGAAATCTGGTCAGCATATTGGGAAAGCTCAGGGCAGAGGAAGAGAGGCACTTGGGAAGAAGGGATGAGAAATATGGGAAGGAAGCGGGAAGGTAATGCTGGGAGCACGCTGCCTGGGCGGGGGCAGGGAGGCCTAGTCCTGGGCTTGCCTCTGAGGGGGCTCCACTGTGCAGGGCGCGCAGGGCACAGAGGCAGAGCTCAGCGCAAGGAGGGAGCAGGGGGAAGAGAGGCTGTGGGTTCCTTACTGTGGGACGAGCCAGCCGAGGGGGTGGGGGATTTGTCCGACAGCTCCGGGAGAGAGTGGGTAATACGGTGACAGCTCGGATGGGTGAGGGGGCCGGGGGATTCCTGCTTCCAAAGAGAGATATGTCAGACTGTTCCCTCGCCCTGCCAGAGCACCTTAACGAACATCAAATGGGAGCATCCTGCCCTATGTCCCTGGTGCTCTGGAGCCTAGCAGGTGCTTGTGTCATTGTCCTTGCCCTCTGTCAACTCCCTAGCAGCTCTCACCAGTCAGTCAAGGACATATTCAGGGGAGGCAGGACTAATGCACCCCCTCTCTAGCTGCACGGATTCTATCTCTGTGAAGAGTATCTTCCAGCTGGCTGTGATACAGAAGCCAGCGTCCTGGAAGAGAGGGACAGGACCCACAAGACCAATGACAAGAGTCACTGGTGAACCAAGTCTCTAGAAAGCCCGCCTCATTCATGGAGAAATAAACTTTGGATTCCTCCTCCACATGTGTCTTCCTCATTATCTGTAACTTGTAGTGACTGTTATTTCTCCAAAGAGGGGCTCCAAAAATGCTTTGCCTTCCCCTGGCAACTCTGTGTGAATGCTATAAAGACAGTGGCTCCCTGGAATGGACAGGTCTGGTGGGCAAGTTAAAAAAAAAAAAAAGAAAAAAAAGCCAGTTCAGGTTGGGCATGGTGGCACACCGGTAATCCCGGCACTTAGGTGAGTTGACTGCTTGAGTCCAGGAGTTTGAGACCAGCCTGGGCAACATGGCAGAAACCCATCTCTACTAAAAATACAAAAATTAGCTGGGCAAGGGCATGGTGGCATGCGCCTGTGGTCCCAGCAACTCGGGAGGCTGAGGGAGGAGGACTGCTTGAGCCCGGGAGGTCAAGGCTGCAGTGAGCTGAGATCACACTACTGCACTCCAGCTTGGGCGACACAGCAAGACTGTCTTAAATAAATAAATAAATAAAAGCCAGTTTGGCCTCACTGCTTTACGGTTGCACTTCTGTGTCTGCTTAGACTGATGAATCTATTTAAAAATGTTCAGTTTAGGGCAAACATGTCTTGGTGTAGGGAAGCACGGCCCACAGCTGGGCTAGACTTGGGCAGAGCCACCCCACACACTGCCTATGGAGCCAGGCCCTGTGCTTTACTGCATTTAATTCCTGTGGGCCTTATCGTGACCCTATGGTGGAGAAGGTACAGGGGAGGCACAGATGAAAAAAAAAATGACAAGGCTAAAGTTAGCAGACAAGGTCCAAAGACTCCTGAGACAAAGAGCCATGATTTGAACCCAGGTCAGCCTGATTCAAGGGCTGTTATGTTCCCACAAAAGAGAAGCCCGCCTGCCCTGCAGCAGCACTGCCTGAGTGGCAGACGACTTACCTGTCTTTGGATCGATCTCTGGGGAGAGGTGGGTGGGAGGGGAGCCGGGGGAGAAGTGGTCATTGCTGTAGGTGATGAGGGGAGTCAGCGGATGCATGTGATGCGGGTGCTGAACGACAGGAACTTTATTAGACTGAAAGAGACAAAAAAGACCAGGAATGGTTGCCAAGGAGATGGAGAGTATGACCAGCTGTTATTTATGGAATCAAGTAAGTGCCAGGTATTTTCCAGGCAACATCCCATTCAGTCCTCAAAACAGTCCCTGAGAGATGACAGCAGTGGACACAGCAGAGCAGCAGGACTTGAGAAGGGATCACACCCACCCTCCATCGCTCCCCTCACGTGCACTGTGTGTGGGAAACAGTACAGGCTTCTGGGGAATGATCTGCGCTGTGTCATCTCAAACACTACAGGCTGCTGAGGGATGATCTGCGCTGTGTCATCTCATTGAATCTAAAAAGGTTTTTTTTTTGTTTTGTTTTGTTTTTTGAGATGGAGTCTTGCTCTGTCACCCAGGCTGGAGTGCAGTAGCATGATCTCGGCTCACTGCAGCCTCTGCCTCCCGGATTCCAGCAATTCTCCTGTCTCAGCCTCTGGAGTAGCTGGGATTACAGGCGTCTGCCATCACGCCTGGCTAATTTTTTTGTATTTTTAGTACAGATAGGGTTTCACCATGTGGGCCAGGCTGGTCTTGAACTCCTGACCTCAGGTGATCCACCCGCCTCGGCCTCCCAAGGTGCTGGGATTACAGGTGTGAACCACTGCGCCCGGCCCTGAAAAGGTTTAACACACATTTTTCAAATAAACTTCATAGAAACAGTTGCTCTCAGGTTCAAGTCTGGGACTGGGAACAGGGCAGGGGGAGAGTTGCCCCCATTAGACCTCATACTACCAAGTCTCATATTCAGGCTTTACAGACACAACCCTAAAGCACTTGAAACACTTCTCTCTGTAACACTTTACTCTGCTGACCTCACTACCACATTCTGTGTAAAACACCACCAAATGGAAGGAGCACCATTATTTTATAAAGCTATTGAGAAAAACGCTGGCACGCCACAGACACATCTTCAGAGATGTTAACATGGGAAAAACCTGTGCGTTCTACAATTGGTAAACAGAATTAACTTTTTAATTGTTTAAACCTAATCTGACTTATCCATAAGGCTTTTTATTTTAAAAACATCTACAGGTCACTGAACCCTGCATTACAAACACAGCACCAGGCATAATTTCTACTCCTTATAACCTAGAAAAGAAGCTGTGATTACCCCCATTCCAGAGATGAGGGAACAGCCCAGAAAGATTACATGACTTAGCCTGGGACACGGTTAGTAAGTGGCAGAGCTGGGATTCATATCAGCTGTTTATGGCTCTAATAAACAAGAATGTTTTCTCTTGTACAACCTGTCTCTCCCAGAACCTTCTCAAAACGTAAAACTTATCTGTCACAGAGAAAGGACAGAAATTATGTTTTTTGATAATAAGATAAGTGAGTTACAAGTGGAGAAGAGATTTCTTTTTAAAAGAGATTTGTGGCCGGGCACGATGACTCATGCCTGTAATCCCAGCATTTTGGGAGGCCAAGGCGGGCAGAACACCTGAAGTCAGGAGTTCGAGACTAGCCTGGCCGACATGGTGAAACCCTGTCTCTACTAAAAATACAAAAATTAGCCGGGCATGGTGGCGTGTGCCTATAGTCCCAGCTACCCAGGAGGCTGAGGCAGGAGAATTGCTGGAACCCAGGAGGCAGAGGCTGCAGTGAGCCGAGATCGTGCCACTGCACTCCAGCCTGGGTGACAGAGCAAGATTCCATTTCAAAAAAAAAAAAAAGAGATTTGTAAAAAAGATGATTTGGAGGTAACCCAAGGGCTACAACTCCAAATGGCTATATTCCTCTTTGAATTTTTCATTTCGTAGATTCCATGAGACCTTTCTTTCCTTTCATGTGGTGCCTATTTGGTACTCATAATGCAAACTCCAATCCATAGATTTCCTGGGTATCCTTGAGCTCACCACAGCCTTGTTCCTTTTCAGTGTGCCAAGCAGAGAGGAGAGGCGGAGAATTAAACCGTTTATAACCATGACCACCAGGTGGCGCCAGCACACAGCTGGGCCCTGCTGGTGGCTGGTGGGCTCACTGGATGTTGCATCATGAATTTAAAAAGTACTGTCTTCTTACTGTTTTCACCTGTCCAATTACTCGTTTTTGAAGATATCTCCATATACATGAACATACAACACAAAAATATTAAAAATTATTGTAAGATCAGATTTCCAGGAAGCCAATGCATCTTAATGATAGTTTCTGGAAACAGCTTTGTCTAAAGGGTGACTTTTAGTAAAATAAATCCAATAGAATTATTACCAGCGTGAAAATACATAATCACAATTAAAAAATACATAAACTCTGTAATTTAAAAAAAGGCTAAATAGAAGCACACCAAAAATGTAAACAAGTTATATTTGAGTGGTGAAACTATGGGTAACTTTGTCTTTATTGTCTCTCTTTCCATATTTTCCAACTTTACTTTCACCATGATCTACTACTTAAAAAAATATACTATGAATAACACAAACTTTCTAAGAAAGAAATGCAAACTATATCATAATTGTATCACAAAGCATTTAGACAACATAACTGCACCATCCTAACCCTGTCGCTATGGTCATTTTGGCATATCTCCTTTCATTAAGCCTTTCTGGGCATCAGTGTGTGTGTGTGTGTGTGTGTGTGTGTGTGTGTGTGTGTGTGTTTGAGACAAGGTCTCGCTCTGTTGCCCAGGCTGGAGTGCAGTGGTGCAATCTCGGTTCACTGCAGCCTCTACCTCCCAGGCTCAAGCAATCCTCCCACCTCAGCCTCCCAAGTAGCTGGGACTACAGATGCGCACTGCCACACCTCGCTAATATTTTGTAGAGACGCGGTTTCACCATGTTGCCCAGGCTGTTCTCGAACTCCTGCGCTCAAGCAATCCATCCACCTTGGTCTCCTAAAATGCTGGGATTACAGGTGTGAGCCACTGTGCCGGGCTCAGTGGCTCAAAATAAAATTTTATTCTATTTTGAGACAGAGTCTTGCTCTGTCACCCAGGCTGGAGTGCAAGTGGTGTGATCTCGGTTCACTGCAACCTCTGCCTCCTGGGTTCAAGCGATTCTCCTGCCTCAACCTCCCAAGTAGCTGGGATTACAGGCACCCACCACCATGTCCGGCTAATTTTTTTGTATTTTTAGTAGAGATGGGGTTTCACCATGTTGGCCAGGCTGGTTTTGAACTCCTGACATCAGGCGATCCCCCTGCCTCAGCCTCCCAAAGTGCTGGGATTACAGGTGTGAGCCACCACGCCCAGCCTCTGCATCAGTTTTAAATTTACATTTATTTACATCATTTATAGCTGTCTTAAAAACTGGTGATAGTATTAGCAAATCCTGATTGCTCATGTGCTGTATTTGGCCTGGGGAGAAACCAGCAAACAGGACTCAATGGGTAACAGAATTAAGTATTAGGTTGGTGCAAAAGTAATTGTGGTTTTGGCCATACTTTTAATGGCAAAACCACAATTACTTTTGCACCAACCTAATACAAAGTAGGGAAATTTTTATTTGAAGATCTATGTATAGTTGTCGAAATGCTGTGTGAGTTCTTACCGTTTCCCACTAGGTGGCATCATTGTCCAGAAAATGAACCGGGAGGGAAGGCGGTAAGTAGATAGTGGCCTCCTAGAAGGAAGGTTCTCCTTGCAGGCTTCTGTCCCAATAAAAGTTCCTGCTCATTACTCTCCTCAGCTGCCCCCAGGGGCAGGATGTTCACAGCATATACCCAAACCGAGGACTAGGAATGTAGGGAACCACCGCACACCCCTCTGTGGATAACCCCAACAGGGACAAAACACACAAGCGTGGGCATGGGTGTGCATGGCCAGGAAGCTGAATCCAGATGCATCCAAAGAGCCCCTGAGAGCCACCTCAGACCTAAATCCTTCAGGCAAGCGCTGCAAGCCAGCTCTTTCTAGCTCAGGTGTTTCCCGTCTATTTCAGTCTGTTTCTAGAGTTGGTACAAGACAAAGGTCTTTAAACTCTGGTCTCCCTAGGAAGCCATGTGTCCTCTCTCACATGCTTTTTTTTTTTTTTTTTTTTTGAGACAGAGTCTTGCTCTGTCACCAGGCTGGAGTGCAGTCTCGACTCACTGCAACCTCCGCCTCCCAGGTTCAAGCAATTCTCTGGCCTCAGCCTCCCGAGTAGCTGGGACTACGTGCACCCGCCACCATGCCCAGCTAATTTTTGTATTTTTAGTAGAGACGGGGTTTCACCATGTTGGCCAGGATGGTCTCGATCTCTCGACCTCGTGATCTGCCCACCTCAACCTCCCAAAGTGCTGGGATACAGGCGTGAGCCACCGCGCCCGGCCTGCACTTTTTTTTTTTTTTTGAGATGGAGTCTCACTCTGTCACCCAGGCTGGAGTGCAGTGGCATGATCTCGGTAAAAATATAAAAATTAGCCAGGCGTGGTGGCACATGCCTATAATCCCAGCTACTCGGGAGGCTGAGGCAGGAGAATCGCTTGAACCTGGGAGGTGGAGGTTTCAGTGAGCCGAGATCGCACCACTGCACTCCATCCTGAGCGACAGAGGGAGACTCTGTCTCAAACAAAAATAAAATAAAATAAAAAATATTAGATAAATAAGTTTATTAAAATATTTTAATACAGTGTTAAAATGCTAAGAAGAAAAACTAAGAGAAAGTAGAAAAGAAATATAGAGGGGGTGAGCAGGTTAAACAGGATGTTTCCCAGGATGACCAGGGAAGGTGTCAATGAGAAAATGACTTTTTTTTGGAGACACAGTCTCACTGTGTCCCCCCAGGCTGGAGTGTAGTGGTGTGACCTCAGCTCACTGCAGCTTCTGCCTCCTGGGCTCACGGGATCTTCCCACCATGCCGGGCTAACTTTTGTATTTTTTGTAGAGATGGGGGTTTGCCATGTTACCCAGGCTGGTCTTGAGCTCCTGGACTAAGCAATCTGCCTGTCTGGGCCCCACAAAATGCTGGGATTACAGGTGTGAGGCACTGCGCCTGGCCTGAGAGCATGACTTTCACATTTTGAAAGAAGTGGGGAGCTGGACACGTTGATTGTGGGGAAGGACATTTTGGCCAAAGAAACACTAGTGTAGTATGCCTGGCATAGCACGTGTGAGGACCCACGGCAGGCCAGTGGGCTGCAGCAGAGAGGAGAATGAGGGTCTGTACGGATGGGTCAACAAATACTTTCTGAGCTCCTGAAAGTGGTGTGCTGCAGGCTACGAAAAATGTGAAGGTAAGTCAAGAGTCTCTGCAGGGCAATAGGAGAGAGAAAAGACTCTGGGACCTGGAATGTGCTTTCAGGTCCTTCTGAGCAATGGTATGTTTCTGAGGTCTTTGCAAGTAGGACAGGATTTGTCATTCTTGGGATAAGCCTTTCCTTACCCAAACTCTTCTTTTCCCACTGTTTGCTGGCATTAAGGGTGGCAAAAGACAGCCCTAAGGTTACCTTTATTTTTGTTCCTTTGGCATTTGCCTTTTTTTCTCTTCTGCATGGGTGCTTGAAGGAAAACATTTCTAAACCCTTGCAATTTGAACTGTTTTTAGGATATGTCTAGGTGAATGTCAATTTTCATTGAGTTTTATAGAATTCAAAGGAGCTCTTTCAATCCATAAATTCAAGTTTTTGTTTTTAGAGCCCATTTTAACTTTCTTAATTGCCTCTTTTCCTTCAGTTTGGTCTCTTCTTTAGAAACACTATTTGTAGAATGGTTTTTAATTTTTTTTCTCTGTATCTATCAGCGACTTTCTCATCACAGTTACAAATGGCACAAATGTGACTTGCCACAATGTCAACTCCAGTCTATACAAAGACGAATGGGCTGGGAGACATGAGTAAGAATTTCAAAGACGCTGAAGCTCAACAGCAGAAATGAACAGAAGGAACGATGCAGGTGGAAAACCATCACTGCCTGCTAAAACTAGTGGGTGAAAAATTGATGAGAAATAGGGCATTGGCATAGCCTTGGAGCCTCTCCCTACAAAACACTTATTAATTACAAAGGGAAAAATTGTTACCCTAGGGTGGAAACGTTTGTCAGATACCACCTAATCCAAACAGTTGATGCTAACATCACTAATACTGGGACAAAGGCAGACTGTAGGGCTACCTCCTGAAATGAGGTAACGAGGATGCAACTTTAGTGCAGTGACATTCTGGCCAAAAATGCACAATCTGAATCTAACCATGACGAAACATCAGACAAACCCAAACTAAGGGACATTCTACAAAACAGCTGGCCTGTACTTCTCAAAAAATGTGAAGGTCAAGAAAGACAAAGACAGGCTAAGGACCTCTGCTGGATTCGAGGGAACTAAAGAGACATGAGGGCTACATGTAATCCATGATGCCAGGTGGAACCTGGGACCAGGAGAAACACATGGGCTATCATGGACATTATTGGGACACGGCCAAAAGTTCAATCTATATTGTGAGTAAGATAATGACATGAAAAGTTAATGTTACTGGCTGGGTATGATGGCTCAAGCCTATGGTCCCAGCATTTTGGGAGGCCGAGGCAGGTGGATCATTTGAGGTCAGGAGTTTGAGACCAGCCTGGCCAACATGGCGAAATCCTGTGTCAACTAAAAATACAAAAATTAGCTGGGCGTGGTGGTGGGCACCTGTAATCCCAGCTACTCAGGAGGCTGAGGCAGGAGAATCACTTGAACCCAGGAGGCGGAGGCTGCAGTGAGCCGAGATCGTGCCGCTGCACTCCAGCCTGGGCGACAGAACGAGACGGTCTCAAAAAAAAAAAAAAAAAAAAAAGTAAATGTTACTTTCTTCATTTTGAGGACTGTACTGTGATTATTTAAGAGAATGCCTTTGTTCTTAGATAATATAGCTAAAATATTTAAGGGTAAAGGGTCACAATGTTTCCAAGTTACTCTCAAACTTTTCAGAAAAGAAAAAACAGAGAGAGAGAGAGAGAAAGAGAAGCACAAAGCCCAGGGGAAAAATGTGTGAATCTGGATAAAGGTTATATGGGAGTTCCTTGTATTATTCTTGAAACTTTTCTGGGAGTTAAAATAATACCCAAAAGTGGCCAGGCACGGTGGCTCATGCCTGTAATCCCAGCACTTTGGGAGGCCGAGGCGGGCAGATCACCTGAGGTCGGGAGTTCGAGACCAGCCTGACCAACATGGAGAAACCCTGTTTCTACTAAAAATACAAAATTAGCCGGGCATGCGGGCACATGCCTGTAATCCCAGCTACTAGGGAGGCTGAGACAGGAGAATCGCTTGAACCTGGGAGGCAAAGGTTGCGGTGAGCCAAGATCGCGTCATTGCACTCCAGCCTGGGTGACAAGAGCAATACTCCGTCTCAAAAAACAAAACAAAGCAAAACAAAACAAAAGTTATTACTGTGTATTAAGAATTACAATCAGTATTGAGGGTAGTACAGAGCACCAACAGGATATGCTATGGGTTTTGGAGTTTTCTGCATCTACACAGGTATACTGGTAAGAAGATGGAGAAGTTATGTAGAATTTTATTTAAAAAAATTTTTTTTTTCAGACAGGGTCTCAGTCACCCAGGCTGGAGTGCAGTGGCCTGATCATGGCTCACTGCAGCTTCAACTTCCTGGGCTCAAGCAATCCTCCTACCTCAGCCTCCCGAGTAGCTGGGACTGCAGGTATGTGCCACCATGCCCGGCTAATTTTTTTTATTTTTAGTAAAGGTGAGGTCGCACTATGTTGCCCAGGCTGGTCCCGAACTCCTGAGCTCAAGTGATCCTCCCACCTCAGATTCCCAAAGTGCTGGGATTACAGGTGTGAGTCACCGTGCCTGGCTGTATGTACAGTTGTAAAAGGGAAATTCCAATGAATATTTTTGAGAATTGGCATGTTAAGCAGCGTCAGGTTTCTCAGCTCAAAGCTGGGGCAGAGCTATTGATGTTCTTTCAGAGAGCATCCAGCACTGGCTCAGCAATCAATAATTTGACATGAAACTCTCCAGTTTGCTTCTGAGAGTGACCCAATTTGCAATGCTAAAACTGGGTGTTTACCATTACTAGTGCAGACAATGTCCCTATGCCAGTGGTTCTCAAAGCTCAGTCCCCAGACCAGCAGCATAAGCATCACCTGGAAACTTGTTAGAATGCAAATTCTCAGGCTCGACCTACCGCGACCCACTGAATCAAACTCTGCAAAGTGTGATTCACCCAGAGTTGAAATCATCCAGAGAGCTTTTAAAATTCCCAATGCTCGGCCAGGCGTGGTGGCTCACGCCTGTAATCCCAGCACTTTGGGAGGCCGAGGCGGGCACGTCACAAGGTCAGGAGATCGAGACTGTCCTGGCTAACATGGTGAAACCCCGTCTTTACTAAAAACACAAAAAATTAGCCGGGCGTGGTGGCGGGTGCCTGTAGTCCCAGCTACTCAGGAGGCTGAGGCAGGCGAATGGCGTGAATCCGGGAAGTGGAGCTTGCAGTGAGCCAAGATCGTGCCACTGCACTCCAGCCTGGGCGACAGAGGGAGACCCCATCTCAAAAAAAAAAAAAAAAAAAAAAAAAAAATCCCAGTGTTCAGGCCACACCTAAATTCCATCAGAAACTCTAGGGGTGGGGTTCAGCAATCTTTGTTTTAACAAGTTCCCCAGATGACTCCGATGCCTGCTCAAGAGACCCACCAACCGGATGATAAGGAAGATGCTGCCAGTGTCTAAACAGTATTGGTAGGGTCCTTCTAATACTGAGAAGACGACAACCAAGAGAAATTCTAATTTTGATCCTACTGAAGATGCTAAACTCTGACAGGAAGTACTTGGACACGAGACTGTTAACACTTGCAATAATTTATTTCTGTTTAGAGTATGTTCTACATTCTTGAATCTCAAATGCTAAACAAGATCAATAGGTCAGGATGTAGCCATGTGTTTGCTTTTACTATTTATTTATAATTCTCTTTCCTTCCCTTGCCCCATCAGTATTAGACTTGCCCCTACGTATTAGTCTGTTCTTGCATTGCTATAAAGAAATACCTGAGACTGGGTAATTTATAAAGAAAAGAGGTTTAATTGGCTCACAGTTAAGCAGGCTGTACAGAAAGCATGATGCTGGCACCTGCTCGGCTCCTGGGGAGGCCTCAGGAAACTTTTAATCATGGAGAAAGGTGAAGGGAAGCAGGCGCATCTTACTTGGTGGAGGAGGAACAAGACAGAAAGAGTGGGGGGAGGTCCTGCACACTTTTAAATGACCAGATCTTATAAAAACTTGCTCGCCATCACAAGAATGGCACCAGGAGATGGTGCTAAACCATTCATGAAGGACCACTCCCGTGATTCAGTCACCTTCCACCAGGCCCTACCTCTAACATTGGGGATTACAGTTAGACACAAGATTTGGGTGGGGATACAGATCCACACCATATCACCTTATGACTTGCTCTGACCAATGGAATATTAGTGGACATGAAATGAAGTGAAAGGAAGCTTTCAATCTGCTTCCCTTCTTTTGTATCTGCCACATGCCATGAGAAGGACATGACCTGGATAGCCACTGGTCCTGGGATAAGAGCCATGTGGAGAAGACCTGAACCTCCCCCTTAACAAGCTAAAACAGCCACTCCAAGTGACCCACAGGTCCATCAGTGGAAAAAGAAATGTTTACTAATGTAAGCCACTGAATTGTTTGTTACACAGCATTATGAAAGAAATAGTTGACTTGGGCTGGGTGTGGTGGCTCATGCCTGTATTCCCAGCACTTTGGGAGGCTAAGGCAGCCAGATTGGGTGAGCCCAGGAGTTTGAGACCAGCCTGGCAAACATGCCGAAACCCCGTCTCTATAAGAAATACAAAAAATTAGCTGGGCATGATGGTGCACACCTGTGGTTCCAGCTACTTGGGAGGCTGAGGTGGGAGGATCACTTGAGCCCAGGAGGTGGAGGTTGAAGTGAGCCAAGATTGTGCCACTGCACTCCAGCCTGGGTGACAGAGCAAGACCCTGTCTTAAAAAACAAAAAGAGAGAAATAGCTAACTTAAGACATAAAGTCTACAAAAATATTTTTTGAGAAATACAGAAAAGTATAAAGAATGATACCACACCCAAAACCTGCCATGTGGGATTGTTTTTATAGCTTTTAAATTTTGTTCTTTTTTTCTTAAATAAAACATCACAGAAAGTTAAATCCTCTTAAACACTCCACCAGTCTTATGCTCCTCCCCACTTCCCAAAGGCAGCTACCATTGAAATGTTCCCATTCTCCCTTAAAAATACATATGACCGGCCGGGCGCGGTGGCTCACGCCTGTAATCCCAGCACTTTGGGAGGCCGAGGCGGGCGGATCACGAGGTCAGGAGATCGAGACCATCCCGGCTAAAACGGTGAAACCCCGTCTCTACTAAAAATACAAAAAATTAGCCGGGCGTAGTGGCGGGCGCCTGTAGTCCCAGCTACTTGGGAGGCTGAGGCGGGAGAATGGCGTGAACCCGGGAGGCGGAGCTTGCAGTGAGCCGAGATCGTGCCACTGCACTCCAGCCTGGGCGACAGAGCGAGACTCCGTCTCAAAAAAAAAAAAAAAAAAAAAAAAAAAAAAAAAAAAAAAAAAAAATACATATGACCAGTAAACTCAGCACTTTGGGAGGCTGAGACAGAAGGATCACTTGAGCCTGGGAGGTCAAGACCAGCTTGGGCCATATAGTGGAACCCCATCTCTACAACAAATAATAAAAATAGCTGGATGTGGTGGTGCACACCTGTAGTCCTAGCTACTTGGGAGGCTGAGGAGGGAGGAATGCTTGAGTTTAGGCTGCAGTGAGCTATGATCATGCCACTGCACTACAGCCTAGGTGACAGAGTGAGATCCTGTCTCTCAACAAAGCACAAAAAACCAAAATCCGGGAGGCTGAGACAGGAGAATCTCTTGAACCCAGGAGGTGGAGGTTGCAGTGAGCTGAGATCATGTGCCATTGCACTCCTGCTTGGGTGACAAGAGTGAAACTCCGTCCTAAAACCAAAACCAAAACCAAAACCAAAACCAAAACTAAAACCAAAACAAACACATACACACAAAAACAAAACCCCAAAAATATGGATGTTAAAGGTGCTTCCGGTGAGGCTTCAGATGGAAATGGGGAACATGTTATTGGAACTAGTGGAAAGGCGATTCTTGTTACAAAGTGGGAAGAAACATGGCTGAGTTATTTTGTAGTGTTTTGTGAAAGGTAGAACTTGTGAGTGATGAATTTAGATATTCAGCACAAGTTATTTCTAAGCAAAGTGCTGAAGGTGTGGCTTGGTTTCTCCTTACTGCTTGTAGTAAAATGTGAGAAGTAAATTATTGTTAAGCAAAAAGGAACCAGAACTTGAAAATTTAGAAAATTCTCAGCCTAGCCTCATTGCAAAAAAATGAGAAGGTGTGTTCCTAAGAGAACACCAATGGTGTGGCTGGACGATCAGATAATGAGACTGGGGCTGTGAAGCATGGATTCAACCAACCACCTCAGCAGAAATACTGCCCTTTTGGATTAAAATGGACAAAGACAGGACAAAGGGAAGGAAGGCTGTCAGACTTCTACAGAATGGGCTACAGTGATGTGGCTGCAAACATTTGTTATCTTTCAAGAAGAGGGAAGAATGACCCCAAGAGGGGATTCACAAGGTGTGGCTGCCGCCCAGGGCCTCAGGGGCACAGCTCCCAGCTCCCATCCTGGTGGGCTGGAAGGACAGAGAATGAATGGTGCCAAAGAGGATTATTCTTGAGCATTAAATTGAATAGAACTCTGCTAGCAGACTGCCTTTAGACTTAGACTGTAACTCTTCCCTGCCAGTCTCCAGCCTGCCAGCTTACCCTCTTAAATCTTTCTCCCTCTACACATTCACACTCACTCACTCACTCGCTATATATACATACATCACCTTGGTTCTGTTTCCCTGGAGAACCCTAACACAGAACTGTCCTATATCTTTTTTATTTTTACTTTTCATACCAAGCTAAGCTGACTAGGAGAACTGTTCTATATCTTGATTGTGGTGAACTCATGTATGACTGCAAAAGTTTGTCAAAACTCACAGAACTATATACTCATGTGAATTTCACTATATGTAAATTATATCTTAAAAATGGGGAGGTTGGGCATGATGGCTCATGCCTGTAATCCTAGCACTTTTGGAGACTGAGGCAGGCGGATCACTTGAGGCCAGGAGTGCAAGGCCAGCCTGAGCAACATAGCGAGACCCTAACTCTAATTTTTTTTAAATGGGGGGAAAAGCGCACACGTATACAAATATATGCACAGGATGCTAACTTTAGCTTAAAAACTGGGGCCGGGTGAGGTGGCTCACGCCTGTAATTCCAGCACTTTGGGAGGCCAAGGCGGGCAGATCACCTGAGGTCAGGAGTTCAAGACCAGCCTGGCTATCATGGTGAAACCCCGTCTCTACTAAAAAAATACAAAAATTAGCCATGTGTGGTGGCAGGCGCCTGTAATCCCAGCTACTTGGGAGGCTGAGGCAGGGAGAATTGCTTGAACCCGGAGTGTGAAAGTTGCAGTGAGCTGAGATCGCACCACTGCACTCCAGCCTGGGCGACATAGTGAGACTCTGTCTCGGAGAAAAAAAAAAAAAAACTGGGCTAGGCGTGGTGGCTCGTGCCTGTAATCCCAGCACTTTGGGAGGCTGAGGTGCGCGGATCCCGTGAGGCCAGGAGTGCCAGACCAGCCTAGCCAACATGATGAAACCCCGTCTCTACTAAAAATACAAAAAAATTAGCTGGGCGTGGTGGTGAATACCTGTAATCCCAGGTACTCGGGAGGCTGAGGCAGGAGAATCTCTTGAACCCAGGAGGTGGAGGTTGCAGTGAGCTGAGTTTGTGCCACTGCACTCCAGCCTGGGCAACAGTGAGACTGTCTCAAAACAAACAAACAACTGGAAACCATCTATGTCTATCTATTTTTAAAATGTTTAAATAAAAGGCAACCAGGAAGAGAGAGGTGGCAAAGTTTCAAAGGTGGTAGATATTTCTGCCTTTGCACTAACCTCATCTAGATTTTTCTCTACACCTTCCTCTATCCCTCAACTCCTTACTCTCTAGGTCCCTTTTCTGATTCTGGATGCTCAGCCTAACAGCTAAAATTTGCATTAAAAAACCCCTGAATATCTGACCATTTTCCAAAAAGCTGGATTAAGTCACTCTAAAGTTTTGGAGAACTGCAACCATTTCCAAGTTATCTGGATTATTTGTCTCCTGGTCTCTGGGTCTCTGGCCCCATTTGCCTGTAACTCAGCAGAATTTATTAGGCATCTACCTGGACAGGAAGCATTTTGGTCATCAGAGAGCAAGTTATAAGTATACACACACACACACACACACACACACACACACTCCAGACTGAAATACTATTTAACAAAATGTTTGTGGGTTGTGGGATTATAGATCTTTTTCTGTGCTTTCTGGCATTTTCCCAAGAGTTCTACACAGTGCATGCATTACTTTTACGGTTTCAAAAAAAGATTTTTTAAAATTAAAAAACAGTTCTGAATGAAAAAAGGGGTTGGATCTTGGGTAAATGTGGGTAGAGAAGGGGTATTAACTTTTTACCAGACCATTCATTCTTCCATTCATTCAACAAATGCTCCCGAGCATTACAACAGGCGCTCAGATGCGATTCCTGTCTTCGTGTTGCTTATATTCTAGAGGGGCATATATGTGTTTTGCGTGGCTGGACACAGTGCTCCTGGGGGACACTGGAGGGAAGACAGGCACCTGGCATGTGGGGCCATGGTGAGGGGTCTGGATAATAATCTGCAAGTGATGAAATTACACTGATCGGATCTTACAAATAGTTGCTTATACAATGTTACTGTTAGTCTTTAGAGCTTGTTTTGAAGGTGTAAAGTCCAAATTATTAAGCACTTAACTTCATCCCGCACCCGGGCCCAGTTGTGACTTGCTTAGACATACTTCCTTGTTAGGCAGCTTCTACATGACTCACTAAATCTCTGCAAGTATGCAGGCTGTTTCCTTCGCTTGCTCTACTCCCAGGGCAAACCTCACCTTAAATATTTTACTCCTGACTCTAAAATACATTTCATAATCTCAAGTATTTTAACAAAAAAGCCGGTGTCCAAACCTCTGTGACTCCCTCCGAAAAACCTTCAAGTTCTGCTCACACGTCTAGCCTGGAGAGCCGCATGGAGTAAACTGGGATGTCTCTAGGTCCTCCTTCCACTCCGCCTCTGGTTTGTGATTTGCAATTACAACAATGATCCTCGACTCTGGCTGCCCCTTGGAATCTCCTGGGGAGCTTAAAAACTAAGATACCAGCCGCACCCCAGACCAATTAAATCATATCCTTGGGGGATTAGATGCTAAATTCTATAGGCTCATTATCTCTGTTACCTCTGCAATCTGTCCATTTGTTCTGGCACCTAATTCAGGCCCTCATTACCTCTTAGTTTTGCTAATTAAACAGTATTTTCGTTGTTCTTTCCCTCTCATTTAATAATAGTAGAGGTAGCGGTAGTGGTGGTGGTGACGCTGGGAGTAGTAAGCTAATAGTTATTGAGGACTTATTTTGTGGTAGAGGCACAATTCTAGACTCATTACAATACACTGGCTCATTTTCGCACAACGACTCTATGAAGTCAGTCTCTTCTAATCCCCATTTAATAGATGAGGAAACCAAGGCAAAGAGAGATGAGGTAATTTGCTTGGAGCTGCATAAATAGAAAGAGGTGGATCTGGGATTGCAACCAAGTGTATTATACAGCCTCCCACTCATATACCCTCCTCCCCGGGTGTCTCAGGTTTTGCTCCTGCACGTACACACCTCTCGTTGGAATGAGATGCTCTGCCTCAAAAACTGAGAATGATGGTCTTCTCCCCATCTGTTGAATTCCCAGTTAAGATTTTCTCCCATAAATGTTCCTTAAGTTTTTGAGGCCTGTGTCTGCTTTGCTATATTATAATATAGACTACGGTAATATAAAATTTACTAGAAAACTATCCATGTTGCTATCTATAATGCCATGTGTGGCAACGGTTCATGCTTCTCTGCCCTTAGACAAAATAAGGGACCCCTGCTCCACCACAATGCTGAGTTATTATTTGCAGAGCACACATCTGCAATGGTTAGATGTTTGTTTGGCAGTTGGAACTACGGGTGTAGAACTTTCTTGAGAGTTCTACAGCTCTCTTGATGGGATTTTATATATTTTTTCTGTCACAAACATTGAGAGGAATAAGTGATGATGAAGAGTTGATTTATTTGAATAAAAGTCTAGAAAGAAAATGGAAGCTTCAAAAAGACAAACAACTGATTATGTGTATTAATACAGTATCTTGGAGTCAATGATAAGATTTACAGGAAGCAGAGAGTAGTCAGGCCTTGGCTGTCGGCTGTGTTGCAAAAAAGCAGGAAAATGAGTGGAGTTAGTTATTCGATGGTGACTGAAGCGCTAAGCCGGGCTGCAGTGGAGTGGCAGAATAAAGGAGGTGACAGAGGTGTGGGAAGTCAGGCGGTAAACAATAAAAAAGAAACAGGACGGTGCTCACAGGAACAGGAAGGCTGAACACAGGGTTTTTCTTTCATTTCTCAGAGGATTGCTCTGTGCAAAAGGAAGAATGGGAAACTCAGAGTACACGTGTTAGTTTTGTTTTTTTGTTCACGACAGGGTCTCACTCTGTCACCCAGGCTAGAGTGCAGTGGCACAATCATGGCTCACTGCAGCTCCGAACTCCCAGCTCAGCCTCCTGAGTAAATGGGACTATAGGTGTGAATGACTGCATCTGGCTAATTTTAAAAATTTTGGCCAGGCGCAGTGGCTCACGCCTGTAATCCCAGCACTTTGGGAGGCCGAGGAGGGTGGATCACCTGAGGTTGGGAGTTTGAGACCAGTCTGACCAACGTGGAGAAACCCTGTCTCTATTAAAAATACAAAGGTAGCCGGGCATAGTGGCACATGCCTGTAATCCCAGCTACTTGGAAGGCTGAGGCAGGAGAATCGCTTGAACCCAGGAGGCAGAGGTTGTGGTGAGCCAAGATCGCGCCATTGCACTCCAGCCTGAGCAACAAGAGCAAAACTCCGTCTTTTTTGTAGAGATCTCACCATGTTGCCCAGACTGGTCTCAAACTCCTGGCCTCAAGCAATCCTCCCTCCTTGGCCTCCCAAAGTGTTGAGATTAAAGGCATGAGCCACCATACCTGGCCACTATATGTTAGTTTTTTTTTTTGTTTGTTTGTTTTTTGAGTCACAGAGTCTTGCTCTGTTGCCCAGGCTGGAGTGCAGTGGTGCAATCTCAGCTCACTGCAACTTCCACCTCCTGGGTTCAAGCAATTCTCCTGCCTCAGCCTCACAAATAGCTGGGATTACAGGCGCGTACCACCACGCCGATTTTTTTTTTTTTTTTTTTGAGATGGAGTTTTGCTCTTGCTGCCCAGGCTGGGGTTCAATGGCACAATCTCGGCTCACTGCAACCTCTGCCTCCCGGGTTCAGGCGATTCTCCTGCCTCAGCCTCCTGAGTAGTTGAGATTACAGGTATGCGCCACCATGCCTGGCTAATTTTGTATTTTTAGTAGAGACAGGATTTCTCCACATTGGTCAGGCTGGTCTCGAACTCTCGACCTGAGGTTATCTGCCTGCCTCAGCTTCCCAAAGTGCTGGGATTACAGGCGTGAGCCACCACGCCCGGCCTCATGTGTTAGTTTTTAAAGGGAAATAACATTCTTGAAAAGTAGATGGAGATGCGACAATATGCAGAGAGAAACTAAGACAGAGGACCCAGCCATCTCAGGTCTTCAGGAGTGGGCTGGCAGACGGCACAGGAGAGGTAGAGGAAGGCACAGATCTGAAACAGAGATGGCTGCACTGGGGGGAGGTGCAGGGCACGAGCCAGGTCTAGGGTGGGCAGATGTGGTCCGCACATCCTCCACCAGGGCTGACTGGCACCACTAGAGGGCACCCGCGCCTCGTGCTTGGCTATCCCAAGTGGGACTCTGGGCCAAAGCCACTACCCTGGCTTATGCCTGAGGTGTGGAGTGCTTGTTCAACAGCAGCTTGTGCCTTGGCGACTGGCTGCAGAACCTGCTGCCTTTCCCGGATGGCTGGTCCCGCACTCACGGTTCCTTCCACTGTCATCCTTGCCTGACTCCCTGGTGATGGCTGTGACAATCACCTGAGAGCTGCATGTGGCATCCCACTGTAGATCCCACTGTAAACTCCCAAGGGCTCCACAGGAGCAGGTCTCCTGATTACTGGAAATCATACAGGCTCCCTGCACCCTTATTTATTTAGCTTTCTGCACATATCTTCTTTCTCTTCTGCTAGACTCTAAGCTTTTAATGAATAAGAATTATCAGTTTTTTTTTTTTGAGACAGAGTCTCGCTCTGTCACCCAGGCTGGAGTGCAGTGGCGCGATCTCGGCTCACTATCAGCTCCGCCTCCGGGGTTCACACCATTCTCCTGCCTCAGCCTCCCTAGTAGCTGGGACTACAGGCGCCCGCCACCACGCCTGGCTAATTTTTTGTATTTTTAGTAGAGACGGTGTTTCACCGTGTTAGCCAGGATGGTATCGATCTCCTGACCTCGTGATCCGCCCACCTCGGCCTCCCAAAGTGCTGGGATTACAGGCGTGAGCCACTGCGCCCAGCTATCAGTATCTCTTAAAATGTCCTATGAGATGAAGTAATGTCTGGGATTCACTTTAAATCCCCTATGTAGCAGGAGGGAAATTCTGGGTGAAGGGAACATGGGGATTCATTATGTAATTCTCTCTACTTTGATACATCTTTAAAATTTTCTGTAATTAAACTTTAATAAACATCATAGAAGCCCAACGCCTAATACCTAGTACAGGGCAGTAACAGTGAAGTCCTATGTCTGCTCGTCTGTAAAATGCATAGGTCATGCAGGATGAGGGTCCCTTCTAACCGCATTCCCTGATTCTGAGGCTCACTGTACAGTCGGCGAGCACCAGTTAGCTTGTGGGGTGAGTGCATCTTAAGGCAAGTGTTGACCCAAGCACCCAGGAAAAGCCCAGGAAAGTAGGATATCTGGTTCTGTTCCAGGAGCATCTCTTATCAGCTTTGGGTTTCAGTCCTTTGCATGTCCTGAGGAGGCCAGAGGTACTGCTTGGATCCACTGCTCCTGTCTCCCAGGATTGTCCAGACCCTCCTTTCCAGCTGGTATTGCCACAGGGCCTGGCAGAAGAGGCTCGGCTGCCCTGAGGAGCATTTGTTTGCATACGTCCTATTGAATTCTTTCCTATAACATCCTGTACAGAAGAGCCTCTTCGGCCGGGCGCGGTGGCTCATGCCTGTAATCTCAGCACTTTGGGAGGCCAAGGCTGGCGGATCACGAGGTCAGGAGATCGAGACCATCCTGGCTAACACAGTGAAACACCGTCTCTACTAAAAATACCAAAAATTAGCCAGGCGTGGTGGCACATGCCTGTAGTCCCAGCTACTTGGGAGGCTGAGGCAGGAGAATCGCTTGAACCTGGGAGGCAGAGGTTGCAGTGAGCCAAGATTGTGCCACTGCACTCCAGCCTGGGCAAAAGAGCGAGACTCCGTCTCAAAAAACAAACAAAAACAAAAACAAAAACAAAAACAGAAGAGCCTCTTCAACTATTGCCTGGCAGCTATGAGGGAGAAGAGGAGGCAATTCTGGGTAAGCCTCAACAGGACAGAGAAGCCACCCTTGCCCACGTGAAGTGGGCAGCGGGTTCAGATGGCAGCCGGGAAGGATCGCAGGCAGGCTTCTGTGATGAACCAGGGTGAGCAGCCAGGGCCATGGGGGTTGGGGGACGGCTATTCCAATTACAAAACATCTGAGGCGGTGTGGTGTGTGTGTTGAGGTCACAACCCAATTGTTAGCCCCAAGCACTCAGCTCTTCCTCACTGTACTCACACATTTGAGGAAACACTGTTGGACCCCATCTGCTTCAGCGTGATGGCAGAAGGCAGTGGCATGGGATGAGGCCACTAATAGTGGCCCTTTGGTGCTTTAAGGTGAAACAGACTTACCAAGTGTGCTGGAGATGGTGACCTCGTGTCCTTGACTGTGGCGCTGGAGGGGACATCGAGGAGGGGCCATTTCATCTGCAGGTACTGCACAGGGAACAGAAAAGAAAAAGCTGTTGGTGAGATGAGGCCTCACAAGTACTCAAAGTTTGCTGGGCTCTGCTGTTAGGGCACCGGGGCAGGCCATTGGGGTGGCCTGCATTTTCATGCCACATGCCCTGTACTGGGTCAATTTCCAAACGATTATAACAGGAGCGAGCATATATTTACAATCACTACCAGCCTCACCACGCCCTATGTCATTTTGGGGGGGGGGACACGAATGACAACTAAGCTGAACTTTAAGTGGTGGAGAGAACCGATCCATTCCAGCACAACCAATCAACATATTCAAAGAACCTACTAGTGAGGCTCAAGTCCCCTCCCTATGCTGTAGTCATGGACACGCAGGGCTGACCAAGGAGGCAGAGGCTCCCAGATGGCCATCCTGCCCCATCCATTTCCATCACTTACGACATCCACACACAATGCTCCCTACGAAACAGCCATCCAGAAGTATCTGGGAATGAATGAATAAAAGCCATCTGCCTGACACAGAGTCATGGGCAACATCTACCCCAACTCAAGGATGCTGAGCTTTCCTTCATTATAGCGTCTCTCAACCCTGAAAAAGATTACCCAGCACCCCATTCTTTCTCATGTCAGTGCAAAAAACCCAAACCAAACAGTACTTCCCCAACACACACACACACACACACACACACACACACACACACACACACACACAATCTCTCTCTCTCTCTGGCATGGCACAGTCCTTGCCAAGAGCCTAGAAAGAATGAGTTGAGTGGAGCAGCAGTCAGGAGCACTGGGAAGGGCCCTTCTGGGCTCCGGAGCCCTGCATTCATGGGTTCAGGCTCTTACTCTGCCAACATAGGCTGTGTGACCCTGAATGAGTGATTAACAACTCTGAGTCCCAGTTTCAGCATCTGTAAGGCAAGGTTATTATCACTCACGGTACAGGTTGTTCGGACTAGGGACGGTGTCACATATTGAACACAGTGCCTCGCACATGGGAGACATTTGATAAATGACGCCTATTATTTCCATAAGCAAACCATTAGTCTTTGCCAGGAGCAAAAGCACACATGTTGTCTTAGTGTCAACGCTGACAGGTTGCTTCTGGGCAACAGACCCGCAAGCAGCCTCTTTGCAGAATTCTTGAGACTCCTTTGAGAATGAAAGCTGTAACGGAAAGTGGTGGCCCCAGGAAGTTTCACAGAAAGAAGTCTTTGGCTGGGTGCAGTGGCTCATGCCTGTAATCCCAGCACTTTGGGAGGCCAAGGTGGATGGATCACTTGAGGTCAGGAGTTCAAGACCAGCCTGGCCAACATGGTGAAACTTCGTCTCTACTAAAAAAACAAAAAATAGCTGGGTGTGGTGGCGCAGGACTATAGTCCCAGCTACTCGGGAGGCTGAGGCAGGAGAATCGCTTGAGTCTGGGAGGTGGAGGTTGCAGTGAGCCAAGATCGTGCCATGGCACTACAGCCTGGACGACAGAGTGAGACTTTATCTCAAAAAAGAAAAAAAAAGAAGCCTTTGAATCATCCCTCACTCTGGTCATGTAATATCAGGAAAAATCAATCACAATCTGGCTCTGCTGTGTACAGGAGCAGGAGGGCGATGGGAAGAGCCCCAGAAGGCCCCTTTGCTCTTCATTCACCATAAGTCTTGACCAAGATGGCAGGGACTGACTGGGCTTTCAAAAAGGTGTCCATGGGCAGGAACAACAACTTAAGGTCACACGTGCCACAGGCCAGACTAGCACATGGGATGGGCCAAGCAGGCCTGGCGCGGGAGACCTGGTGGGAAGTGGGAACGAAGCCCTATGAATTAGGACAGTCTTTTCACTTTGCGACCTCTGTACCCCCACCCCTCAGCCCTCAAATGGGGTGTCACCTCTGTCCCTGTCCTCTGCTGACCCTATCTTCTTCCTCCCTTCCCACCACCACCCATCCCTTGCCCTACCCAGAGCCCACACACCCGACATGAATTAACTGGGATTTCAATGCCTGTGGCAAGTTAAAAG
Source organism: Homo sapiens (assembly GCF_000001405.40). NCBI lineage: Eukaryota > Metazoa > Chordata > Mammalia > Primates > Hominidae > Homo > Homo sapiens. The sequence continues at coordinate 85,281,492 of NC_000002.12, read as the reverse complement.
CACTGGGCAAATATTGGTATCAATAGTTAAAACTCATTTTCACTGTGAATAACATTTGTGCTACATTTGCACTTGTCAAAGCATTTTCACACACAAAACCCAGTGTAATCTGCACATCAACCCTGCAATGACAAGTAGGGGTGACTATCCCAAATTTTAAAAGGAGCTAGGCCGGGCGCAGTGGCTATGCCTGTAATCCCAGCACTTTGGGAGGCCAAGGTGGGCAAATCATTCGAGGTCAAGAGTTCAAGACCAGCCTGGCCAACATGGTGAAACCCCGTCTCTTACTAAAAATACAAAAATTAGCTGGGCATGGTGGCGTGTGCCTGTAGTCCCACCTTCTTGGGAGGCTGAGGCAGAAGAATCACTTGAACCCAGGAGGCGGAGGTTGCAGTGAACCGAGATCACACCACTGCACTCCAGCCTGGGTGACAGAGTGAGACCTTGTCTCAAAAAAAAAAAAAAAAAAAAAGGAGCTAATGGACATAAACAAAGGCTAAACGCTTCCCCAACTTCATACAAGACAGCTGGAGCTGGAGCCTAGGTCTCTGGACTTCAAATCCCACACCTTGCACAAGACCAAGTCACGAAGCTTTTCCTAAGACTGTCTTCCTCAACTCTCCACCCGCAGCCTTCTCTTTGCTCGGATGTGTTTTCTCTCTCCTTCTCTGTCTTGCACGGGGCTGGCCACCCAGAAACAGAATGGGTCCATGCATGTCAGTGTTCTCCTGGAGGGATGCTGAAGGTGCCCAGAGCTTGCACTTGAAGCCTAAACACCACACTCGTTTTTCTAGAAGCAACAACTTGAACATTTCTGGTTTTAAAAATTAAACTACAATAACAACTACCAGGTGCTAAAGAGAAGTATCCCAAATCTATACCCCCTAATATTAAACAGGATAGATGGGTACCTAAAAATCCATCAACTCTACCAGCATCTGCCCCCTATTTAGGGCCACAAAGACACACATTCATTCTTGTTGGCTTACCAGGGATGTCCTTAGATCATATGGGGGTGGTCCAAAGAAATGTAAACCCTAGTCTGGGATGGTGCTAGAGTTTTGGGTCTTAAATAATCCTCTCAAGTGACCTTATAGATTGTCTGGCAGAGTCGGCTTGTAGGACTGTAGTGCAGGGTTTCTCAGGCTCAGCACTATGACATTTTGGGCTGGATACTTTTTTTATTGGGGGTGGTGGGCTGTCCTGGAAAGTTTAACAACATCTTTGGCCTCTAACTATAATACTAAATGCCGATGCACTCCCATATAGATCATCAGAAATATCTCCAGATTTTGCCAAATGTCTCCTGGGGCTGAGGGAGAGAATCTTCCCTCCCGCAACTGAGAATCACTGCTCTAGTGGCCAAGGAGCTGGCACCCAATAGACTGCAAGCTCCATGAGGGTTTGTCTGCCTTGGTGCTGGGGATATCAAGGTACAGGTACATTTATGTATGCTTGTATTTTGTACACACATTCATAGTAAGGGTTTTCAGTAACAGCCACTCTTTTGGGTGTCTGACCATGTACTTGTTTTATCTATGTAACAAGAAGTCTTGGCTTCTGCTGGGAGGAGACCACACTGGTCGTGCCTACCACTGATACCTGGCCCCTTACAGACAAGTCAGGCAGTGTGAGGGAAAAGACCAGAAGGGAGAGGTGGTCCTGGGAACAGTGAGCATCTCACCGGGACTGACCCTGCTCCAGCCATGCCTGGGGTGGTGCAGGGGCGGTGTGTAGGGAGGGACTCACTCTGGGAGGCAGGAGTGTGGAGGATCGTGACTTTCCCTTTTCTATTTGTCTTTTTAAGTTTTGGAGATGAGTGACGGGGGGAGGAGGAAGAGCTCTAAGACTTTGGAGCCCCTACAGCTTGGCCATGGACGGCCTCTGCATCACAACTCTGAGGAAAGGACAGTTGAACTTCCCAGAACCGTGAATTGGGGCAGCAGGAGCCAGTGACAACCCTTGTAATCCTCTTCCACTGCAGTACTAGACATTTGAAGATGGCCAGGTAGTTCTGAATTCCTAGCATCAGGCCTAGCCCAACTAGAGTGGAAATAAAGTGCTTCTGTTTATTTATTTATTTTTATTTTTTATTTTTAGAGATGGGGGTCTTGCTACGTTGCCCAGGCTCGTCTTCAACGCCTGGGCTCAAGCAATCCTCCCGCCTTGCTCTCGCAAAGTGCTGGGATTACAGGTGTGAGCCACCATGCCCAGCCAATAAAGCTCTTCTTAGCTGTAAGGCCAACCCCACGATCACCCTGAGGGCAATCACTCATGGGTGGGAGCATGTCCTTGGGGAAGTAAGTGATGGCTGACTGTGCTTAGATTCTTTGCATGGTAATGGTATGTGGGCAGGTTAAAACTGCTGGTTTCTCCATGCCCAGTCTAGGCTACATTTAACTGGCTCTGCAAGGCCCAGCTCCTGACCAGTGTGTCGTGGCTGGGCTTCAGCCCACAGCGAAGATGTGTACACGGGCTGGTCCAGCCACCTCCCTCCTGGGGGATGCCCACCGGAATGTAACACATTGAAATGGTGATGAATGGCATCAATGCAACTGATGGCCTGGCAATAGCGATCGCTCCCACTTCTGGGGTGCTTTCTATGGGTTAAATACCCGCTTTTGGATGCTCAAAAATAGAAAGGAAAACACCAAACCCAAACGGCAGGTACTACTGTCTTCGATTTACATATGTTGTGACTATCTAAGACAGGACAGATACACAGTTTTCCAATCTCACTGAATCTGAGAAACACTTTTCTGGGGACTGGGGTTCTGCTACTGTGGTTCACAGTTAAGTAGACTGAGGCTGTGGTTTAAAACATGTCTTTACCTCATTAAGGAAGGATGATTCTAATCCTATTTTTACATTGTTTTCATTGGAGCAGTTGTTGCATTTTTCTCTCGGCATTTACCAAAATGGTCATGTGGTTTCTCTTATTTGACTCATTTATGAGATGTATATATAGCAATAGATTTTCTTACATGAAGGCATTTTTGCATTTCCCAGGTAAGCCCTATTTGGTCATGGTGGTTTGTTCCTTCTTACGCTGTATTGTGGAATGCTAGTCATGTTTTAAATTTTTGACTTTTACATTCCTAAGTAAAGGTGAACAAAGTTTTCTTTTCTTTGGGTGACATCTTTATCGAGTGTTGCCATCAGTGTCCTTGTGGCTTTATTATTCAGAGGGGCTCTGCTCCTCTCTTTCTCAATGTTTTGGGCCCCTCCTTAGAGCCCTCCTTGGGGCGAGCACTTGGCCAGGCGGGCTGTTTCTGCTCAACGTGGATCTCGGGAAGGGTCCCTCTGAAGGATGCTGTCACTAGAGAGCTAGAGCCCCCTTTCCTGCAGGAAGGCGGAGAATCCATCCTACAGAATCCTTGCTTTGATTGGAGCCATGGAGCAGATTAATTGCAGCTGTGCCCTGGAATTTCCCCAACACACAAATCTTCGTGATGTAAAACAGCTGGGAGGAAATCCCAGCATGCCCTGTACAGAGGCAGGACTGCCAATGAGCTACGGAGATTAACCCTCCGGCTCCCAGAAGGTAGGGAGGGCCCCGCCCCAGCCGTCCTCACCCTGTCCCACACTTGCTTAGTGTGGACAGGACTCTACAGGGCTCGGGGGAATGCCCACATTCTCCCTGTTCGCACGTTCTCACAGAAAAGCCTTTAAGCAGGGCCTGGGCAACAGAGGAAACAAAGCTTCATGTTACAGAATCCACAGCTCCCCACAGTTGCATGCAAGGAAAACAAGTCAGCTCCAAAAACTGCACAGGTGAGAAAACTCCAGCCCAGAGAACGCCTTCCGCTGCTTCTAGAGGAAAGGCCCAGTAGGCAGAGAAAGCGCCCCTTGCTCCAGCCCCATGGTCTCGCCCATTTTTGGCCACTTGCCCATCAGCAGACACAAAGGGTCCCAGTTTTGGTGACCGGTCCTTCCTGCCTCTCTGGACCCCTATGGTAAACAGTGACTTTGGGGACCTAGAGCCAGGATCCCCTTTGATAGAGAAGCAAGGGTTGCCCAGGCTTTTCGGGAGATGTAAAGTCCCAGTGCCACCCAGAACCCAAGGCTACACCCAAACTCCGGGTGCAGGTGGCTTCCCACCACAGTGACAATAACATTATTCAAAATGCTCTCCTTGTCCTCTTAGAAACTCTATGTAACAGGAACCTATACTATAACCGTACTATAAATGAAAAATGTGAAGAAGCGATCCGTGTCTCCCCGTCTCCATTCTGCCACAGTTGCAGTCGTTTCTTGCCTGGACTACTGCAAATCCTACCAGAGTCAGCCTTCTAAACACCAGTCACATCTCTCCCCTGCTCAGAACACTTCCCTGGTTGGTTTCTGGGGTCAAGAGATAAAGCCCCCAAACTCACCAGCAATCCCACACCACCCTATCCTTCTGGCTTCCACCCTCACCGCCCCCCACCCCAGCTGCACAGAGTCCTCACTGCACTCTGAACGCACCATGCTGCCCTGCTGCTCCCCGGCCTGCTACGGCCTTTACTGCATCCTTCACTCGTGGGAAACTTTAACCCCTCTTCTTCAAAACCCATTTCCTCCCAAGGTCACCCTCCCTGGCATGAAGCCTCCATGAGTCTGTCGCTCTCGAGAAGCGGTACACGGTGTTTCCATAGCACTCACCAGGCTACTCCTCCCCATTTGCACACTCTGTCTGCCCTTGGGACGGTAAGCTCCTCAAGGGTCATGCTGCACCTCAATTCCTCACCCAGAACCCGGCAATCATGATGTGTTGAAACCCTGTCCCATGCTGTATTAATGCCGTGAGCTTAGGCCCAGTTTCCACATCTGTAACGAGGGGTTGAACAGCCTCTGCCTGAAGCCTTTAGAGCAGGGGAGAGATGTGACTGGTGTTTAGAAGGCTGACTCTGGTAGGATTTGCCGTAGTCCAGGAAAGAAACGACTGCAACTGTGGCAGAATGGAGACGGGGAGACACGGATCGCTTCTTCACATTTTTCATTTATAATACGGTTATAGTATAGGTTCCTGTTACATAGAGCTTCTAAGAGGACAAGGAGAGCATTTTGAATAATGTCATTGTCACTGTGGTGGGAAGCCGCCACACAGGAGCCCATTTCACTCATGGGCAACGCCTGCTTCTCACAGTAACTGGCTTAGTCTGCCGAGAATACGTAAATGTAGCATGGAGGCTGGGATGCCCAACTTGGCCAGTTCTTGGAGACCTGTTTCTATCTTCTGTACTAAAGTTCACAAATGGATCTAAGTTTGAAAATACACTGACACTGAGCAATGAACTCAGGAATAGGGAGACAGAAAAGCTTTCCCAATTGGGAAAACATTTTTAGTTTTCAGCAGTCGGTAAGAGAAAACGAAAGTGTAAAGAACTTGTTCCCAAACAAGATGGATTAGACAAAGAGTTCCAGGGGCAAAAGTATAAAAGAAGTTTTACACTCTTATCCCTTCTTTCTTAAGAATGAGTCATTTATGCCTTTGCTTAACTTTGTGGATGGCACTAAATCCCAAACACATTTTTTGTTTTACCTGAGGGTAGGTTAGATTCTTTCTTGAGGTATTTTTTTTTTTTTTTTTTGAGATGGAGTCTCACTCTGTCGTCCAGGCTGGAGTGCAGTGGCGCAATCATAGATCACTGCAACCTCCACCTCCTGGGCTCAGGCAATCCTCCCATCTCAGCCTCTCAAGTAGCTGGGACCACAGGCATGTGCCACCATGCCTGGCTAATTTATTGTAGTTTTGGTAGAGACAGGATTTCACCATGTTGCCCTGGCTGGTCTCGAACTCCTGAGCTCAAGTGATCTGCCCGCCTTCACCTCCCAATTCTGCTGGCATTACAGGGGTGAGCCACCGCACCTGGCCTACACTGGTCTTAAACCAATGAAGTGACTTTGCTCTCTCTAGCACCTGTCACAGCATTTAGTCAACAAATGGCTTTAAAGCCCATGCACTGGTAGCAGAGGGGCTCCAAAAGCATTTCATAACTGAATAGTAAACTCAAAAGTAAGAGTGTGTCAATTAGGTGTCAGTTTCACCATAAACACCTCTTTCCTCTGCTTTCCCCAAATGATTCTTTCTTTTGTGGATGATCTCAAAACTATTCTCTTCCCCTCGCATTCCAAAGAACCTGGCAATTTTGCCTCCTAGATTTGACCTAAGGTTTGTTTTTAAAAACTGGCTCCCCCGCAGAAGCCAAGCTTTCGTTTTAGAGCACAGGAGGCAAGAGATCAGGGTTCCAGGCTCTTTCTAACCTTTCTGGACTCCATCGTCTCATCTTTAAAATGGGAATATTTTACTTCATCAGCCTGAAGCAGGGGCCTGGACTAGATGGTCTCCTTTGGAAGGAAAAATCAAATTCAGCTGTTTGTCTAAACACAGAGGGCACTGGGAGTGCCGACCGTGTTGAGGTGTTCAACAAATACGGAATCAGGGGTCCTAGCTGAACCCCACTTACAAGCTGTGTGCCTGTGTACATCACCTTTCAGAACCTCTGGTTTCCACATGTAAAATAGGAATAAGAACACCTACTGCCTGGCAGAGTGATTATCTCACGTGTGGCTGTCACACTCAAGTGTGAGTGTCCTCTCACACTGGAGAGGACCAGGCAGAGTGTGGGGCATGCGGGGAGCTTGTAAGAAATCTGTGTTCAGTCACTAAATGTGTAAGTTATTGGTATTCTAGGAGCCTGTGACCTGCGCTTTACCTGGGGAGACAGGTCTGGTTCGGTGGTGTGTTGGTAAATGCCTAACAACTGGCTCTCTAAGCAAAAAACAAAGTGAAAAACCAAAGCATTTGCTGGTATTCATGGTGTAAACACTCCCGCTGATTTCAAGGTACCACGATGAGTCACTGAAGGCTCAGCGCGGAAGAGATGCTACCAATTGGCTGGGTGCCAGCTGGCTCAGGCACACCAATGACCGTGGGCAAGAGCTGGGTTGGAGGGGTGGTCTCAGATGTGTCCTGACTTGCTGGGATGGCTGGAAAGCTGAGACACACATGGTTCTCAGCTGACGTGGGCCTGCTTGAGGTCTTGATGGAGAGCCGGACACTTGGCTAGGTATGTCCCCCGACAGCTGCATGCTCTGGAGGAGGGAAAACTCTGCTCCCAGAGCACTAGGCACAGCCATTCTGTGGTGGCCCTGACCAGGGGGACCCCGGGACAGAGCCCTAGGCTTTCAAACAATGTCAAAGTTCAACTTGCTTTCGAGTCCGCATTTCTGCAGCCTGGAGCGCTGGGCCTGCTGAGTCGCAAGCTGCCTCTCCCATCGGCTGTGACCTTGGGTTTGCTGGGCCTGGGCAGTGTCTGTGCAGTGTCTATGCTCACTGCCCAGCCACCAATGTGCTGCAGGAAGTGTCTTCGTGGAAACTGGCTTTGGAGGCCCAGTCCTCCTTTCCCTGAGGTGAACCCTGCTGGGCCCCTCCCTCTGTCTCTCCCCTGTCGCTGTGTGCCTGGGAATCTACTGACACGCTTCCCTCCCCTCAGGCCCTCAGGTGAGAACATCTGCCCTGGCCCCCACAGGATGCAGAGTCCACCTGCTGGCCTCTGACCAGGAGCTCAGACTGGGCTGAAAGAGCAAATGCCTTTCTCCTTCACAGCCTGCAGCCTGTTCTCTGGCCTGCCCATACCCACCCACGCCACTCTGCCCCCACTCCATTCGCCGGCATAGTAGGGCTGGTCCCATAGCCATCCCCACAGAGCTGCCTCCTCCTGGGTTACAGGAGGTGCCATAACCGACTCAAGGGGCCCATGCTCACAGACATGGAGGTGTTTCCCAGGCTTCTGCTGCAGTGAACACCCTTGAACACTCACCGTGTCGCCCATGTATGTCTATAGTGGGAGGACACATTTCCAGCTGTGAGGGGAATCACTAGGTCAAAGATATGCACACTTAAGTTCTGAGGAGTGTTATTAAATTTCTCCCAGTTGACACTGCTAACAGCAACCTGGGAGAGGGCTTATTTCCCCACACCCTTGCCCATACAAGGTTATCAAACTGTTTAAACTTTGCCAAACTGACAGGTAAAAAAGTCCCTCACTGGAGTTTCCATTACTCTTATAATGAGTGAGGCTGCGAATTGTCCTCTGTATGGGTGATGATTTGAAGGAGGGAAAAAAGATGTGTGTGGCACAGAGGAAGTGGGGCACATAATCTGCTGGATGGCGGGGATGGGGGAGGACGAATATGGAGTCACTGCAGGTGAAACACAGGAGGGGTCTGTGGGTTCCTTGCAGCTGGCACAGCCTGTGCAACCTCTCCTGCACTTGATCTTCACTCAGGTGGAAGAGGCCAGAGAGAAGGAGCTGAGGCTGAGTCTGTGCGCTGTTGTGAGTGAGGAGGAGGTGGGAGGAGAGCCCAGGAAGCTGCTGGTGGGCAGCTGCCCCTTCTGGTTCTCCCCCTTTCCCTTCCCCGCATGTACACAGGCTGCTTACATGCCCTCCCCGCCTCCCAGGTACTTCTCAGCCCCCAGAAGGCTGGCTTCTGTTCCACTCCCTCCACTGTCTCTGTAGACACTCTCCTGTCTTTGCAAGGCCATGGATGACTTTAGGAAGAAAATAAAGGCAACTGGCTTTTGAACTGCCACATGACATGGGCAGCTCTGGGGAAGCCTCTCCCCGCTCCTGCCCTGTGGCTGCAGGTTCTGCATGCCTTTTGGGTGATTTTTTTATTGATTGATTGATTGATATACTGGTTAATGGATTGATTGATAGGGTCTTGCCCTGTCAGCCAGGCTGGAGTGCAGTGGCACGACTGTAGCTCACTGCAGCCTTGACTTCATGGAATCAAGCAATCCTCCCACATCAGCCTCCTGCATAGCTGGGACTACAGGCAAGCACCACACCACCCGGCTAATTTTTTTTTTTTTTGGTAGAGACAGGGTCTCACTATGTTGCCCAGGCTGGTCTGAAACTCTTGGCCTTAAGTGATCCTTTCGCCTTAGCCTCCCAAAGTGCTTGGGATTATAGCTTTGAGCTACCACGCCCGGTCATCCACATTTATTGACCTGAATAAAGTGTGCTGGACAAACTGTTCAGTGAGAAAAGCCAATTAAATAATCTGGAAGCATAGTCACCCAAATGTTATCGCTGGATTTTTAACATTTCAGGCAATTTTATTAGTTCCTTTTTCATATTTTTCTTCTTCACTTGAAATTTTTACAATCAGTATGTCTTATATCATAGCAACAGTAAGCAAAGCTATTAAAAGTAACCCCAGATGAATTATTTTCAATCCTGTGCCTTCAGTGTACCTAACCAGAAACCTCAAAATCCACTTTAATGACTTTAGTTACCTCCCTAACCTGCTCTGGGCCACCCAATTATATGGCTTCTGGACATTTTTTGAACCCTATTCCGAGGAGGAGCCCCTGCAGCAGCCTTCTGGGTTTGCTTGAGCTCCTGCAGGTTCTCACCCAGGAGGAAGGCAGCGGGGGTGGGGGGCAACCCGGTTTGAAAGGGGTGGTAGTGGGCTGCAAACCACATCGGCAGGTTGCTTTGCCTCACATTGACAAAATGTCTGTTGTCCAAGAATAGGGTAGTTGACAGAAATGAAGGGATCCCAAATCCTCTCTCCATTGAGTCATCAGTGCTCCTGTTCTCAGTTCATCTCTTCCAGTCTACCCTTCACTTACCTCTAGAAATATCTTTCTAAAACATAAAACTGTGCTGTTTAAAGCTAGCAGGAGGCTACTCATTCTTACAGGACTGCCTACCAGATGATCAAGATGCAGTGACAGCTCTGTACAGAGCCCTCCATCAAAGTTTAGTGAGTATCTCATATAAAAGGTGGCTGTTTATATGCATGATATACCACAGGAGAGATTTTTAAAGTACATAAATAACTAGACTATAAGCCTATAAATGACAGGTTCAGATAAGACAGGGATGGCAATGGGCAAGAATTATCGTGTTACAACTGAAAACTTCATAGAGGAGGTGGCATCTGTGCTGGGTCCTGCAGGCAGGATATACTTCTACAGTTGTTTTACTTTTTAAAGCATTCCATATGAATTATCTGATTTGATATTACTGACTCCTGGATATAGGTAAAGCAGATATTATTATGTTCATTTAAAAAATGGGAAACTGGGCCGGGCGCGGTAGCTTATGCCTGTAATCCCAGCACTTTCGGAGGCCGAGGCAGGAGGATCACGAGGTCAGGAGCTCAAGACCAGCATGGCCAATATGGCAAAACCACGTCTCTACTAAAAACACAAAAATTAGCCGGGTGTGGTGGCGGGTGCCTGTAATCCTAGCTACTTGGGAGGCTGAGGCAGGAGAACTGCTTGAATCTGGGAGGCAGAAGTTGCAGTGAGCTGAGATCGCACCATTGAACTCCAGCCTGGGTGACAGAGGGAGACTCTGAATCAAAAAAACAAAGGAAATTGAGCCTGCTGGAGGCTGTTGGATTTCCTCGACACTGGCACTAGAATATAGGACTTTGGGCGTTTATGTTGTAACTCTAAGGGTACAAGGACATGATTTCTGCCTTCTAGAAACTTGTGGTTGGGAATGGGACTCACACTTGTAATCGCAGCATTTTGGGAGGCTGAGGCAGGTGGATCACTTGAGCCCAGGAGTTCAAGACCAGCCTGGGAAACAAAGTTAGATGAGACCCCGTCTCTACAAAAATACAAAAAAAATTAGCCAGGTGTGGTGGCGCACGCTTGTAGTCCCAGCTACCCGAGAGGCTGAGCTGGGAGGATCGACTCAGCCCTCGAGCTCGAGGCTGCAGTGAGCTGTGATTGCGCCACTGCACTCCAGCCTGGGTGACAGAGTGAGACTCTGTCTCTAAATAAAAAATAAAGAAACTTCCAACTGATCTCGGAATCTTGGGATAGCAAATATGGGGCACAGGAGCAGTCCCATCCCTCCGTGCTTGTGGCAGACACTGCTAGTAGACCATGGCACTCTTTCTTGCTAAAGGTGGGTAAGACCTCAGAATCCTCAACACTGAGGCAGCTACTAACAGTTGATTAAAACTGACCTGTAAGGTGCAATCTATTTATTCTCTCTGATTTACGCCAGGAGGTAGATACAGATGTTCTGTCTGGTGAGAAGGAGGGGCAGAAACCAGGTCATAGAAGCATCTCTCCTGGCTGGCACAAAGCGGAACTCAGCTCCTAGACAGAGGTGAAGGCTTCACCAAGAATGTGACTAGATGGCAAAAACAGTCATAATTTGCAGAAAGTCCATTGACCAAAAGCAGGCCTGAGAATTCTAAAGTTTACGGACTTTCCCCTATGGGAGGAGAAGCTGGAAAGCATCCCAGGTATTGAGGAGAAAGGAAGCAGGATCTGTGTATAATCAGTGAGGAACAGGAAGCGCTTATCTGGGGCCAGTGAAATACTCAACACAAAAGAACAGCCAGGCAGCCTGGAGCTGCCTTCCAGCCACAGAGCTTCAAGGGTCTCTTAGAACCCTTCCCCGCGGCTCCTGCAGGCCCAGCAGCTGGCCAAAGTCAACAACTCCTGGGCACCGGGAGATGGGAAATGTCTGAGGAGGCCTCTCCATAGACGGGCAGTTCCAGGAGAGCTCTCCGACCCCACAGGTGAACAAGAACACAGGAGAATAAGGGTCACACCAGCCACCTCTATACAGGGCCATTGCTCCTGATAAAGGAGCCTGAAGAAGGGGTCCTGCACCCTACACTAGTGTGTATGCAAATGTGGGTGCACATGTGGCTTACATATCTCAGGGAACAACACGATTTTATGTCCATATTGAAGGGAGGGTGCAGGAAGTTATGACGGACAGTGGAAGGGCTGAGAAGTTCCCATCTCAATACTATTAAACAACACCTCCTATTTTTTAGTACCTAAAATATTTACATTAATCGGCCTTAAAATATTTAAGTATTTAAAATATTTAAGTATTTAAGCCAGTATTTTTGGCTGGGTGTGGTGGCTCACGCCTGTAAGCCCAGCACTTTGGGAGGCTCACCTGAGCCCAGGAGTTCAACAGTAGCCTGGGCAACATGGTGAAACCCTGTCTCTACAAAACACAACAAAACAAAAATGTATATATAGCCAAACAAACAAAATTATAAATACATATGTATGTGTATTTTTTATGTATGTGTATACACATGTATATACGTATACACAATTACACATGCATGTTACAGGCAAAGTTTGATATCTTGGATACTGTTGCTTACAGTGAAGCTCCATTTTTAAAAAGTGGAAAAAAGTGAATCAATTCAAAGAAAAATAATTATGTAAATAGTATAGGTGGTATGTGGCAAAGATTATGTGAGGAAGTGACATCCAGGGAATATGGTTGTAGGACTGCATGTTTGTGGCCATCCAGGGGCTACTGCCAGTTGTGGATGAGGGCACCCCTAGGAATTGGAGAAAGAGGTTCTGCACACAGACTCAAAGGTCAGAGCATCCCAGGACACACCACTATTGTCTTCCCAAATTGCTTCTCACCGAGATCTACCATCTCTCTCTTCTCATGTACCTGCAGGGTCAAAACCTCAGACATCTTTTCCTCCACCTTCTTCCTCACTTTGTCATCTAGCCCATCAAGTCCTGTGTTTTTTCAATCTCAACTACCACTGTCTTGCAATGGCTCCCTAACATTCACCTTGCCCCACACTCGTTCCTCCAGGTCGGTCACACACCCTGCTGCCCGCTGACTTTCCAGCTCACAGCCAGGCTCATTTCCTCGCTTAGCTTCCCCTAAGCTCTTTGGGGATAGGCATCCAATCTTTTTTTTTTTTTTTTTAACCTGCCGCTTCAGAAAGGCATCCAGGCTGGGCACGGTGGCTGACGCCTGTAATCCCAGCACTTTGGGAAACCGAGGAGGGTGGGTCACCTGAGGTCAGGAGTTCGACACCAGCCTGGCCAACATGGTGAAACCCCGTCTCTATGAAAAGTACAAAAACTAGCCGGGCATGGTGGCGGGCGCCTGTAATCCCAGCTACTCACGAGGCAGAGGTTGCAGTGAACCGAAATCGTGCCACTGCACTCCAGCCTGGGTGACGTGAGCGAGACTCCGTCTCAAAAAAAAAAAAAAAAAAAGGCATCCAATCTTATTCGCCCTTTGGGTCCCCACGGCCTTAAGCACAGCATATCATTTGTGAGAGGTGCTTGATGACTATTGCAGGGTGTTCTAGGATTAACCAAATTAGAGGTGCAAGTCCTTCTCTCTGGAGGTGCTGCCTCCCAGGCAGCTCTAGTGGAAATGTTGTCTGCAAAGGCAATTAGCGGTCACACTCCTGGGGTTGTTGCCACAGACCCTAATTTAGCTGACCTAGGGTGAGAACAGAGAAACCATCACCTTTTGGGAGAATGATGGATAGAGGGAATGGGAAAGTCCGCTGCCACTGGGGACCCTATCAGGTGAGTAAGACTCCATTTACCTAAAGTGATCAAATAAAAAACATTTACCAATATCATATCTGCTTCTATTTTTATATTTTCCCCTACAGTTAATACATTATTAAAAAACAAACAAAAACATTCTAATCTTTTGTAGCTGGGGGCCTTGATGCTGGGATTCTTCTGTTCAGCCCCACTGTGGAATACAGCACTTCTGAAATTCATACTCTGTTTGATATTAATATCATTTCAGATAAGCAAATAAGTATGTGCCAAAGCCAGGGACAGGAAACTGTCTGCATAAATCTTGGATAAACAGATTTCTTTAAAGAAAACATTTAGTGATGCGTTACCTTGTGCCAGATACTCCATGTGTTATTTCGTTTAACCCCCACAGCCTTATAAGTTGATGCTATTATTATCCTCATTTAACAGATGGAGGGATTAAGGTACAAAGAGGTTAACTAACTTGCCCCAGTCTATCCCAAACCCAAAAGCCAACTCTTTTTTTTTTTTTTTTTTGAGACAGAGTCTTTCCTCTGTCGCCCAGGTTGGAGTGCAATGGTGCGATCTTGGCTCACTGCAACCTCCGCCTCCTGGGCTCAAGTGATTTTCCTGCCTCAGCCTCCTGAGTAACTAGGATTACAGGTGTGCGCCACCACACCAGCTAATTTTTGTATTTTTAGTAAAGACAGGGGTTCACCATGTTGGCCAGGTTGGTCTTGAACTCCTGACCTCAAGTGATCCACCTGCCTCGGCCTCCCAAAGTGCTGAGATTACAGGTGTGAGCCACCATGCCCAGCCCCAAAGGCCAACTCTTTTTTTTTTTTTTTTTTTTTTTGAGACAGAGCCTCGCTCTGTTGCCCAGGCTGGAGTGCAGTGGCACAATCTTGGTTCACTGCAACCTCCGCCTCCCGGGTTCAAGTGATTCTTCCACCTCAGCCTCCCAAGTAGCTGGAATACAGGTGCACACCCAGCTAATTTTTGTATTTTTGTAGAGACAGGGTTTCACCACGTTAGCCAGGCTGGTCTTGAACTCCTGACCTCAAGTGATCCGCCCGCCTCGGCCTCCCAAAGTGGTGGGATTACAGGCATGAGCCACCACACCTGGCCAAGGCCAACTCTCAATCCTTTCATTATGCTAGTGCTGGAAGAGAAGAAAACATACCACTCCTGCAGCCCATCCTGGCACTCCTCAGATAAGGGCAGTCAGGCCCATGGGGTGAGCTGTCCCACCAAGGTCACGGAGGACACTGGCAGAGCTGGGATCAGAACAACCCAGGTGTCCTGGCCGCCAGCTACAGAACAGCTATGATGGATCAGGTTATTTTTTTTACAACACATAAACATAAAAATAATTGGAAGGGGATGAAATACTAATGTAAGCAAATCAATATTATAAATACCAATCTGAGAAGTCATAAAACACAACAAAAGAATACTTGTATTATTGAAAGTTTCAATATGGATAAGCCGTAAGGCATGCAGAGCATGCTCAACAGCTCCACACTGCCCCCTGGTGGTTCCCAAGTCCCCACCGGAAGCATGCTGGACCAATGACCAGCGGGAAACAAAGGCCCTGGACAAGGATACCTGCTGCACTGAAAACCCCAGGAGCCGGTGACCTGGTGGGCCAGACAACAAAGATCCTCCTGGGCTGGGCATCAAGCCGTCAAGGAAAATCTCTGGGTTCCACTCCCATTTGTTTGCAGAATTTGAGATAAAGAAGTTATGAACTCAGTAATGAGTTAACTACTTTTAGTCTCTCATGTTGGCAGTGGCCTTTTCCCCCTTTAATTACCACAGGCACTTTTTAATACCCTGGTGGTGGGAAAGTAAATTAGTAAATCCTGTCTTGTGCAATTTGGAAGTATGTATCAAGTCTTCTGAAGGCTTACTGTCTCTAGGAATGCATCCTAAGGAAATAATTAAGGATGCAAGCAAAATATAGCTGCAAGGATGTTCACTGAAGAGCTGTTTATAATAGCTGAAAGATATTAAATGCCTTATGCTGCAATTATGATATCTGAATTTATGTAGTAGGTGGTTATTTACAGAAACAGAAAGGTGTTTACACTGTTAAGTGAAAAAGCAAGATACGAAACATGTATTTCCACCTGTGTAATGGGGAGTGCTTAAAAAAAGAAAAAACATGTATTGAATCCTACTTTTACTTGTAATTTTGTAAAACAGGTATCTTTATGTATGTGTTGAGAAATCTGGAAGAATATACACTAAGAGGTGAGTTGAACTTAATCTCTCTGGGAGACAAGATTATGGGTGTTTTTATTTTATTCTTTTGGCTAAACATACATTGATTTTAAAAGGTAAATGCAAATATATGCAATGGGAATCACTTTTTAATTAAAAAAATTAAATATATAAAAACACTCAAAAAAAAAAAACCCAGTAAAGTCTATATTCAAATCTTCAGCCTCTCATTTCTGAACTTCTGAGTGCTGTTTTATTTTGAATGGGGTCTTGCCCCTGACAACCTTCCCAACCGTTCCCATTAGGGCCTGGAAAAATGTGACCTCAGCCGTTTGGAAGCCTTCAATGGTTCCTGGGCAACATACGCTGGGGCCAGTAAGTGCTGTGACTGCCAGCTGCACGAGTCCTTCCTTGGCTGAGGAAGGGTCCACTCTACAGCCCCGCCCTGGACACTCTCCTCCACTCTTTCCCTTCCAGAGGGATTCCCCTCTGGGGGAAGGTCTGGGCGCCAATTCAACCAGAGGAGACAACCCAGTCTGCTAGTTCTCAGATCTCACTGGCACCAGGGCTGCTGGGAGGAGCTTTAAAAACACTGATTCCTGTCTGCGTTCCCCATTATGATTTAACTCTTCCAGGGTGGGGCTTAAGCATCTACTTTTTTTTTTTTTAAGCTCCCAGGTAATATTAATGTGCGATCAGAGTGGTCCCCAAATGCTCACACCTACCCCTCCATAACTTTCTGTAGTTTCTACCCATTGTTTGGGCTTCTCTTTCAAAGATGACCTTCCTGGATCTATGGTCCTGTCTCTTTTACACTCTTCTTTCACAGCCCAGAGCAAGCATCCACCCACTTACCCATTAAACACTGTTTAGTGCTACTGTGTGCCAGGTTCATGGTTCTCCCCTACCTAAATCCTTGCCTAGAATACATATCTTCATTCCGGTGGATCCATTATAAGGCTCAAGGTGGAAGTTTCTGGTAAAAATGGAGAATCTATAACCTGACAGCAGCCCTCATAAATTAGCCATCACAAAGTGAGACAGGAAATGCCCACACAAGTTTCCTGATGGTTTATTGGACAAATTCAATATCATAACCCATATGCCATAAACACTCCTAACGGCGTTAGCACATTACATGCCTTCTTTCTGGGTTGGGAGAGGGGCTGCAACACATTCCCCCAACTCTCCAATCAAATCCAGGGCTTGGTCTTTATGGAATTTCAAGCATCCAGGCTAGGCTAGTTGGGTTAGGGAGGAGGGTACATTTCAGAGCACAAAGGCTCTAAAAACATTTCTCAAATCCCCTGTCACTTCCTGACTGACCTAGTAGAACACCAATTCTAGGCATAGCCTGTGCATGAAGTTGGTTACAGAACTTAACTTTCACAAGCAGCTGTTTGAGGACCGAGACTGGGTGGTGATCAGGTCTTGTTCAGGCCTGATGATGACCTGAAAATTCCACATCTTTGCCACTTCCTTCCTGAGCCCCCAGTTCCTATCCAGACTCTGAAACCCAATCACTGACCAGGTGACAACTCCATCTCATGTCCGAGGATTTGTGATGCATGCACAGCACCAGACTGGGTAGGTGTGGCCCATTTGAATACTTTTTTGTAAGTCCACTGGCCAAATTCTCATTTGATCCACCTTGATTTTCCATATTCCATTCTATCCATTCCTGGAGGTCAGGAGTACTCACGTAGTCACTCAGATACACGCTGAATTAAACTCCAAGTCATGGTTCAAATGGGTCATTGATTTCTTCCTCTTCAATTTCCATTTTTCCCTTCAAAGAAGGAAGAATGGGCAGGAAAAATCAGTGCAATTGGCTGGAGACCCACAGTTGGATGGGCCCTGTGCTGAGGCCGTCTCTCCCTTACAAGCTCTTTACAAAACCGTCAAACCCCCACTGTCAATGCCTCCACTCCCTCCAATCATTCGGCCCACTGCCACCTGCCTTCCACGTCACTGGCCCTGTTTTCGCTAAGGCCACTGCTGACCTCCTAACTACCAAACCCAATGTCATCTTCCAGGTCTTTTTCCTAAGAGGCCCCTCAGCTTCTGGGGCACCCTTTCGGCTGGTTTTCCACTTACTCCTCCAGCCGCTCCTCAGAACCTTGGCCTATGCCTCGAAAGCTGGTGTTCTCTGGGTAGTCTCCTCCTCCCCCTGCAGGTTGGCACCCACGCGGTGATCACGCTCATCTCTGCAGCTGGCTCCAGCCTTCCTCCTCATCTCCAAGTGCTTCCTTGACACCGTGCTACAGGCAGCTCAATCCCACACAGACTCATCAAAATCCAGCCCTGATCCTGTTTCCTACATCCTATCAACCAAGGCTCCTTTGAAAGTGAAAGGGAACACCTTTAACAATTATGATGGATGATGTAAACCAGGACATGCGGTCACCCTGAGTATTGTACAAACCTTGGGGATCATTCTGGCCTCTTCTCTTTCCCTCACTCTCTACAACTGACAGGGGACCAAGTCTTGTCATTCTAACTTGGACTGTCTCTCCAATTGTTCCCCTTCATCTCTGCTGCTCACTGCCCTGGACCTCTGTAAAGACTCTGAGCTGCCCTCCTGCCGGCAGCCCCTCCCCAGGCCAGCCCACCCTTCCTGTGATTGCATTACTTCCCCCCCTCCACCCTACCCCCAACAAAAGCTCCAGCGGTTCCCGATGCCTGCTCAGTGGGCATTAAAGCCCTGGCCTACCCTTCCCATCTCCAACTGCCTATTCCCAACAACACCCTCCATCCATTTTCTAGCCAGCCAATCATTCCATTCTCTGAGTGTTTCACTATTTATGCCCCCAAGTCTTTTGCCAAAAGGCTGCCATGCTTTTGCCAGTGACTGGACTACCACCCTGGGTACCTTTGGTCATTGGCCCAAGTGAAGGCAAAGGGCTGCTGAGGGACCGCAGCTTTCCCCAGTTGCACATGGAAAAGGTGCAACTGTCATGATGTAGATGACACTCTCTCCTTCTCCCTCTCTCTCTCTGAGGCCCTTCTTTCTGGAGTTCCATAGCCACTGGCCTGGCCCAAGTTTGGGGTAGGGGTAGGGTATCTGAAGCCACTGCAGTAGCAAGTACCCTGTGTTAGCCTCTAGTTCCCCGCTCTTGGGTGTCATTTCTTCCCGGGTCCATGAGTAGCCTTCCAAAGGGAATCTGCTGGAGAACTTATTGGAGGATGGCATCAGGCTCCAACTCTAGGGACCACAACCCATATGCTTGTTCTCTAATTGCTTTCAGAGTTCCGGAGAGACCCTGTGAGTTCCTGGGTATCCCCCATGTATATGATGGGGAATTCATTCTGCTGGTTTGATCTCTTTTCCTTTGGGCAACATCTTTAAAAAAAGTCTTCCTTGGAGACTTCAAACCTGGATCTTTAACAAGTCCTTGATGAAATGCTTGGAAATGCTCGTGTTTTTACCCTGGACTTGACAGCAGCCTCTACAGACTCCTTTCTCCATATTCTGCTTGGCTTGTCAGAGGCCAGAGGGATCCAAAAGAATTCCTCAGGGGAGGAAGCCCTAAGCCTACATCTTATTCTTTTTAGTTTTTTTTTTTTTCTTTTAAGAGACGGTGTCTTGATTCTGGAAGTTGCTCTCAGAGGCAGCGTGCGGGTGTGCTCTTTGTGAAATTCCACCATGGCATACCATGGCCAGGGCCAGAAAGTGCAGAAGGTGAAGATGCGCCCATCAACCTCATCTTCAGATACTTACAAAATAGATCGCAGATTCAGGTGTGGCTCTATGAGCAAGTGAATATGCGGACAGAAGGCTGTATCATTGGTTTTAATGAGTATACGAACCTTGTTATTAGATGATGCGGAAGAGATTCATTCTAAAACAAAGTCAAGAAAACAACTGGGTCGGATCATGCTAAAAGGAGGTATTCCTCTGCTACAAAGTGTCTCCAGCTAGAAATGATCAATGAAGTGAGAAATTGTTGAGAAGGATACAGTTTGTTTTTAGCTGTCCTTTGTCCAATATGAACATTTATTCATATTGTTTTGATTACCCTTATGTTATTACAAGATGGCAATAAATGCTATGGGATTGTTTGTCTTACAACAAAAAAAGAGATGCTGTCTTGCTCTGTTGCCCAGGCTGGAGTGCAGTGGCACGAACATGGCTCACTGTGGCCTCCTGGGCTCATGCGATCCTCCCACCTCAACCTCTTGAGTAGCTGGGACTATAGGCACACATCACCACACCCAGCTAATTTTTTTTTTTAACAGATGGGATCTTGCTATGTTGCCCAGGCTGGTCTCAAACTCCTGGCTTCAAGAATCCCACTGCCTCAGCCTCCCAAAGTGCTGGGATTACAGGTGTGAGCCACCACGCTTGGCTTCTTTTTAGCTTTGACAACATCTACTTCAACTCACCTGATTGCTTAGGCTGGGTTTTGGTTACAGCTAAGGCACAACTTCTTGTCCTTAACAACCTTTGTCAAGACACATGCTTGCTGGTGGAATCATGTACAGTCTCCACTTCACAAAGTCCTCTTCCAGGCATTGTCCAGGGAGGTATCCTTCGTGAGCACACACATGCTTCAAATCACAAACATGAAAATGATCTTCCTTTTAATGCCTGCTTTAAACAGCAGCCACTGGAGGTGGAGAATCCAGAGGTCTGGCCTGTGTAATACACTTCGATAGAAACCATGCCCTTGTGTACAGGCCTACGGGCCTTGTTATTATAGTTAACTTTTATGGTGGGTTTTAGGGGCTGAAAAAATTCTACTAATATTATTGGAAATACATTTTATAGCTTTGGCTATGAAATACCACACACACACACACACACACACACACACACACACACACACACACACACCAGCAATAATTGAGGAAGTAATTGAAAACAAATAACACTTGAGTATATGTGCAAATTCTACACAGGTGACTGCAAACCACAAAGATACTAATGAGAAATGGCAGACAGGTTCTTGGCAGGTAGGATCTCACAGGACGTGTGCAAGGCCTGTCACAGTAGATATGATAACTGAGGGAGAGCAAATTCTCAGTCATTGTAATAAAACCAAATCCCAGAAGAACTTCTTTTACATCCCAGAGTGGAGGACAACTATTTTAGGATGTTGCTGCTTGGACACACCTGTTCTATCAGAAGGGGCTGAGTATGTGATACTGAGTTTTCTTTTTTCCTTCTGTATCTTTTTCCCCTTTGTATCTGTGGTACACAGTACAGCACATTATTCAACATATGTTCATTAAATGGCCACCGAAACATCTTTCACACGGGTTAACAAATGGCCAGGCCTCACGTACAAGGTCTATTTGTCTGTTTTTTTTTTTTGAGATAGGGTCTCACTCTGTCACCGGGGTTGGAGTGCAGTGGCACGATCTTGGCTCACTGCAGCCTTGACCTCCCAGGGCTCAAGTAATCCTCCTACCTCAGTCCCCACCGGGTAGCTGGGACTACATGCACGCACCACCATGCCCTGCTAATTTTTTTTTTCCTGTATTGTAGAGACGAGGTCTCACTATGTTGCCCAGGCTGGTCTCGAACTCCTGGGCTCAAGCAATCTGCCCGCCTCAACCTCCCAAAATGTTGGGATTACAGACATGAGCCACTGCGTCCGGCCACGTACAAGGTCTCTTTAAATGATGAATTGGAAACATCAGTATTTCTTCTTTTGCTTAAATTCCAGTCCCCTGCCAACGTACACTGCCATACCAAGATTAAATAGAGAAGGGCACCCAGAAGCATCTGGTTCGCTGTAAGCACTTGACAGCTATCAGCTATGATCATCATTTCTTCTTGCTGATGTTACTGTAACATTGTGGATGAAGCAGTGTTTGCCTTAATCAATGGGGGCGAGTTTGGAAGGCCTGCCCTCCAGGGATGTCTTAGTTCCAGGTGCTGCAATTTGCAGTCCTGGAAATGGAGAAAGGAGATAAGCCTGCAGTTTAGTGCCAACTGTGAAAGGTCAGTTGTGGGGGAGGCTGCTGGGGGCCTCTTGGGAGTTCTCAGAGGCCCTCCCCTCACATATGCACAGTATCTGGTGTCCCAGCCACCAAGTTCTGGAGACCTCCAGAATGATCGGAAGCTTCTGCAGGGTCCAGCCAGTGCTCAGGAACACTCACGGCCCTCCTTTTTCCTTTCCTCATTCAACATCCCCGCATTTCAAGGCTCTCTACCAGCATTTCTTTGTTCATTGTTCAGAAAAAAATGAATCAAGCCATGACTAGAGGCTTGAATTCAACTTTAAAAAATTGTATGGCTCAAAGGGTCTCTATCCAAGTTTTTCCCAAAAGATTATTCTCCAAGGAAAAAAGAAAACAAAATGGCTAAATCGCAACATTTTTTCAGTCTCCATTATCCCACGGCTCTCTTTACCCCTTGAGACACACAATCTTCAATAGTAAACAGGGCTGAAGTTTGAGGGCAAGGCCTAGAGAAGCTGTTTAATTTCTACCCCAAAGACAAACTCAGATTCTTTCACAATTTTCCCTCAGGCCAGCCCTCTGCTTTATAGGGCCAAACCACTGAAAGAACAAATGAATGCGAACAATTTGCCTCCCAGCAGCGAGCACTAAGATTTCCTACAGATACGAATTCCCAAGCAAACCCTGCCCAAAGATAATACAAATGAAGGTTGGGTTTATCGGGCTTTTTAAAGGGTGGCTGCCTGATCTTCTTTAGGATCTGAATATGTTTACACGGGGATTGGCGGGGCGCTTACTGACAGAGCAGTTTTAGAAAACAAACACAGGCCCCAGAACACTCATCAGTCTGCAGCGGCTCGGCCGCTCATTCCACAAATACTCACTGTGCATCCACCATGCGCAGCCACTGTGTGTGGTGCTGTGGGGGACAGAATGACAATGTGTCTTGGGAGGTGGCCTCAGCTATAGGTAGGGAGGACAGGGCTTCTGTCCCAAATGGTAAATGTCATAGAGTGGGGGTGTCACCGAGTGTGGGGGTATTACAGAGTTAGGCCAAGAGGTGGGATCTGAGGTAGACCTCGAAGAGTACAGATGGCAATTTCCACAGGGCAAGGCTCTATTCTAGAACCAACGTATTCATGTTAATAAATAAGCAAGGGTTTTGAACTGAAAGGACCTACGACACTGTTTTCCTAAAGACGCCTTCGGAGGCGGGCATGGCTACAATTTGTCTTAAGTCTCAGGGGTCAGTGATGGTCACCCACTGGGGAAGGAAGGGCATGCAGACAGCCCCCCCAACCCCAATATCTGCAGGGTTTGGGACAAGAACATAGATGCAAGCCCATACGCTTACACATGTAAAAGTTATAACTCAAGCTGACAAACTGTTAAATACATTCTCTCCTCCTCCCTTGACAAATATGAATGCTACGAAAAGGCCAGGCTCGAATTTAGAATTCCCAGACTCCTGGGTTCTGTACCAGAATGCGGTGGTGGTAAGAGAGCCTGATCTGGCACCCCCACCATTCCCAGTTCCATCTTGTCCTATGAGGTCTTGGGACCACACATGGAAACATCCCAGACATCTCAGCACCCCCATCAAAGCTCAGCCCCAGGCAAACGCGAGCCCCCTATCTCAACCTATAGGTGTGCACACCAGTGGCTTGGTGCACGTCCAGGGAAGAGTCAGGCAGGCTCTCAAGCCTCAGGATCCCATTCTTTGGATCCTCAGCTCCGTGGATTCCTGGCCTGGTCAGGAAGGAAGTGGTCAGGGTGGTCAGAGCAGGGCCCTCCAAAGTAGGGTCCAATGCAGGCCCCCCCTGCTCAGGTCTAAGGGTACAGTGTGCACAGGCAAGGATTTGGCTCACTGGACTGTGAGGCACACTGTGTCGTGTGGTTTTGATTATGATGATACAGGCTAACCTTTATCCCAGATAATGAATACAACATTAGTCTGGTTTCCACTTAATCCTCATCAGCCCTACTGAGTTTAGTATTGTTGTTATTCCCATTTCACATATGAGGAAACTAAGATTAGAGAGATTTTAATTTATCCAAGGCCACACAGCTAGGGGTTGTGGAGCCAGGATTTGACTGTTATACTGAGTCTCATGGCCTAAAAATACTCAGAGGAAAATCATTTCCTGATCCCGAATCATGGAAAATCAAGAGCCGGAAGGAACCATGACATTCATAATGTGGAACCCTCACTACGTGGCGGGAGGGGGCAGGTAGCAGAGGAGAAATCCAGGGTCCTGATTCCGGGGCAGTCCCCACGTGGGCAGCAGTGTGTCCCACAGAGTTCAGGAGGGCAGCAGCACCTGGTGGGTATGCTGTGCAGTGGGCGTGGGCTCCCCAGGGGATGCAAGGGGAAGCCAGTCAGGGTCAGGCAGGGCCAGAGCAGCCCCGTGGGCATGTGTGGCCAGCAGCTGGCACCACAGCCCTCTGTGAGCTGAGAAGGTGACCTCACTCCAAGGGGGGCCCTTGGAGCTATTTTCTAAAGCTGCTGCCTTTGATGCTTTCTTCAAATCCCATGAGCAAAGTGGCAAACTTGGGTGGGGAAGCCCCAGAATCTGGCTGCTGTGCAACTTCATTCTGTTTCCAAACAGCGGTGTGGGAGCTCAGCGCCCACTCCAGTGGGCAGTCCGAGGATGCCCTGGAGCTAAGCCGGGGAACCTGTTCTTCCTCCCTGCAGCTGTGCTGGACAGCCAAGGCCTTGGTAGGTCAGGAAGGAGGGATTTTTCTTTTTTTAAATTAATTTAAAATATTTAAAACTAAGGTGTAATATGTATACATAAGCAAGTACACAAATCTCGTGTGCGGCTCAATGAATCTTTAAGACAGGATTTTGTTCTGTTGCCCAGGCTGGGGTGCAATGGCTCAATCAGAGCTCACTGTAGCCTCGAACTCCTGGGCTCAAGCAATCTTCCTGATTCAGCCTCTCGAGTAGCTGAGACCACAGGCATGTGCCACTACAGCCAGCTAATTCTTAAAACTTTTGTAGAGATGGGGGTCTCACTACGTTGCCCAGGCTCTAGTGAATTTTTAATATGTAATTTTTTTTTTTTAAGACAGAGTCTCACTCTGTCACCCAGGCTGGAGTGCAATGGTGCGATCTCAGCTCAGTGCAAACTCTGCTTCCCAGGTTCAAGTGATTCTCCTGCCTCAGCTTCCCGAGTGGCTGGGATTACAGATGCCCGCCACCACACCCGGCTAATTTTTGTATTTTTATTAGAGATGGTTTCGCCATGTTGGCCAGGCTGGTCTCGAACTCCTGACACCTCAGGTGATCCACCCACCTCGGCCTCCCAAATTACAGGCATGAGCCACCAAACCTGGCCCAATATGTAAATATCAATGTAACCACCAGCCTAGATCAAGATGTAGAATGTTTTAAATTGATTATAAGTTGCAGAAGCAATGCATGAACACACTCTCCTTGTAAAGCATTAAAACATGAGCTGTGAGCCGACCCCTCCCAGTGTCCCGCCTACACACACAAGGCCCCACTGTTATATGTAATTGATTGTGTGTCCGGAAGCAGGGGCTTCCCCCTAGGCATTCCCAGGCCTCTAGGCAGCTGAGCAGCCTGACCCAACAGGTTTAGGGTCTTTCTCCTTGAACATTCTCTTCTGCCCATTCCCTTCCCCCACCCAAATCCTCCAACAGAGAAAGAGCCTGTGGATTTGGATAACACAACTGCCTCGCTGAGCTTCCTCCCTCCCCATCCTTACAACTGAAAGCGGTCTGACTCGGACGCTTCTAAGCTGTGGCTGCAGAGAACACAAAGAGCAGCCTTCGGCGCGCGGACGCACCATCGATGTACTGGGTTGGGGCGGGGGGGACGCCAACCGGCCCCAAAGCACATCGAAGCCAGAAACTGCCCGAACTAGTTACATTCCAGCAAGATTAGCACAAGGCCGGGCCTGCTCCTGCGCCCACCCCTCCTCCCCTCCTGAGCCATGAATAGGATTTTTAACTATTTCCCTCCCACTTGCTGTCCAGCCTCACACATGGACAATGCTCCCCGCTGTTTGCACATTAACCTCCCATTTGCCAGGCAGCTTCTCAGGGGCTGCAGATTAACATCCACCAACTCAGACAATCATCCCCGGGGAGGGGTGCAAGGGGCTCAGACAAAAGCTACAGACACTGAGCCCAGTCAATCACCGCACAGTGACCACTGGCCAACAGTGCAAGGGACTCCTGGACTCCAGACACACAGGAATCACCACAGGCGGCTCATTCCTGGCTCTGGGCACCTGCCCCACGTGGGACCAGAGAGGATACTCCCCTAATGCAGGCCTACAGCAACCAGAAGACATCCTCCCCACCCCATCTAATCTGGGACATTCTGGCCTAGGAGGGGCCCGAAAGGATCAGGGACTGAAGGGCTGGGAAGGCAGAGGGCAGCCTTAGGCAGGCCTCGCAGACCCAGCCCACCCTGTTTAGGCTTCTCCTTTCTCCCGGCAAAGCGGAGCTCTCAGGGGACAGAACAGGAAGCAGGTGCCTCAGGCCCCTGCCCTGGGGCTCCCTGGGAAAGCTGCCTGGTCTCTCAGCAAGAAGGGCCCCTGACTGAAGCAGCTTGTAGACATGATTCCATACATCAAAGCCATTTTCCTATTCCCTTGTGTGCAGGTGTGCACACAGGCATGAACTTGGAAACACAACAGCATGTAGGGGGGAGGGAATGGGGAGACAGCTGGACTGTGAGGTATGGGAATGGTCCTTCTATGTCCTAGGCCAGCAGCTCAGCCCCTGCATTTGTATTAAAAATCTCCTCCAGGTGATGCTCATGCACCCTGGTCCTGAACCAGAGGCCCTGGAAGTGAACAATCGCATGCATTAGCTGAGGATCCTGTTAAGATGCAGTCTGGGTCAAGAGG
The DNA here is from genome assembly GCF_000001405.40 of Homo sapiens. Lineage (NCBI taxonomy): Eukaryota > Metazoa > Chordata > Mammalia > Primates > Hominidae > Homo > Homo sapiens. The sequence continues at coordinate 85,255,164 of NC_000002.12, read as the reverse complement.
TGTGTCGTGGGGCCCAGGATGGTAAGTTTCTAACCAGCTCAAGACACACTCTTGAGGCCATCTCAGTGAGGCCTCAGACTGGGCGCATCATCAGAAGGGCGATCTCTCTGTATGCTGCTTCACCAAGTAGTTGTCTGGCTACAGTTTCCACCCTTCTCGAGAAAGGTCACCACCTCTCAAGACAGCCAGTTGCAGCTGCGGACAGCTCTGTTTGAGTCCTTCCTCATATTAAGACATCCAACAGTGACAATCTGAAGTCTTTCTTCTCTTGACCTGGTAGTTCCAGACCCTCAGAAGACCTTGTGGCTTCCACTCGTGTTTTCCCCACATACCTGTGCCTCCTCATCTAGGCCAGTGAGGCTGTTTTTCTGAGCTTCATTCTCTTCTTAGTACTAATGCCAGACAGGGTGGGGGCAGGGGAGCAGATCTCAGTGCAGATTGGCGAGGCTATTTGGGTAGGAGTGAGAATAGAGCCCCCAACGGAAACAGAAACCAGAGTTCTAGCCTGGAGCAGTTAACATACAAGAAACTTAAGGACAATTAAAAAGCAACAACCACAATTAACGTGGTTTACACAGGCAAAACTCATTAATGTGGATCGGGGTGCTGGAGTTTACCTTTGCTAGGCAAACCCTTTTTACAGACAGTACAGATTAATTGCAAGCAAGACTCCAAGGGGAATATCTAAATGGCTATGAAACAACCTTCAAGCCCCCCCAATGCAGGAAAAAGCACCACTGACCTACAAGGGACACACAGAGGACTTCGTCCAGGGAGCCCCCTTGCCAGTCTGGCTTCAATTCCTGGTGAAGTTCAGAAGCAATAAACCTGTGCTCCTTTTGAAAGGTTTTATAATTCAGAAGACCCCCTAATTCACACTAACATCCACCCCAAGTCTGAATTAATTGTGTTACCCAGCAGTTCTGCTAAGGAATCACTTCATCATCACTGCTGCAGGGAAAATTTGAGCGGGGCCGATGGTTTGCAGTGGCAGCAAGTCTACAAATGATTATCCCTAATGAGATGATGCGAGAGCAGCCTCAAATAAGGCACTCCTCCAGCTGCCCCGTGCCCAGCTGGGCTTCCTGCCCTCCCACCCGCTCCAGGCCATGAGCCCTTCATGGGGCTCTCATGGCAAGAGGGGCCTGGATCTTCCAAAGGTGAAACCATCCCAAAGACCCAAGGGCTCCCACTCAGTCTCCTGCTGCCACTCCCTGCCCCACTGCAAGGTCACACATGACAGTGGGGTCTGGCTGAGCTAGGACTGAATCCTGACTGTACCCCTTACCAGTTGTTACCTTGATCTAAAGTTAATCTTTCTGAGCCTCAGCTCCCACATGTTGAAAAGGTATTAGTATAATCCAGTTCCTAAGATTGTGTGGTGGTTTAACTGAGTGAACGCTTAGCATGCACAGGGCCTGGAGTAGGTAAACTCTTACGATGGTAGTAAAAAGGAGGAAGATTTCTTTTAAGGACAGGGAGATGGCCCCTCTTTCTTTGAGGCTCCAAAGCTCACTGTTCTTCTGTTGTGACACTAACCTTTCCCTGCCTTGAGATCAGTTCCACTACTTGTGTTGTTGCTCTGGTGGACCAGGAAACAGACAGTTCCTATATAAGGTCATGGCCCCACTCATCTTTTACTTACCTACTGCAACGTTCAACCCAATCCTTGCAATTAGTAGGAACCTGATCAATATTTCTGCATTGACTTGCCAGCATGAACCAGCCTACTCAGGACAAAGCATGGAGGTCGTAACCAAATGGGTCAAACAGCCAACAGACCAGACCTCCCCGCCCCCGCCCCTGTGAGCAGGTTTCTGACCTTACGAACAACAGCAGTTGCGTTTAGGTAAAACGACAATCACACTTCTGACTGGCTGTCAAACTATTCATGAAAATGGCCACCAACTTCCTATTTTTTAAATCAAACACTAAGCCATATGTCTGCTACACAATGAAAAATCCCAAACCTATGTGGTTTAATAGGCTTTCCAACATTTCTTCAGAAGCCTAGATCTCTAACGTTTACATTTAAGGTGACACTGGCTCACGGTCTGTTGTTCCATAGTCTTATTGCACTGTTTACACATCCTACCTCATTTTTACAGAAATGGGTCATTAGGCCAGGGACCACCTTCTTCCATGTCATGACATGCTTTGGTTGGGAGTGGCGAAGGTCTAATTTTAGGCCGTCTGAGAAAGGGCCTAAAATTTCCTAAAGTAAAGCAATAGAGATCAAGTTTTTAGGTTTTCTGAGGTTTTAAAACCAGAAAGCCATTCTGTTTCCTTGAGCTGCCATCCATTCAACCCTAGAAGTTGCAGCCTGCCGTTCTGGGCTCAGAGAAGGGAGGACTAATGCTCAGAACAGTTTCCCTGGGGAGCTGGATACTAGGTGCTGAGGTTGGGCTCCCTGGCAGGCACAGGCCTCGGGGAGCTTGTGGTAGGGGCTGCTTGGAAACCACACACTTACTCTACTCTGATGACACTGTTTGTGTGCAAGCATTTCTAGACTGTTCTTTGGAAATGGGCTGTAGAAAACATTCATTCCTTCAAAACACACCGCTCTTTTGTGGTCTTTTATTTCCCCCTTCTTGGCTTTGCTACTCTCCTGGGAGTCAGAGGCTCCCCAAACTCCCAGGGAAGGGATCTCTTTTGGAGAGGCCATGCAGAGGGGTCACACCGAGGCTTGGGTCACACCGAGGCTTGGGTCAGGGTAGTAGAGTGATAGCAAATGCTCATGTGGAATTGTCTGCCTGAACGGGTGGCTATAAATTATCACAGGGTATAACTGCCCGAGACCACGTAGGTGAATTATCTACAAGTCCTGCGAATGCTCAGGACTACAGCTGCCATGAATATGGCTTCAAAATAAGTTTCCTTAGATGAAAACAACTGAGAGGCCAGAGGCATCAGCTAGCCTGTGGGGAGGATGTGGGAGGACCACCCATAGCCTCAGTTTCCCTGGGTGCACCACTCACTTCCCTCAGAGTCCTTTCTGTGATACCTGCCTCCCCCAGCCCTCTTGTCACTGTACCACCCAATGCACACACAGCAGCAGAGAAGCATCTGGAGTGTGAGTGTGTGTGTTTTGAGAGAGGATCTTACTCTGTTACCCAGGCTGGAGTGCAGTGGCGCAATCACAGCTCACTGAAGTCTCGACCTCCTGGGTTCAAGTGATCCTCCCACCTCAGCCTCCCAAGTGGCTAGGATTACAGGTACGTGCCACCACGCCTGGCTAATTTTTTGTATCGTTTGTAGTGATGGGGTTTTGCTGTGTTACCCAGGCTGGTCTCAGACTCCTGAGACTCAAATGATCTGCCTGCTTCCGCCTCCCAAAATACTGGGATTACAGGCGTGAGCCACTGCACCTAGCCTAGAGTGTCTCTGAATTGCAATCGGAATTTGAATGGGAAACTGTCAGCTAGTTTAAGGGGCAAGCAGTAGGTAGCTTCTTGTCACATTTTCTCAATCAGATGCCAGTCACAGGGAACTATCAAAAAGCGGCGATTTACAAGAGTGACCTGAATAGATGCTCTGGTCTGGTCTCTCTCCTTCAGCTCTTATATCCAGCTGGTCCCTTCTGTCCTGAAGAGGTAAACAGCCTCAAGCGGGGCCCAGAGACTTGGGTTCTAACTCGACCCCAATTAGCAGTGTGATGACTTTAGGCAGGTCCTTTCCCCTTGCTGATCACAGCTGCTAGAAAAAGCCTTTATGGAAACAAACATGTATTAGACCCCTACTGTTTACACTATATACTGTACACAATAAAGGCAAAGGCTTTTTATTTCTTCCTCACAAGCTTCTCTTTGTGTGCATAGAAATGAGTGCTGATTATCATTTAGACATAATAATATCCGGATATGGGTCATTAAGCAGGGCAGTGACCTACCCACTTGGTCCACTGACCTATTCTTGGTTATTGCAAAACATTATTCAGACAGCAAGATAAATTGGTTAATTTTTCTTTCCACTCCTAAATTGTTAAATTAGTTACAGCAAAAAACAAAACCCAAGTAAACAAACCACACAAACCTCCTAAATACAAAGTAGGGCCCTGATCCTGCCATCTGTTTAACTCCTAAATATAGGCTGGTTTATCTCTCTCCCACCTTCTGGTGGCCTCAGGCCATGTTCTCAGGCCTCTAACTCTTAGCTGCTATTTAGAATCCAGCTGTTAATTACTTATTTAACACCTTTTTGCTGCTCAGTCTGAACACTAAGCATTCTCCGAGACTACAGTTTCTCCTTTGCCTTTCTTTAGTGGCTCTGAAAGGTCTCTCAAAGGTTATCTGTCCTCAAGATGTGCCTAATTCTGTGCATTCAGGGCTTTCTTTGCAGGGGACGGCACAACTTGGGAGCTTTTAACATACACGAAACACAAAATAGTGTAATACAAAGCTAGCCAGGCTTATTAAAAATCTCATTTTTCGGCTGGGCATGGTGGATCACGCCTGTAATCCTACCACTTTGGGAGGCTGAGGTGGGTGATCATTTGAGGCCAGGAGTTCGAGACCAGCCTGGCCAACATGGCGAAACCCTGTCTCTACTAAAAATACAAAAATCAGCCAGGCGTGGTGGCCGGCGCCTGTAATCCCAGCTACTCAGGAGGCTGAGGCACGAGAATCGCTTGAACCCGGGAGGTGGAGGTTGCAGTGAGCCGAGATAGCACCACTGCACTCCAGCCTGGGCGACAGAGCGAGACTCTGTCTCAAAAAAAAAAAATTCTCACTTTTGAGCTAGTCTATGTTTAATATTTAATATATTACCGAGTGCTTTTTTAAAAGGCCCAGTTACCAATTCCTGTGTGTGGCAAGGTGAGAAGGCCAGGGGTGATGGGTGCCTTATGGCTTTGGTCTATTGCAGATGCCTTCCAGTAGTGGACCAGAGCAGCTGGCACTGGTGTACTGGCATCTCCTTCAAACTCAGTGTTCAGTGATGTCACGTTGGTAGCTTGAAATCAGCCACAGGGAGAGTATTTACATCATGGAAATTGGCAAACACTAATCAGAGCACAATCCTCCCCACCAGGAGCTGACTGTTAAATATTTACCAGTACATCACTGCTTATAACCCATTTCCCCACTTCTCTTTCTATCATTAATTTAAAGGACTCATTTATTGGGCACACAGTCCACTGCATTAGACACAAATGCTACAGAAAAACAACAATAACAAATGTTACCTTTCTCTGTCCCTATGTCTTTGTCTATGTCTTTACACTGCAAACTCACTTAATCCTCAGAACAACATAGTGGGATAAAGAAATAATGTTATCACCTTTTCACAGATGAGGAAACTGAGGCACAGAATGGCAAAACCTTGCTCATGGCTGCAACTGATGATGCTTCCAGACCCAGAACTGAGGGCTTTTCCCCACCCCACAGAGCCCATGGGTTTTCTACTCTCCCAGGAAAAGGCCTGGATGGAGGCCCAGTGTGCAAAAACTCAGGGATATGTTCCACCAGAACTAAGACTCAAGAGCAAATGAGTTTTATGGAGGCTTTGTACCAGGAAGGGTTCTTAAGGGAGACAGTTGTGCAGGCTGTGAGGAAGGTTCCGCAGACCCCCAGAAAAGCAGGTGAGTGGCAACTGGGGTCACCTTGAGAAGAGGGGTTTTGGAGTACAACAGGCCCCTTGGCCTGGTACACTTTATCAAGGCAGAAAAATGCCTTCCACTTCTGGAGGGAAAAAAAGGAAAGAGGCACAGGATGCAATTAGGAAAGAACAAACATATCCTCAGATTCTCACAGCTGAACAACTAGGGAAAACCCAGCCTGTAAACAATCAAAAACTGGTGTCGCCAGAGCAAATACCCAGGACTCTGCTCACCCATGCAAGGGTAACTGCACGAGAATCGGGGCCCACACCAGCACAGGCCAGCGAGGGACCACTTTTTCCTTAGCAGTAGCGGCAGTGGCAGCAGCTGGTTCTCCTGCTGGGTTCCCAGATGGAAATTCCAAAGGGAACTACTTTCTGCATTCAGCACACAGAGAAAAACTGCAACTAGTGAAAAGCAAAAACTAAAATTTCAAATGCTACTTTGTAGAATGCAAACAGTCATAGTCTGCCAACAGACATTAGGCTAGGTATTTCCTTATGATACTTACAAGAGACGGAAAACCAAGTTCACTCCCCCTTTCCCTACTTCCTCCTGTTTTTTTTTTCCCTCCCCAAGGGAATGAGTCAAGTCAGTCAACAAGTATTTATGGAGCACCCACAGGATTGCAGAGTCTGGGAGGAGGCACGGGTTGCTGGAAGAAGCCCAGGATAGCTCTCATTTGAGACAGTTAAAGGAAATGTCAATCCTCAGGCCAGGTCTAAACAGGGCAGTGAAGAACTGACTGCCACCTGGGTGGGTTTATTCTGGACCAATCACTCACTCCTGGCTGAGCTGCCTCTGTTATTGGCAAGGTTATCCACCAAAGTGGGTGGATCAGCTATGTTCATGTACATTTTTGGAAAACTACAAGCACAACGCTAGCAATCTTGATGGTTTAGGGGGTGGGAGTTGGTGGTTGGCTGAGATACTCTTCTTCCTCCCTCCCAAAAGGCCCCACAACGATAAAAATTAAACAAATGTTGTCAGGTGTTCACCATTTCTCCTCTGCAAATGTAAGTGTGTATAAGTGGGACGGGAAGGCTAGCAAAACCCAGGGCCCATGGAAACAGCCTCCTGGGGGCCTGTCCGCTCTAGTTTGGAGACTGGGTTGTATTTATTTGGCTGCAGATCCTGCTACTCCAAGTGTGTTCCCTGGACCAGTACCATCAGCACTATGTGGAATTGTGTTAGAAATGCAGAGTTCCAGGCCCCACGACAGCCCTACTGAAGTAGAATCTGCGTTTACACAATCTCTTCAGACGGTTCCCATGCATGGGTGAGTTGAAGAAACGCCAGTCCCAAAAACCAAGCAAGTGTTTGTTATTAAACCCCAGAGAGCCCCCAAAGTCACATTTGGGGAACATGTGCCTTTCATATTGCAGGGGGGCAGTTAGCTCCCTAGATTTCCTGTTCACAGAAAGCAAATACCAGTAAAGCCTAAAGATTTATAAATCTATTATAACTCCTGGTTTAAAAGTAGGTACCTGGAAGGACCCAGGTCAGTTGCACATTATTCAATCACCATAGGAAGATATATTCTTGGAGCTAACAGAACCGAACACTACCGGCCACAAGGAGTCTTTTCACATCTACATTACACTCAACTAACTGCATGCTGGCCTAGATTCGCTTCTGTTTTAAATATCCAAGCTATGTTTGAATAACCTGTATGGTTACAATTAGGATCACTGCATCTGGGAAAGTCACCGCAAACCCCCACACATAAATACGGTGATTTTAATAACAAATAACACATTTGGAGGCTGGTATATAAGTATGCAGGCAGAGGAAGCCACTGAAGATGTTAATTTGCATGTTCACAAAGAAATGGAATCCAGCTGCAACGTTAATGCTTAATTCTACAGAGCCATAGGACACCCGCGCAACCTTACCATGGGCATGCTCTAAATTTAAAGCCGATTTTCAAACCCTCACAATTTTGGCAAAAACCTCAATTCAACTGCTTAAGGAGACTGGATTTTCTGTGAATCCTAAAATAGTGCTAGCAGAAAAAAGTCCATTTGTTTAAGTTTTGCAAGTTAAAGACAAGTATCTGAATTGATTTGATGCAAAGGTTCTCAAAACATTCACCTTGGGGCAGGAAAAACAAAAGGTCTCATTGGAAGAGATTCCTTCTTATAAGGGATTGGAATTTACGGACTAGGGTCTAACTTAGCTGTTGCTTTCTGGCCTCCTACACTTGTATTTACTGTTTAAAGTAAAATGTGAAAATTATATCAGTCTTTAAGAAGATAAACCTTCTGAAATAGGATGCATATGAGTGAATGTGTTTGTATAAGAGGGAGAGGTTAATAATAGCGGTCATGGTGATATTAATAACAATAAAAGGTAGTGTGCTAATTTGGATATTGTATCCTGGTAAGCTGTGTTCACTTCACCAGTTTCTCTAAGAAAATGGATTCTGTTGAACTGCTCACTAGCATGGTGTACTTGCTCAAGCACCTGCAAAAAGACAGAGGGGGCTTCTTGTAGGGATGCAAACCCAGTGGGGCAAACAAACAGAGCCTGGTAACAGCACAATCAATCAACTGTTTCAGTTATGAAGGAAAGAGCTGCTAAAACCTCCCACTCCAGTGGAATGTACCTCACTGAAAGCTCTTGGCACTCACTCTTTACAGAGAATGGTGGGTAGCCAGGACCTATGGTGACATCAGGCACAGAGCAATTCTCCTGTCCTACAAGTGGACAAGAGGGAAGGAGGGTGGTGGTCAAAACCATCATGGGGGTACATGTATCAGATAATGACTAGACTGCATGATTTCATGAGATAAGAAAAAAATATCTTGAGAGAAATGCTTGAGAGTCCTTAGGATTGCAATTCTGCTGAGCACTTGGCTCATCTGTTATTAATAAATGCTGGTGGCAATATCCATGAGTACACTTGTCAGAGGGGCTGCTTCCTCCCCCACCGAGCAACGGCCAGATGGAGAAGTCAGGAGACCTGCGTGGAGAGCCTCGCCTTGCCAGGGGCAAATCCATCACCTCAATAAGCCTCAACTCACTGTCTATTAAATAGGAGTGATTATACCAGCTGCACTTAATTCTTAGAACTATTTTGAGGATGAAATGAGATAATGGATGTGAGTCGTTAAGTATGTCAATCTGGGAATATGTGGGTGGAGCTGTGTGGGAGGTGAGCTCCCTTCTGCTCTGTCATGAAAGGCATGTGACACTCTTCATAGTACTTCCCTCTCCCAGGCCCCCAAATAAGCTTGCCTGTCAATTTTGACACATTTAGAATTCATTAAGTAATTAAATCCATTTTGATCTAATTGAGTTTTCCTTTGAGGGCAGTTTAAGATTCCACTAAGCCTGTGAAGCTTATGAGTAATTGCAAGTGGAAACTACACCCAACTGTGTTGAGATGTCCATCCTCGATTTTTTCCCAATGCATGATTTCACTTGCCGGGATGGCACTGTTACATCTGGAGATCAGAACCAAGCCAACCACCACCACTAGCAGAAGCAATAAATAACACCATTGCATTGAGTCAGCACTGTGGACAGTCCTGTCCTAAACCACATTCATGGGGGACACCTGACTGCCATTCACTTGGAGATCTTTCTGGGCAAAGGAGAGCTGGTCAGTCACCGGGTGACCAAAACCGGCACTGCACTGCCCAAGAAGGACATGGCCATCCTTTAACTGTTTCCATCTGACAAACTGCTGTTGGTCTATGGGCAACTGTTGGTCTGTTTTTTTTTTTTTTTAATTAATTAATTTTTTTTTGAGATGGAGTCTCGCTCTGTTGCCCAGGCCGGAATGCAGTGGTGCGATCTCGGCTCACTGCCAGCTCCTCCTCCCAGGTTCATGCCATTCTCCTGCCTCAGCCTCCCGAGTAGCTGGGACTACAAGCGCCCACCACCATGCCCAGCTCATTTTTTGTATTTTTTTTAGTAGAGACGGGGTTTCACCGTGTTAGCCAGGATGGTCTCGATCTCCTGACCTCGTGATCTGCCCGCCTCGGCCTCCCAAAGTGCTGGGATTACAGATGTGAGCCACCGTGCCTGGCCCGGTCTGTTTTAAAGAGGCCCCTGGCTCTGACCTTGTAGCTCAAAGATGAGCCACATGGTTCCAGGTCCCCATCTGGGACTTCTGGTTGCACTGTGCCAGTGGGAAGCCTTGTCAGCCAACCTACCCCATCTTAGAGGGAAGAGGGACTGGTGACTGATGCCCAGTGAAGAGGCTTGCCTTCGGCCCTCCATCCAAGAAGGGAACCCCCTATGGCCCACTATCCTAAGCAAGTGCTGAGCCATAGTCAGCTTCACCCCATTCTCTATGGGAGCCTGACACCAAACCATTGATTACACCAATCTTCTCAGATAAGGCAGTCCAGCTTAGGTTCCAAGTCTGGAGACTTTTTCCTGAGTCTCCTAGGGGGCCAGACGTGCCTGGGATTTTGAAGAGCCTCCTCTCCCTGGTATCTGTCTTGATACCAGATTCTATTCTGGAATCTGTCCTGCTAGCGGGCAGAGTGCCAAGTCTATATTTTGAGGACAGCAAAGACCTGCATTTGCTAAACCTAATGGTTGTTTCTCAGCCCTCATCTCACTCGACCTTCAGCAGCAGCCCCTCTTCCTTCGTACACTCCCCTCCTTGGCTGCAGGAATGCGGCGCCCACCAGGTCTCCTCCTACCTCTCTGGCTGCTCCTTCTCAGTCTCCTTTGCCAGTTCTTGCTCTTCTCTCCAGTGTGCAAAAGCTGTAGTGCCCACGGCTCAGCCCTTGACCTCTTTTTTTCTCAGCTTCAGTCTCAGGGATCTCCTCCAGTCTCATGGCTTGAAGTACCATCAACATGCTGATGACTAAAGTCTCTGTCTCTAACCTAGACCTCATCCCTGACTTCTAGACCCAATTACCCCACCTATCACTCTCCCCACTGGATGTCCAAAAAGTATCTCCAATACAACATGTCCCAAACAGAGCTCCTAATTATTTCCTCCCAAACCTGCCCCTCCCACAGTCTTCTCCATTTCTGTCAATGACACTTTCTTCTTTCCCACTGCCCAGGAGACATTCCTAACTCTTCTTCCTCTTGCTCCCCACATTTGTTCCATCAGCAAATCCTGTCACTCCTCCTTCAAAATGGGTCCAGAATCTGAGAACTTTCCCCATTTCTACTGCCACCATCCAGGCCCCACTGGCCCAACAACTTGTCTCTGATTTTCTACCCTTGACCCCTTCGGTCTATGATTATATCATGGCAGCCATGGCGCTACGTTAAAACAAAGGTTGGATCACGTCACCTTTCTGCTCAAGACCCCTCTCTACTCCCCATCTCAGTCAAAAGGCTTCATCATGGGCTGCATGCCCCTGTGACCAGCCCCCTGTCCCCTTTCTGACTGTGCCTCCTTCAGTGCTGCCCCCCAGCCTTGCCCACTCTGCTCCAGCCACTCTGTTCTGCCCGCTCCTGGAACCTACCAAGCGCCATCCCCTTTGCACCTGCTGTTCCCTCTGCCTGGCGTGCTCTTCCCCCGTGTATGTGTCTATAGAGTTTGTCACCTCCCTGTGAGGCCTTCAATAAATATTGAATAAATGAATGAACAAGCAAACTGAAGGCTTTACCCTGAACCCTCCCTGGCAGGCCGGGATCCCACAGTTTGCCTGTTCGTTCTTTCCCTGTGGCTGGATCCTGAACTCCGCCCACCACATCTCCCACCCCCAGGGGGTGCTGTTCACAATGTGGTCCGTGGCTAGCAGGGCAGCTCCCAACGTCAACTCTGCAGGGAGCCGTGTGAAGTCACAATATGAATACCCGGCCCTTTCTAAGGTGCCTGGCACGTAGTGGATGGCTCAGCGTATATCTCCTGAACGAAGTTTCACCTCTCACCCTGAGCCAGAATCCTGCCCACTCAGAACCCAAGACCCATGCCTGGGGCTGCCTCTGGCCAGGAAGCTCTCTCTCCTCAGCCCATCCCCAGCCTTCTCCTCCTGGCCCAGCTCCCCCTTCCCTTGCTGAGTTTCTAGCACCTCTTATGCTGTTCACACCCAGACAATTCCGAAAACACTGGATCCCCTGTGAATGGTGTGGAAATGCAACTTCCCCACGTGGAGTCGCTGGGCATGTTCCCCTTCCCTTCCCCTCGAACCCTGCACAGAGGGGGCCATTATGTCACACAAGGCCACTTCACGAGTAAGGGACAAAACAGCCCTTTTGAAACTCAAAACAAAGCTTAAGAGCCGCACCTGAGTTACTAAAGCTTCCACTCAGCCTCACCCATTCCTAGCAATAAGCTGCAGCAGCCGGATCTGCTCCCACCTCTGGGTGACGGCTGGGAACACCAGGCTGTTACCTTTCATCAAAAACACAAAGGGACAGCAAGGGACCTCAGGCATGTAATGGCGCCGAGGAGTAGCCATAACATGTTATTACAGAATTAGTTCTTTCGAAACTGCGTGCCAACTGATTATTAATAAACTGCAAAAATGAGTTAAGGGCGGAATAATTGGGGCTGAATGCCTACCAATCCTGCACATGTTAACCAAGACATATGAGGTTCAACTAGAAGCCAATTGAACAGTTACTTATTGTTAACTACTATGTGCCAAGATGTCGGTGCGTCGAGATCTTTAAGACTTGCTGGAGGCCCCACTGCCAGAGGTGTGTAATCTAAATGGGGAAAGGAAAGGAAAACATGCCCTTTCATTCAATAGTTTTTAAAACAGTACAGTGTACTAGGAAAGGCTGAGGTAAAACATCTGCTTCAATAGGGAGGCAGAGAAAAGGGGATATAGAGGCCCTGGGGAGATTTCTTGAAGGAGACAGAAAACTGGAGATCTGCAAAGAGAAGAAACAGGAGGAAGCAACACATCCCGTGTGGAAGGGGAGAAAGTGGGTGCTGTGAGCAGGAGTGACAAAGTCTTCAGGAAGACTGAGCCTGGGGACAAGGCTGGCCTCAACATTTGCCTTCTATACAGGGTGTGCACAAACCTCAATGCCAAGCCCCATTCAAGGAAAAGGAGGAAGGCTGCAGATGGACCTCACTGACTCTCCCTACAGCAGAAGCGGGCACAGCCGGGTGCAGCGTCTAGGTCAGGAGAGGTGGTGTTTGCATTCATGCTGTCATAACGGCTGTGGTCAGGCTTGGATGAGGACGTCAAGCTGACAAAACCTCAAGGTGATGGAGGACCATTCCTTCCATTATTTGAGCCATCCCAGAAAGAAGGGAGGTAATTCTTAAGCGCGACATGTTCACAAATGGAAAAGTGTGGATTTGGCCTGGATGTTGGCATTTTACTTGGGCCGGGGCTTTATGTGACGTGGGTTCTATGTTGGCAGCCCAGAGGCAGCCAAGTGACCCAGGGAAGCCAGCAACCATAGGGTTTCCAGCCTCATGGTATCAATGGAAGAATTATGAGATCACAAATGTCAGAGCCCCTGGGGCCTTGTAGGTAAATGCTTGGTTTGATTTTAAGTGATCCAGATAATAGAAGAAGTTCTCACTGGCTTCTTTAAGATGGTCCCTTAGACTTACAGATGTTTTTAGGTTCTCATGATTCAAAAATCTATTCTTGCCCCCCCGCACCACCGCCCCCCTCCGCCCAAAAAAAAAGCAAGCAAGCAAAGAGAAACCTGAAAGGAATATTTACCAAAAAGCAAACTATTCCTGGACTCACGGAGTTATCCAGGTCCTAAGGAAATACAAATAGAGTCCAACAGACAGTTTAGTTAAAATACTAAAAATAAACAGTGGCTGTATTTAATTTCTTTTTTTAAGTTTCTAAGGAAGTCAATAAAATAAAAATATATCTGGGGCCTGAATTATCATGCATGAACAAGGACTGCTTGAAAGTGTACCCAGGTTGGGCCCGATGGCTCATGCCTATAATCCCAGCACTTTAGGAGGCCAAGGTGGGCAGATCACCTGAGGTCAGGAGTTCGAGACCAACCTGACCAACATGGTGAAACCCTGTCTCTACTAAAAATATAAAATTAGCTGGGCATGGTGGCGGGCACCTGTAATCCTAGCTGTCAGGAGGCTAAGGCAGGAGAATCGCTTGAACCCGGGAGGCAGAGGTTGCAGTGAGCCAAGATGGTGCCATTGCATTCACCTAAGCAACAAGAGTGAAACTCCATCTCAAAAAAAAAAAAAAAAAAAAAAAAAAAACAAAAACAAAGTGCATCCAGTCCTCTGGATCAAAGAGTGCAAAGAGGCTCTTCCCTGCTGTTCCCCTGCTCCCATCCTCTAGACTCAATGAGTCAGTCAACAAACTTCTACTGTGCACCACCATGTAGAAGGCACTGAGGACAGGGCATTTCAAGAGTCAAATGAGGAAAATACTCGTGTGCCAACTTCTGTTCCCACACTGAGAAAGAAAGAGAGCAAAAACTGCTGAGCTCCAAAAGACATGCTGTGTAAAAAATGTTGAAAAGGAAGACAAACCCTTTAAAAGGGTGACCTTGGGCGGGCCCTTCCCAATTGAGTTAAATGTCACTAACTCTGAGAACTTGTACTTTCTGATTTCCTGATTTTGCAGAATCTAAAGCTAGCATAATGAATTTAAACCCTCCAGCTTCCTTCCTTTCTCCATTTCCTTAAAAACAAAAACAAAAGGCACAGATTTAATATTTCCATTAAAATAAAACTTAACAAAAAGCATCACATACTTTTACTATTACCATAGTTTAGGAAAGAAACACATTTTTCTCTCTTTTGGCTGCAAGACTATTTTTTCAAATTTCAGCAGGCACAAAATTCTGCCCCTTGGTGACTTAATCTGTAAGTACAAGCACTATTTCAGGCAACTGATTTTTTTTTTTTTTTTTTTGAGGCAAGAGTCTTGCTCTGTTGCCCAGGCTGGAGTGCACTGGTGTGATCTTGGCTCACTGCAACCTCTGCCGCCTGGGTTCAAGCGATTCTCCTGCCTCAGAGTAGCTGGGATTACAGGCACTCGCCACCATGTCCAGCTAATTTTTTTTTTTTTTTTGTATTTTTAGTAGAGATGGGGTTTGGCCATGTTGGCCAGCCTGGTCTTAAACTCCTGACCTCAGGCGATCCACCCACCTTGGCCTCCCAAAGTGCTGGGATTACAGGTGTGAGCCACCATGCCCAGCCAATGGTTTTATCATCTGTGTGTTTCTCAGTTATCTCCTTCACCTCTAACACGGGAACTGTTAGAAACAGGAGGGAAGTTCCCATATCAGCCCTTTGACTCCTCTCCGGTTTGCCATCCACACCCTCTGCGATGACAGCCTGAGGTTTAAAACATCCTTCATCTCCACAGCAGTCCCCCGGCTTCCTCTGTGTTCACAACAGCCTTGTGAGAGAGGGAGGTGCAGGGACATAATCATCTCCATTGTGCAGAGGAGGAAAGGGAGGCTCCCAGAGCTGCTCTGTGCAACGTGGTCCATGCAGTGCAGTGGCCACTTGCCACATGTGGCTATGGAGCCCTGGAAATGGCATGCAGGCCACAGGAAACACACACGGAACACTCAGTACGAGAAAAGAACATCCAACGTCTCAGTAATCAGTCTTTAAATTGATTACATGTTGAAATGCTAATACTGTTGATGAATTGGGTTACATAAGATATACTATTAAAATTAATTTACTTGCTTCCTTTTCATTCTTGTTTTTTTTTTGTTTTTTTTTTTTTTTTTAGATGGAGTCTCGCTCTGTTGCCCAGGCTGGAGTGCAGTGGCGCGATCTTGGCTCATTGCAACCTCTGCCTCCCAGGTTCAAGTGATTCTCCTGCCTCATCCTCCCCAGTGGGTGGGATTAACAGGTGCGTGCCACCATGCCCGGCTAAATTTTTTGTATTTTTAGTAGAGATGGGGTTTCATCATGTTGGTCAAGCTGGTCTCGAACTCCTGACCTCAAGTGATCTGCCTGTCTCAGCCTCCCAAGGTGCCTGGATTACAGGCATGAGCCACTGCGCCCGATCTTCATTCTCTTTTAATGTGGCTACATGAAAATTTAAAATTACTGCTTCAGCTTATATTTCATTTTTATTGGACAGTACCACCCTGGAGAGATTGGTGCAAAGTCATCCAGCAGGCCAGGGACAGACCTGGGCCAAATCCACTGCTCCCACTGCGTTTGGGGGCATGGCATCTTCCAGGGCATGATGGGTTGGGAAGAGTTTGCACATAGAGGAGAAACAGTCCACACTGTGATGAGTTTGCACATAGAGGAGAAACAGTCCACACTGTGCCCAGCATGAGGGGGAGGGATGCTGCCTGGGGTCTGTGTCCGTGGCAGGGCAGGGAGGGGTCTGGAGGGCAGGGAGCAACCCTCACAGCAGCAGAGAAGCAGGGCAAAGGACCACAGGGAAGGCCTCCGACTGCATAGGAAGGAGCATACAGGGACTGCAGGGGGAGCCTCAGCCTGGCGGGCTGGTCCAGTGAGGGAAGTGGGGTATATACATCTCCAAAACAGGGACCCAACTCTTAACCCTTCCTTCCATCTCTTTTCTACACAGTTAAATTCTACACAGTTAAGGAATTACGTTAAATTTTATATCAGATTTAGTCATACCCCTGGACCCCTGTTTAAAATGCTCCAATACCAGTTTGGCCAACATGATGAAACTCCATCTCTACTAAAAATACAAAAATTAGTCGGTGTGGTGGTGGATCACGCCTGTAGTCCCAGCTACTTGGAAGGCTCAGGCAGAAGAACTGCTTGACCTCGGGAGGCGGAGTCAGCAGTGAGTGGAAATTGCGCCACGACACTCCAGTCTGGGCGACAGAGTAAGACCCTGTCTCAAGAAAAATAAATAAATAAATAAATAAATAAATAAATAAATAAATAAATAAATAAATAAAATGCTCCAAAAGATTGTTCCCTGTCCATCCAACCTAAAGTAGCCCCTCAGATACTACCCCACTGTGCTGCGCAGTCCTCTGTATGGTGTATCATTACTGTCTGGGTGTTTCCATCTGTTCACTCTCTGTTTCCCCCCAGCAGAATGTGATATCCATGAGGGCATAGACTTTGCCTGTGTGGTTTTCTGCCCCATCCTCAGCTCCTAGGACAGTGACTGGAGGCAGAAGGCAATCCATAAGGAAGCGTTGAAGGAAGAATCAATGAAGGAATCACGGCCCCGGCTGTGCGGGATGACTCAGTTCCTACCACGGGTGCCATGTGCCGGATAAGATGCTGCTCTGAATCCCCCCAAAAGAGTAGTCATCTTCCTTGCAGATAAGGCAGCTGAAGGCTCCGTGTCTCTGTTTGCTTGTGCCCTTCCCCCAGTACCTGGAGAACGGCCTTCCCTGCCCCAGCTGAAGCTCCTAAGCCCGCCTCCCGCTGCCTGCCCTGACTTCGGGGCTCCTCCCCTTCCTCCAAAACCCTTCACAGGACACAAAGTGCCGAAGCCTGGAGTCGTCTGTGTGCTGGCCTTTCTTCCCCATGCACTTATGGACTGTTAGTGAATAGTGCCTATGTCTTACACAACTGAATCTCCACCTCCCTCGCTCGCTGCCACTGCGCCAGGGCTGCTCTGGGTATACAGCAGGAACCTAATAATCATCTGCTTCAACTGAGCCAGGCAGGGAGAGCCTTTCCTCCCACTGACCCTGGCGGCCCAGGGCGGAAGCCTCCTTCGCCTGGAATGCCACCACCTGTTGGGTCCTGCCCGCATCACCTTCCCCCTGCGTCACTTTCCTCTTTGTCCGCTCACACTTTGCTTGCATGCCTCCCGCTTCTGCGGAGGCATGTCCTCCATATGTGAAGAGCCAGGGAGCCCGCGAACCCCGCTTTAGGCCTCCTGTTCTTACCCTCTCCTCCCTGACCCTGCCTGATTTGGCAGCCCCCCACCAGCCCCCTCCCTCCTTCTTCATGCCCCTCCTCCCTCCCCCATTATCCTTAGCTTTGCAACCCACCCCCCAACCCCACTGTTTACACAGCTGCAGAATGAAGAGATGCTCTCTTCTCCACTCTCCAAGCCCAGGGTTAATATATGTGTATTTCTGGCTCCCCACAACTTGGGGCAGAGGGAACACTGCCCCCAACCCAATCTCCTGTAAATAGTTGGTACATGGATAGTGACATTTTCTGAGGATGGAAAAGCATGTTGAACCACTTAGAGTGAGTGATCCTGTGGATGCCTGTGCAGGTTGTACATAGCCTTCCTGTAGCCCAGGAAAGGAGCAGCTGCTCCACACTGTGGAAGCCCCAGACAGCAAGCGACAGGCTGAGAGGGGGCTGCACTGCAGACCTCGGAGTCACCAGGGCTCCAATCAGGGGCCACAGTTATAACAAGGATCCAGTGAAGGATCCTTGTTATAACTGTGAGCTGTGATTGCACCACTGCATCCTTCTCAGTCCAAAGCTTGGCCAAGTGTGTGGGCAAGTTGCTGGAAATTTTAAAAAACACAACAAACCACTAGACAAACTGTCCAGGAGTTCTAACAAATACCTTAGAACTATAACAAAAGGCTTGAAGGTATTTTGGGCCTCTCCAGTCCTAAGACGTGCTCCAAATGATCACCACCTCCTGGACCATACTTCAGGGCAGATGGGAAAACCCAACCAGAAAGGTCTAAAAAGCACCTCTCCTGAGCCTATGGTGGTATCTCAGCATCCTATTTCAGACTAATGCAGGTTATCTGAGATCAGAGTTCCAAGAAAAGAGCTTACGACAGTGACCTGGGGTCTGAGGGATGCAAAGAGCTGATGCCCTCGCCCCGTGGTGGTAGACAGGTTTAGGGAACAAAGCATTTGGAAATCTCAGTCACTGCAAATGACCCTGCAGTCCCTCCTTCTCTCCTCCTGGTTCCTATTACTCGGCAATTCCTAGAAAGCCATGAGACTTTTGACGCTCCTCTAAAATGAAATTGTTACTTTGCATTCTGACTTTCTCCCAGGAGCTCAGACTTGGGACTCTGTTTACCTCTTATGTTGCCCCTGCCCCCAACACAGCCCCCAGAGCATGATACATGGGTAGATACATATAACTGATCCCCGGCAAGGCTCTCTTTCCAAGAAATTACCTGACTTACCTTATGGGATGCCTCCCAGCCAGAAATCTGACAAGCCCAGCACCTGTCTCTCACCTTTCTCTTGAAAATTCATTCTTACATTCTGGGGCTCCAGGGACACACCAGGGGGTTCACACAATTGCATCCAGAGGCCTCCAGCTGCAAACATAGAAGGAAAGCCCCTGGATCTGACCCACACCAGAGGCCTCTCTGCAGACAAACGGGGGAAGTATGGACCTGATTTTGCCTGTGATGTCTCCTGGAGTCCAGGACAACCATGGTGACCCAGGTCATCTCAAAGCAAAGAACAGAGTCCAGAAAAATCTGCCTGTATGGACAGAGTGCCATAGGGTCTGAAATACTCACTGATACAGACCGGGCTTGAGTGAATAACTCACTTCAGGGTTGTTAAAGCCATCTTGGCATGAGTCTCAAGGTTGGGTTTTTTTTGGGGGGGGGATGGCGTGGTTTGAGACAAGGTCTTGCTCTGTCACCCAGGCTGGGGTGCAGCAGTGCAATCACAGCTCACTGCAGCCTTGACCTCCAGGGCTCAGGCAATCCTCTCACCTCAGCTCCCCAAGTAGCTGAGGGCATGCCACCATGCCTGGCTAATTTTTTGATTTTTTTTGTAGAGGCGAGGTCTCACTATATTGCTTAGCTGGTCTTGAACTCCTGGGCTCAAGCGATCCTCTTGCCTCCGCCTCTCAAAGTGCTGGGATTACAATCATGAGCCACAGTACCCAGCCTGGTGGGTTTTTATTTCTGGTAGAGACAGACTTTCCCTATGTTACCTAGGCTGATCTTGAATGCCTGGGCTCAAGCAGTGCTCCCACCTTGGCCTCCCAAAGTGTTGGGATTACAGGCATGAGCCACACCGCACCTGGCCCCTTATAAGGTGTAGCCAAGTTTTTATTTATGTCATTGCTAAAAAGGTACCTGTTTTGCCCTTGCCCTTAAGATCCTAATGCCTTGGCTAGTGGAGAGCGTCACAGGTATAACACATTGGCTGCCTCTTCCTAGTTGAGCTCCGCGAGGCTTCTGGGCTGCAGGTAGGGATTAGCTCCATGGTACAGATGAGGAAATGTGCCCATGGTCACACCACAAGGGAGCCAGCCCTGAGCCTAGGGGGTGGGGCTCCCAGCACGGGGCCTTCCTCTTTTCCACACTGCCCCTTAGGAACCACATTCCCAGCATCCCCAGAGGGTGGTGATAAACCAACCCTGCTCACTCCACTGCATCCTAGATTGTAGGATAAAGAAATGGCTTCGGGGAGACAGGGTAGGGACAGACAAAGTCCATAATGAAGCCAAACTCACATCCAAGTGCTTTGGATTAATATGAGCGTGTTATTTGTACTTAGTGGGGACCCAGGCCTAAACTAAGGGAAAATGAAAACAATTCTGACAGCCATTTCCTTGCTTTCTTTCTCCACCCAAGAGGTACCAGTGGTTAACAGTATGGTGGCAACAAGTGGGTCAGAGGTCAGCCCCTCAGTAAGCTCTGGTTTCCATGGAGATGAGGCCTATTCATCCAGCACACAGAGCCTCTTCACAGCCACTTACACACAATTGAGCTATTACTGGGAGCCCAGGAGAGCCCTGTCTGGAGCACAGTGCGCTAGACAGGGCAGGGTTTAATGGAGCTGATTAAATGGTAGTTGGGGAATTATCCAGAGCAGGATTTGAGAACACCCTTCAGAAACAAGTTAAATCCCCAAACCTCGGCCCATCCCCAGCAACCCTCTCCTGCAGAGCCTCTGCAATCCAAGCCACCCTTTCACCTTCAATGATGCCAACATCTGCACACTCAAGCTGACCTCACCTTTCTTCCCATGTGTCCATGAGACGACAAAGCCCTATTCTGAGTTTCCTGGACCTCACCACCTTTAGCGTCTTCATCTTTTGCTTAGCATCATGGTGATTTTGTGATTTAGAAAGGTATCAACCCACAGACAAAAAATTAAAAGTTAAGTAGGCGATCCACTTCGGGCAGAACATAAATTCCAGCAGATGGGGAATGTGGTCCAAGACTTCTCAAGAGGTGAGAAATTCTTTGGCATATGTTTGGGAATTCGTGAAATCAATCTTTTGAAAGAATGGGGGCATTCCTTCAAAAGATGCAGTACCATCTGTAACTTACCAGGCAGAGTTTCTACCAAAATTTCCACAACCTTTAAAATCAGAGTGGAATGGCCAGGTGTGGTGCCTCACACATGTAATCCCAGCACTTTGGGAGGCCGAGGTGGGTGGACCACAAGGTCAAGAGATCGAGACCATCCTGGCCAACATGGTGAAAACCCATCTCTACTAAAAATACAAAAATTAGCTGAGCGTGTTGGCAGGTGCCTGTATTCCCAGCTACTCGAGAGGCTGAGGCAGGAGAATCGCCTGAACCTGGGAGGCAGAGGTTGCAGTGAGCTGAGATCATGCCACTGCACTCCAGCCTGGCGAAAGAGCGAGGCTCCATCTCGAAAAAAAAAAAAAAAAAAAAAAGAAAAGAAAAAAGAAAAGAAATGAAAAAAGCAGAGTGGAACAAGAGAGATGAAAAGTGAAATGCCTTATTAGAAGATTATATTCTCACACAAAAACTTTACGTGACTATTTATAACAGTTATATACATAATCTTCCCACACTAGAAACAATCCAAATGTTCTTCAGCAGATGAATGAATAAACAAACACGGGTTCATCCATACAACGGAAAACCGCTCGGTAATGAAAAAGAACTACTAATACCTGCAGCAATGTGGATGAATTTCAAGTGCATATTAGTGAGCAGAGGAAGCCAGAATCAAAAGGCTACACACCATACGAATCCACTTATATCCTGGAAAAGGCAAAACCAGAGGGATGGAGAGTGGATCAGCAGTTGCCAGGGTTTGGGGCTCACTACAAAGGGGATGCCCAGGGAAATTTGGGGGTGGGTGGAATTGTTCTATATCATGATTGTGGTGGTACAATTTGTTAAAACCCCAAAAGTTAATTTTATAGCATGTTAAAAATAATTCTCTGGCTGAGTGCAGTGGCTCACGCTGGTAATCCCAGTACTTTGGGAGGCTGAGGCGGGCAGATCACGAGGTCAGGAGATCGAGACCATCCTGGCCAACATGGTGAAACCCTATCTCTACTAAAAATACAAAAATTAGCCAGGCGTGGTGGTGTGTGCCTGTAATCCCAGCTACTCAGGAGACTGAGGCAGGAGAATCACTTGAACCAGAGAATCGGAGGTTGCAGTGAACCGAAATCACGCCATTGCATTCCAGCCTGGCAACAGAGCGAGACTCCATCTAAAAAAAAAAAAAAAAAAATCTCTGAATTTAACCTTTTTAGAGAACACAAAAAGAAAGTGTGCTGACTCTTCAGGTCAGGAGAAAATGAAGAAGAATCTCCAGGATGGGTGTGGGGGCTCACACCTGTAATCCCAGCACTTTGGGAGGCTGAAGAGGGTGGATCTCTTGAGCCCAGGAGTTCAAAACCTGCCTGGGCAACACAGGGAGACCTCTTCTCTACAAAACAACCCAAAAAGTTAGCCAGGCATGGTGGCACATACCTGTAGTCCCAGCTACTGAGAAGGCTGAGGTGGGAGGATCTCTTGAGCCCAGGAGGTCGAGGCTGCAGTGAGCTGTGATTTCGCTGCACTCTAGCCTGGGTGACAGAGGGAGACCCTGTCTCAAAAAAATAAATAAATGAATAAACAAAATCACAAACAAAAAACAAAAAAGAATCCCCTTTGTTCTCTGAAGTTACACCTGCCAAGCTGTAACAGTAGCCCACTGGTTTTAATTCCTGTTGCTGTTATTGCTAACCAGGGTAAGGTAAAGATGAATATATTCCAGAACTGAAGCACTGCGTGGATAAGTATAAACATTCTAATGACAACCGGGATTGGATGGGGAACATCAACATTTATATTTTTTGAGATCTTGCTCTTCCTGAATATGTCACTGGAAGAAAAATAACAGTGGAGGAGATACCGCTTAATCAGTAGGAGAAAATAGTGGGAAGGAGAATGCAAAAATAGGGTTTAATGCCCATATGCTGAACAGTGGTGAACAAACTTAAGATCATCATGCAAAGGGGTCAACAAGACCTCACAGAGGTCTTGGCGGAATGAGACAGACGAATGGCTGCTTGTGTCCGTGGAATGTCAGCTTCCCCAGGACACTCATATCACTGCTGTGGCCCCCAGAACAGCTTTGGGCCATGGAGCTGCACCATCAGTATTTGTTAGATAATGAATAAATCTGAGGGTAGAAGTTCAGAGGAGGAAATATGATTAAAAAGAAATGGAGAAGAAATAATGGAGGATGTATACAGATCGCTTGACCGGGCTGAGCATCACGAAGCATTCCTGAGAGAGACTTAAAATAACAATCACAAAAACAAACACACACAGAGCAGAAAACAAAAGACAGAAAGCAGACAAAGGCGAGAATGGATTGCACGACAGCCTCAAGTCTCCAGCCTCTGCTGGCAGCTACTCAGCCCTGACCCGATCGCCTTGTGGGCTGCTGATCTGGGAGGCTCACCAGTCAGATGCAGAGGAAACATGATGAAGATCTGGACTCTCAACGGTGTGACAATGAGAAATGACACCCATCTTACAGCATACCAGGCACCATCCGAAGTCCTTCGCTAACATTAACTCAATCCTCTTGAGCACTATCTGAAGTAGGGGCTGTTGAGGGTCTCATTTTACAGATGAAGAAACGGAGGCACAGGGAAGCTCTCTGACTCACCCAGGGTGGGATCTAAACCTACCCTGACCAAAGGGTCTGCACCCTCAATCCCTACACTACGCTAGAAAAAAGAGATAAACCCACCAACACAAGGTTAACAGAAATGACGTCCTATACCCATGCCAGGGGTGGGAAATAGTGTGTGGAAGGGGACATGGTGGGAGGGACAGTTACACATGTGGACAATAACTTTTGGGGGAGTCGATTTTACAACATGGGTGCCGGAAAAACGAAGCTGCTTCAGTGGCCAGCATACTCCCTGGTGCCCAGGGACTGGTGTCCTGATCTTGGATACACCAGCGGTGGCCCAGAGTGGAGTTGGGTGGGTGGTGCAGAGAGCTGAGGACATTCAAAATGATGTTGTATGAGACCATCAGTGTGAGGAAGGTGATCTGAAAAGTGAAAGGCTGTCACGTGGACGAGGAGGAATTCAGTTTGCTCTAGGCTGCCCCCATCACTGCAGGTGTTCAGGCAGAGGCCAGGCAACAAATAGTTGGACCAGATAACTCTGTCATCTCAGCCAACAATTGATCATTCTCAGATGTGAAGTGGTTCTTAGGTCTTCTAGAGCTACTCAGGAGTGAAAAGCCCAGTTTCAACTCAAAGTAGGAATACAAACCAGGATGCTAGGAGGAAGCGCCAGACAGAGGAGAGATGCTTGGGCAGCTGAGTCAGGTGGGCAACCCTACAGCCTGGGGCTCTCTAACAGACCCACCTCAACAGGCCTGGCTTCCTGGGGGCGCACATTAGACCTGGCTGTTCCTGCTGGCCAGCTTAGTAACCTCGTTCATCTGCAAGATACTTGCAGATGTTCCAAAGGATTTTCAAGTACCCTATAATGTTTCTGGGAACATTTATATGTTCTTCCTCTCTAAATAGAGCATTATTCCTGAGGGGACCAAGATTTCAAGACACAGGGATCTGTCCAAACTTAGACTAAGTTTTGGAAAGTTTTAGGCATTTGTTCCTTTATGGAAAACTAACAGCAAATTAAAAGGCGATATCCACCCATCCCCTCAGGCTTTTCCTCTGGCAACGTGTATGCAGCCTTGAAGCTATTACAATTTTTGTTTTTTAAAAAAGCACGTTAGTAGTACTGGTTCTTCGCAATAACAAGGCTGCCCCACAGAAAGCAGAGTGTCACGTAGGGATGCAGGAGAAATGGGCACTCTATGGTTGCCCCCGGTATAAGCTGATTCAGCCCCCTGCAAGGAAATCTGGTGATATGATGTAGCTTTAAGATGTTTCTAAGGTTGGGCGTGGTGGCTCATGCCTATAATCCCAGCACTTTGAGAGGCTGAGACGAGTGGATAACCTGAGGTCAGGAGTTCGAGACCACCCTGGCCAACATGGTGAAACCCCATCTCTACTAAAAATTCAAGAAATTAGCTGGGCGTGGTGATGGGTGCCTGTAATCACAGCTACTTGGGAGGCTGAGGCATGAAAATCACTTGAACCCAGGAGGTGGAGGTTGCAGTGAGCCGAGATCACACCATTGCACTCCAGCCTGGGCAACAAGAGTGAAACTCTGTCTCAAAAAAAGATGTTTCTAGCCTTTTACTCAATGAGCCCAAATCTAGGATTGTACTCCAGGGTACTAATCCTAAATTCAGAAAAAGCTTAATCCATAAGAATCATGCACTGCACTATTGTTTATGAGAGTAAAGCACCAGAAAAACCCGAGTTTCTAAAAACAAGGAAACAGGGGAGTCAACTGAAGAAAGTGCTTAGGATAAAGTATGAAGTGAAAAAAGCTGGACACCAAATTGTACCTCAGTATGAAGACAACGATATTTGAAAAAGAGAAAGAAGCAGAAAACTTACATGCCAGAAGAAAGGTCTGGCAGAAAGTGGACCAACATTTAATTTATTTATTTGAGACAGGGTCTCACTTTGCCACCCAGGCTGGAGTGTTACTGGCACTATCTCAGCTCATTGCAGCCTTGACCTCCCAGGTTCAAGCGATCCTCCTGCCGCAGCAGCCCATGTAGCTGGGACTCTAGGCCTGTGCCACCACGTCCGGCTATTTTTTTGTATTTTTAGTAGAGACAGGTTTTCCCATGTTGGCCAGGCTGGTCTCAAACTCCTGAGCTCAAGTGATCCACCTACTTCAGTCTTCCAAAGTGCTGGGATCACAGGTGTGAGCCACTGCACCCAAACTGGACCAACATTTTAAAACTGATATATATTGGTGGCTGGATGATTAAGTAAAATTTAAAAAAATCTTCCCCCAATCTCCAAATTTTCTTTAATCAACACACTTTCACCTTCCCTTCTCTCTCTCTCTAGTAGCTCAAGACAGACGAGGTGATGACCCCTCTGAATGTGCTCCCCCCTTCTCTGTATGTAACTCAGTCTGGTGTGCCTCTTCCTAGTGTCCTGTCAGAATAGAGCTGCACTTGTACACATGTTCCTATCATTCCAGTTCTTTCTCTCTCCATCTCTTTAGCAGAATTGGGGTTATAGGACACCTTTTCAATAGCTCCTGTTTCCTTCAGAATAAGGTTCCAATCTCCTTCCTTCCTTCCTTTTCTTTTTTTGAGACGGAGTCTCGCTCTGTCTCCCAGCTGGAGTGCACTGGCACGATCTCAGCTCACTGCAAGCTCCGCCTCCCGGGTTCAAGTGATTTTCCTGCCTCAGCCTCCCGGAGTAGCTGGGACTACAGGTGTGTGCCAACACGCCCAGCTAATTTTTTGTATTTTCAGTAGAGACAGGGTTTCACCATGTTGGCCAGGATGGTCTCAATCTCTTGACCTTGTGATCCGCACGCCTCAGCCTCCCAAAGTGCTGGGATTACAGGCGTGAGCCACCGCGCCTGGCCCAAGGTTCTAATTTCTTTTCCTTTCTTTTTTTTTTTTTTTTTTTGAGACAGAGTCTCTCTCTGTCGCCCAGGCTGGAGTGCAGTGGCGCAATCTCGGCTCACTGCAAGCTCCGCCTCCTGGGTTCATGCCAATCTCCTGGCTCAGCCTCCCGAGTAGCTGGGACTGCAGGCGCCCACCACCCTCCCCGGCTAATTTTTTGTATTTTTTTTTTTAGGAGAGATGGGGTTTCACCGTGTTAGCCGGGATGGTCTCAATCTCCTGACCTCATGATCTGCCCGCCTCGGCCTCCCAAAGTGCTGGGATTACAGGCGTGAGCCACCGAGCCCAGCCTAAGGTTCAAATTTCTAAGAATGATAAAGAAGGACTTTGAGGGCTGGTCTCTGTTACCTCCCTAGCCCATCTCTCAACATCTCCTTCCTTGCTTCCTGTGACTAAATTCCAACCATTCTGAACTCCTTGGGAACCCCAAGTCAGGTGGCATACTTTGCAGGGAGCCCCAACCCACCTCTTCGCTCCCTTTCAAGGTCTAGGCTGCCCTTCCTCAGCACAACGTCCCCACTGGTGACTGGACATTCATCCCTCTCTCTCACTTGAAACGCAGTCCCTCTAAGGCTGGAACCCTATCATTTAATTTTTATTAAACAGAATTTTGTGTCACTCTGTTACCCAGGCAGGAGTACAGTGGTGCAATCACGGCTCACTGCAGCCTTGACCTCCTAGTCTCAAGGGATCCTCCTGCCTCAACTCCCCAAGTAGCTGAGACTACAGGCGTGCACCACCACACATGGCTGATTTTTAAAATTATTTGTAGAGACTGGGTCTCGCTATGTTGCCCAAGATGATCTTGAACCCGTGGGCTCAAGTGATCCTCCTGCCTTGGCCTCTCAAAGTGTTGGGATTATAGGCATGAGCCACCACACCCAGTCTCCTATCTTTTTATAATACCTTAGTCCCTAAGACACTGCCCAGACTGCTAGGACCTACTCAAGGATTAAATGTTGAATGGAAAAACAAATACCCAAACAACATGAAAATGTTTGTGACTAATTTTTTTTTTTTTTTTTTTTTTTTGGAGACAGGGTCTTGCTCTGTCACTCAGGCTGGAGTGCAGTAGGGAGATCATAGTTCCCTGTAGCCTTAAACTCCTGGGTTCAAGCAATCCTCCCACCTCAGCCTCCCGAGTAGCTGGGACTACAGGTGCACGGCACCACGCCTGGCTAATTTTTATTTTTGTAGAGACAGGGTCTCACTCTGTTGCCCAGCCTGGTCTTGAACTCCTAGCCTCAAGAGATCCTCCCACCTTGGGCCGCAAAGTGTTGGGATTATAGGTGTGAGCCACTGTGCCCAGCCCAGAATCCAGAGCTTATAAGGAGGATGGGAAATGAGCCATATACACTCAAATAAGTGGCAGGCATCACTGGTTTCTATTAGAATGGTAGAAACAAGACTGAAGAGTCAAGTTTTTAACTAAAGCTAAGCTTATATAATTTAAAAGACTGTCCTTTGCTCTAGGGTGAGCTTGTCCCCCCACCCACCCTTTTTGTTATTATTAAAATATTCTTTTTCACATGAAATTAGGATCGTTGTTTCTCTTAATATTCTTACTTGGTTAAAAAAAAAAAAAAGAGGGGGTATTACTCTGACAGTCCCTTTTCCCCACCAAGTTTTCTGAAATTCGAATGGTCCAAAAAACCCAGGCGTTGTTCAAGTGGCAACCACTCTAGTAGTTCATGGGAAGAACAGGTCGCCAAGGCCTGAGGGAGAGGGAGGCTCCTTTAGTTGAGTTCAGAGGGGGTTTGACAGTGTAAGCAGAGCAGAGCAATGCAGTGAGCGGAGCTAAGTGCAAAGGGGTGAGGGCAGGAAGAGAAGTCCAAAGATAAAGGGATTTGGTAGAGTTGTTACAAGGTAGATGCCGGAAAAACAGCAAAACAGCATAGGAGTGAACATTTGTTAAGCACCAACTCACTCTGGAGACCAAGTGCTTGTATTTTCTCAGCCACTCTATGTACGCTTTTGCACATCTGATCTTAAAGCCTCTCTGAGTGAGTCCCATCCCCATCCTGCAGGGTCACAGGGTAAAACGGCGGCAGCGGTGCTATTTGAACCCAAGCCCTGACTGTTCTCGCTGTCTTAGAAGCAAGACCTTGTGTTCAATTTATGATCAATGAGGATGCCTTGAAGGTTTGCAAGCACGAGAATGACATGGAGAAAGTGGTGCACTGGGAGGTTAAAAAAAAAAAAAAAAAAGGCGGGGGGAGATAAACAGAAAGGGAAGAGCTGGAGTCAGGGGCACTACTGCAGTGATCCAGGCTGGAAAACCACAAACTGTGTTCTGAGAGATGGCTCTGGGATCACAGGACAGTTTTAGAGAATACATAGGACCTAGGAGTGAGTGGTTATTATGGGACAGGAGGGAGAGAAGAGCTGAAGTCACCAAGTTTGGGTGATTAGGAGAATGGGAACTAAGAGAATAAAGTTGGGAGAGGAAGCTACTTTATGGTGGTAGATTTCCACCAAAACTTGGAAGTTGCACTGACATAGAGAAGCACAGTGTGGCACAGCAGCAAAGAAGCCAGGTTCCAGGCTAGCCCAGATTCAAATCCTGGCTTTGCCAGTGACTTAAGGGACTTGCCACTGACTTAGGCAAGTAATTTATCTGTGTGTCAGCTTCCTTAATGGTAAAATAGGGATAGGTACAAAATGGAGCTGGTACCATTCCTTCTGAAACTATTCCAATCAATAGAAAAAGAAGAAATCCTCCCTAACTCATTTTATGAGGCCAGCATCATCCTGATACCAAAGCCTGGCAGAGACACAGCAAAAAAAGAGAATTTTAGGCTAATATCCCTGATGAACATCGATGCGAAGATCCTCAATAAAATACTAGCAAACCGAATCCAGCAGCACATCAGAAAGCTTATCTACCACAATCAAGTTGGCTTCATCCCTGGATGCAAGGCTGGTTCAACATATGCAAATCAGTAAATGTAATCCTTCACATAAACAGAACCAACGACAAAAACCACGTGATTATCTCAATAGACGCAGAAAAGGCCTTCAACAAAATTCAACAGCATTTCATGCTAAAAACTCTCAATAAACTAGGTATTGATGGAATGTATCTCAAAATAATAAGAGCTATTTATGACAAACCCACAGCCAATATCATACTGAATGAGCAAAAACTAGAAGCATTCCCTTTGAAAACCGGCACAAGACAGGGATGCCCTCTCTCACCACTCCTATCAACACAGTATTGGAAGTTCTGGCCAGGGCAATCAGTCAAGAGAAAGAAATAAAGGGTATTCAATTAGGAAAAGAGGAAGTCAAATTGTCTCTGTTTGCAGATGACATGACTGTATATTTAGAAAACCCCATCGTCTCAGCCCAAAATCTCCTTAAGCTAATAAGCAACTTCAGCAAAGTCTCAGGATACAAAATCAATGTGCAAAAATCACAAGCATTCCCATACACCAATAACAGACAAACAGAGAGCCAAATCATGAGTGAACTCCCATTCACAATTACTACAAAGAGAATAAAATACCTAGGAATCCAATTTACAAAGGATGTGAAGGGCCTCTTCAAGGAGAACTACAAACCACTGCTCAACGAAATAAAAGAAGACACAAACAAATGGAAGAACATTCCATGCTCATGGATAGGAAGAATCAATATCGTGAAAATGGCCATACTGCCCAAGGTAATTTATAGATTCAATGCCATCCCCATCAAGCTACCACTGACTTTCTTCACAGAATTGGAAAAAACTACTTTAAATTTCATATGGAACCAAAAGAGCCGGCATAGGCAAGAAAATCCTAAGCAAAAAGAACAAAGCTGGAGGCATCATGCTACCTGACTTCAAATATACTACAAGGCTACAGTAACCAAAACAGCATGGTACTGGTACCAAAACAGAGATATAGACCAATGGAACAGAATAGAGGCCTCAGAAATAACACTGCACATCTACAACCATCTGATCTTTGACAAACCTGACAAAAATAAGCAATGGGGAAAGGATTCCCTATTTAATAAATGGTGCTGGGAAAACTGGCTAGCCATATGTAGAAAGCTAAAACTGGATCCCTTCCTAACACCTTACACAAAAATTAACTCAAGATGGATTAAAGACTTAAATGTAAGCCCTAAAACCATAAAAACCCTAGAAGAAAACCTAGGCAATACCATTCAGGACATAGGCATGGGCAAAGACTTCATGACTAAAACACCAAAAGCAATGGCAACAAAAGCCAAAATTGACAAATGGGATCTAATTAAAGAGCTTCTGCACAGCAAAAGATACTATCATCAGAGTGAACAGGCAACCTACAGAATAGGAGAAAATTTTTGCAATCTATCCATCTGACAAAGGACTAATATCCAGAATCTACAAAGAACTTAAACAAATTTACAAGAAAAAAACAAATGACCCCATCAAAAAGTGGGCAAAGGATATGAACAGATACTTCTCAAATGAAGACATTTATGCAGCCAACAGACATATGAAAAAATACTCATCATCACTGGTCATCAGAGAAATGCAAATCAAAAACACAATGAGATTTCTCATGCCAGTTAGAATGGCGATCATTAAAGTCAGGAAACAACAGGTGCTGGAGAGGGTGTGGAGAAATAGGAACACTTTTACATTGTTGGTGGGAGTGTAAATTAGTTCAACCATTGTGGAAGACAGTATGGCAATTCCTCAAGGATCTAGAACTAGAAATACCATTTGACCCAGCAATCCCATTACTGGGTATATACTCAAAGGATTATAAATCATGCTACTATAAAGACATATGCACATGTATGTTTACTGTGGCACTATTCACAATAGCAAAGACTTGGAACCGACCCAAATGTCCATCAATAATTGACTGGATAAAGAAAATGTGGCACATATACACCATGGAATACTATGCAGCTATAAAAAACGATGATTTCATGTCCTTTGGCAGGGACATGGATGAAGCTGGAAACCATCATTCTCAGCAAACTATCACAAGGACAGGAAACCAAACACTGCATGTCCTCACTCATAGGTGGGAGTTGAACAATGAGAACACATGGACACAGGGAGAGGAACATCACACACCAGGGCCTGTTGGGGAGTGGGGGCTGGGGGAGGGATAGTGTTAGGAGAAATACCTAATGTAAATGACAAGTTGATGGGTGCAGCAAACCAATATGGCACATGTATACCTATGTAACAAACCTGCACGTTGTGCACATGTATCCTAGAACTTAAAGTATAATAAAAAAAGGTAAAATAGGGACAAAGAACAGCAAGCACATACCTCATGGGAGGGTTGCTGTAGGGACTAAAGGTGTTCTTATTTGTAAAGTCCTAGAAAGTGTATGCCTTGCGGGGTTAAATCACTCATTCCCCCAATTTTTGCTGTGAGTGGTTGCTTTTGGGTACTTTTTGCTGGGTTTTGCAACTTTCTTCATCCTCCTTCTCATTCTCAGCACACCAGTATCTATCCAGCTCCACCTGGGGAAGCAGACACCCCATACATCCACCTCCAGCAGCTCACTTGATCAGGCCTTATTCCCTACCCTTGCCGGCCCCTCCCTCTAACCCCCCTTGGCTGTGGGGTCCTGCTCAGACACTCAACCATCCACCAAACACTCTAACTTCTACCTGGGATTCTGCCAGGTGAATAAAAATGAAATATTTAAAACCTTTTATTTTGTGGCCAGGTGTGGTGGCTCATGCCTGTAATCCCGGCACTTTGGGAGGCTAAGGCAAGAGGATCACTTGAGGCCAGGATTTCGAAACCTTGTCTCTACAAAAAATTTAGAAAAATTAGCAGGGCGTGATGGCACACACCTATAGTCCCAGCTACTCAGGAGGCTGAGGTGGGGGGATTGCTTGGGCCCAGGAGTTTGAAGCTACAGTGAGCTATGATTGCACCAGTGCACTCTAGCCTAGGCGACTGAGTGAGATTCCATCTCAAAAACAAACCATTTTGGAAAATTTCCAATGTACACAAAAGTAGAGAGAACAATATAATGAATCTGGTTAAGCCACCACCAGGTTCTGCAATTACTAGCTCATGGCCCGTCTCCATTCATCCATCCCCCACCCACTCCTTGCTCATCCACCCCTAAGCCCAAGACTATTTCGAAACAGAGCCCAGATAGCCTATCACTTCATTGGTAAATATTTCTGTGTGTTATCTCTAGAAAGCAGAAAATTTTTTAAAATCCTAAAAAATGTTTTTAAGGGTTAACAATAATTTTCTAATATTATGTCTTACAAATAATTTTTCCCTACAGTTTATTCCAATCAGGATCCAATGCATGGTCCATACATTTGCTATTGGTCAATTTATGTCTTTTATTCTTTTTTAAAGCCTTTAATCTTTTTTTTTTTTTTTTTTTTGAGATGGGGTCTCACTCTGTCACCCAGGCTGGAGTGCAGCAGTGCAATCTAGGCTCACTGCAGCCTCTGCCTCCCTGGCTCAAGCAATCCTCACAACTCAGCCTCCCAAGTAGCTGGGACGACAGGTGCATACCCCTGTGCCGGGCTAATTTTTTGTATTTTTGGTGGAGACAGGGATTTCACCATGTTGCCCAGGCTGGCCTTGAACTCCTGAGCTCAAGCAATCCACACCGTGGCCTCCCAAAGTGCTGGGATTACAGGCGTGAACCACCACGCCTGGCCAAGCCTTTAGTGTTTTTTTTTTTGTTTGTTTGTTTGTTTTTTTTTTTGAGATGGAGTCTCACTCTTGCTGCCCAGGCTGGAGTGCAATGGCCAATCTCGGCTCACTGCAACCTCCACCTTCTGGTTTCAAGCGATTCTCCTGCCTCAGCCTCCCAAGTAGCTGGGATTACAGGCGTGCGCCACCACGCCCGCTTAATTTTGTATTTTTAGTAGAGACGAGGTTTCACCATGTTGGTCAGGCTGGTCTCGAACTCCTGACCTCAGGTGATCCACCCTCCTCGGCCTCCAGAAGTGCTGGGATTATAGGCATGAGCCACCGCATCTGGCCACCTTTAGTCTTTTATAGCCTTTTAATCTTTAGGAGTCTTTCTCTTTCCCTATTTCCACCCTGCCCACGCCTCCTGTATTATTCGTGGAGGAAACCAAGTTATTGTTCCTGTAGTTTTTTTTTTTTTTAAGTCTGGATTTTGCTAATCATATCCTCATGGTGTCAATCTAACATGTTCTTCTGAATTGTATTTCTGGTAAATTAATAATTAGATCTAGAGGCTTGATCAAATTCAGGTTCAATGTTATTTTACTTTATTTTATTTAGGGGAGAGGGAATGCCATGGTTTGAATATGTCCCCCAAAGTTCATGTTTTGCAAACTTAATGCATAATGCAACAGTGTTGAGAAGTGGAAACTTTAAGAGGTGATTAGGTTATGAGGGCTGTGCCCTCATAAATGTATTAATGCCCTTATTGTGGGAGTGGGTTCCTGATTAAAGTATGAGTTTGCCCCCCATCCCCCATTCTGCCGTCTTGTGCACACACAGGCGTACTCTCTTGCCTTTCTGCTATAGGACGATGCAGTAAGAAGGCCTGCACCAGATGCTGAGCAGATGTCGGCACTATGCCCTTGGACTTCCCAGCCTCCTTAACTGTGAGCCAAGTAAATATCTTTCCTTTATAAATTACCCAGTTTGTGGTGTGCTGTTACAGCAACACAAAATGAACTAAGACAGGAAACAAGACTATTTCTTCTTCATTTATTAGCTGAAATACTTCTGTAAAGAAAAACTTTCCTCAACTAGTGGCCCAGTGGCAAACAGCACACAGCACAGGCAGGACAAATGCGTGATTCTTTCTATTAACATATTGAAAATAATGACTCAGCTCCCTGTTGTCCTCCAAAGGAGACCAGTGTTGTGTTTATTTTGTTGTGTTTTCTTGGTGTCAGCGTGAACTTAAGGATTTTAATAAATATAATATATTCTTGATGATCTAATTATTTCATCTTTTCCGTCTTACTCAGTTTGGCTGCTGAGTCCTTCCGACCTAGCAGCCCTAGTACCTGAGTGCGTAACAATAGACTTGGGTCTCTAATGGTCTTCAATAGCTTTCATGCTTTCTTGTATAACAATATATTCTAGGCTAACTTCATACATCGAATCAGCTCCTTCTCCCAGGAGCCTGGTTTTATTTTAACTGGGAAATGGGATTTGGTGAATATAATCTGAGCACTGGAGCTGGTCAGTGCTATTGAGATAATCATTGTTTCTAATCTTTTCCAGTGGATAGAGCTACAAAATATATATTCTCTCTCTTTTAAGCACCAAAATAACTTTCAAAATAAGCTTTAATTTTAAAAGGAAAACTAAATTATTTATTCCCACTTTTCTGAAGTTTTAAAAATGTTGTTTATAGTTATGGAATAAACTATCATCTAGTTATAAAACTATAGGCTGGGTGCAGTGGCTCATGCCTGTAATCCCAGCACTTTGGGAGGCTGAGGTGGGTAGAGAACGAGGTCAAGAGATCGAGACCATCCTGGCCAACATGGTGAAACCCTGTCTCTATCAAAAATACAAAAGTTAGCTGGGCATGGAGGCGCGTGCCTGTAGTCCAAGCTGCTCGGAAGGCTGAGGCAGGAGAATCGCTTCAACCTGGGAGGAGGTTGCAGTGAGCTGACATTGCGCCACTGTACTCCAGCCTGGGTGACAGTGAGACTCCATCTCAAAAAATATATATACATATATATATATTTTTTTTTAAGTACAGAAAGTAAGTAGAGACACTAATGGACACCAGATTGAATAGCTTATCATTTTCCCATATTAATCTAGAGCTCCCCACCTCTTTTTTTTCTTAAAGAAATAAAGTGTTATTGATATAGCTCAAGTATCCGATCTGTCATTCATTTATCTGCCCTCCCAGAAGTAATGTTGTCCTAAAGGTACTGCTTGTCATACCTCTGCATGTTTTTCATTGAATATATTTCACTACATATGTATTATCCACAATTTATAGGTTCAATGAGTGTCTTCAATTTTTTATTTTGAAAAGTTCCATTTTACAGGAAAGTTATAGGAAAAGTACAATAAACACCCATCTGTCCTTCATCCAGATCAATCATCGTTAACATGTTCACACATTGGCTTTGCTTACCTCCCTCCCCTATGTATGTATTCACACAAACACATTTTAATTTTGCAGAACCATTTGAAAGTCAGTTGTCAACATTGTAACACCTTACCCTCAAATACCTCAGCCCAGATCTCCTAAACACCAGGGCATTCTCCTGTATAACCAAATGCAATTATCATTCTCTTGGGAGTTACAAACATTCTTATAAATGGCACTACATTTTAGGTATTTTTTAGCCCCTTATTTTTTCTTTCTTTCTTTTCAAAGAGATGAGGTCTCACTATGCTGCCCATGCTGGTCTTAAACTCCTGGGTTCAAGTGATCCCACTGCCTCGGCCTCCCAAAGTGCTGGGATTATAGGTGTGAGCAACTGTGCCCAGCCTAGCCACTTACTTTTTCTAATGAGTGTTACACTTTTAGAATTTATTCATGTTAATACATGTAGATCTGAGTTAATTCACTATATTCTACTAGATGACTATATTTATTTATTTAATACATAGATGGCCACATATGTTGTTTCTAGTTTATGCTACTGTAAACAATGCAGCAAGGAGCGTTCTTGTTCATGTCCCTTGTGCTCATGTGTAGTAGATTTGCTGGGTCATAAGATATGTGCATCTTTGATTTTACTAGATATTGCCAAATCATTCCTCAATATAATACGCAAATGTGTCATTTATTAACAAACATCCTCGCCAACACCAGTATGCTTAGACTTTAACTTTTGCCGTCTCATTGTTTTAGTCTGCATTTCTCTGATCCTGCTTCTTTCTTTCAATGGAAAGCATACAACAGCATTTTCTGGGGAAAAAAAATTGTTTTTTGAGATGGGGTTTCACTCTGTTGCCCAAGCTGGAGTTCAGGGGCACAAGCGTGGCTCACTGCAGCCCCTAACTTCTGGGCTCAAGCCATCCTCTCACCTCAGCCTCCTGAGTAGCTGGGATTACAGGTGTGTGCCTATTTTATTTTATTTTTTGTAGAGACAGGGTCTGGCTATGTTGACCTGGCTGGTCTTGAACTCCTGGCCTCAAGTGATCCTCCTGCTTCAGCATCCCAAAGTATTGGGATTACAGGTGTGACCCAGTGCTCCTGGCTCTGAACATCTTATTCACCATTATGCCCGTCCATCACAGAGTATCCTTTTATATTATTACTTCTCATATTTTCCCCTGCCTAGATGGTCAGCTGCCACTTAATCTGCAGATGACTGCACTATATAATCAAGCAGTGTTCTTTTATCAAGTCAGGAAAGCCTGGGTAAATATCCAAGGACCTCTCCTAGAGGAAAAAATGCAAAAGCTTTAGGAAAGAACACTATCACCAGTTTTCCCCCCCCCATTGGAATAAAAAGATATTTTAACTAAATATTTCCTAGTTCATGATTTTAATATAGATGTTTGGAACCACTAGAAGTCAGATAACGCTGGGCGTGGTAGCTCACGCCTGTAATCCCAGAACTTTGGGAGGCCAAGGCAGGCAAATCCCTTGAACCTAGGAGTTCAAGACCAACCTGGGCAACATGGTGAAACCCCATCTCTTCAAAAAATACAAAAATTAGCCAGGCATGGTGGCATGTGCTTATAGTCCCAGTTATTCAGGAGGCTGAGGCAGAAGGATTGCTTGAGCCCAGGAGGCGGAATTGCAGTGAGCCAAGATCGTGCCACTGCACTCCAGGCCTGGGTGACAGAGCAAGATCTTGTCTCAAAAATAAATAAATAAATAAATAAATAAATAAATAAAATAAGTAAAGTTAGAAAAGTGTGGGATGCATTTCAGAACATTTTAAATCAAAAACACCTAGAGTTAATTATAGTGCTTTGAAAAGGGAGCATTTATTGTCTGGAAAAAAATTTCTTAAGGGATATAAGACATATATAGGAAAATTTCACCCTATAAATACATAGTGAACACCTCTCGGGCATTCTTCTAGGCACGGGAGAAGAGGACATGATTTTTGATTCCAAGGAATTCCATGGTCTAGTGAAGGAGACAAAAAAGAAAAAAATTATTTTGATAAAAACTGATTAGACCTAATTTAATGCTAGTACAAGTTGAGCATCCCTAACCCCAAAATCGAAAATACAAAATCCAAAATGCTCAAAAATCTGAAACTTCTTGAGTGCCAACATGACACTCAAATGAGATGCTGACTGGGGCATGTCAGATTTTCCAATTACAGATGCTCAGCTGGTCAGTATAATGCAAATATTCCCAAATCCAATAAGAGTTCCAAAACTGCGAAACACTTCTGGCCCCAAACATTTTGGATAAGGGATACTTGGCCTATACAGGGTATTGGGGGAGGGAGTACAGAAGGGAATCATGGGCAAGGAACATGCTACTCAGTGGTGGGTAGGATGTCAGTAAACTCTGAAAAAGAAAAGTGCCTCAACAGCACCTTGGGGTCATTGGTGAGGATACTGGTTGGCAGTGGAATGTCCGAGTCTGTATGGCTGAAGAGCATGGTGCCCATGGGAAGAAGCTGGGACACAGGCTGTGACACCCTATGCTGCGACATGAGTAGTGAGTGACATCAAACGTGAGCAGAATGTGTCTTCCCTCATTTGAACTCATTCACTTTAAACAAAGACCTTGGAAATTAAAGAGTGTAGAAACACCTTAATTTCCTTTTTCTGTGAACAAATTGTTCTGTTTCTCAGAGTGCTTCAGCTGCAAGTCAGTATAACTTGCCAGGTTTGCTTCAATCTTATCTACCTCGTGTTTGTAATTATCAAAGTTAGGAAGTTCACAGGCTTAGGTGGCCACTTACAAACATTTGTTGTGGAGTGAAAATGGCCACAATGTGCAGACTTGTTTCAAGTTGACGCTGTCAGTTTGCCAATGTGGTGAGGGCAGGAGGTGTCTTAAACAATGCCTCATATTCAACACACATGTGGGATTCCCCTTCTGAATTGAAGATGGCTTGCCTCTGAAGACTTCTGGTAAATCACCACGTTCTAGGGACAATGAATGGGGTCATTAAGAAGGCAACTCTTCCTTGCTGGGACACAGGCGGAGGAAGGCTTGCATCCAGGTAGTACTAGAACCCACACTTGGACGGTCTCCTGCAAGGCTCAGATCAAACATCTCTCCAAAGCCTCTGCCTTC
Source organism: Homo sapiens (assembly GCF_000001405.40). Lineage (NCBI taxonomy): Eukaryota > Metazoa > Chordata > Mammalia > Primates > Hominidae > Homo > Homo sapiens. The sequence continues at coordinate 85,216,868 of NC_000002.12, read as the reverse complement.
TCCAAGCTTGAGAAGCCCCTTTCTCAGGTATTTCAGGTGACATTTTATTCCACTTTGTTGGCGCTCACTGCAGGTATTGTAAAGACTCATGTTCCTGTTTGTTCTCTTACATTGTAAGCTCTGGAGGGCTGGGACCCTATCATGCTCTCCTTGGTAGCCACAGAAGTTGTTCGGTAATTGCTAACTGGAGAGGGGGATGCACACACACCAGGCATTCTTCCAGGGCCGGGAGGAAGGGGCTAACGTTGGTCTGATTAATTTCCCAACATACGCCTTCTAGAAGCAAAAGGAAGCATGGACATGTTTGTGGGCTGGTATGTTTGCTTCTATCTTATTTTACTCTCTGAGGCAAAATAAAAAGGGTAAGATGAACTCAGTTAACTTAATATCACCAATTGCTCACTGGAAGTTGTTTGGAATCCATCGTTTCCGAAAACTCCAAGCACAGCAGGGCGCGAGGTTCCCAGATGGCAAGTGGGCTGTCGGGTCTTCATGGGCAGCGGAAACGGGCAAATTGCATTTTGCACAGTCACATACCTTCTCAGCAGAGCCCAACTATTATTTCCTCACCAGTCAAGTAATGCAGGGTGGGGGATGGGGGGAAAAAAGCTGCCCGGAGCCACGGGGAAGGAAAGGCTGGGCAGGCAGGGCCCAAACTTGCTCATACTTTGTTAGTGCCTTTTCTTCCCTTTTGAATAAAATCTGCATTCCCTTTCTCGGAGAAGGGCAGCCGGGCTCCCCACCTAACACAGCCCTGAATGCAGTGGACTTGGTGCCCCAAAGCCAAGCTCCTCAAGGAAGCTGAACCCAGGCCAGCATCACCACAAGAGGAGAAAGGGAGATTGTCCCCCGCCCAGCGCCAACATTTCATTCTCTTCAGAGGCCTCAAAACCCTAATTTGACCACAAAAACCTGGCCTCTGGTGTTTCTGTTATGAGTATCGGATTCCTTCGGCTGAACTTGGCTGTTCACTGCCTGAACAAATTACATTAACAATACAGAGAAATGTATACAGGGCCTTAAAAACACTGCTGAGCAGGGACCAAAACAAAGACAGCCGTGTCCTAGCAACAAACCTCACCACCCCCCTCACCCCCCCCCACCCCCACCCCAGCAGCCTTGGGCTCTGCCAGGGATTGTAAGCCATTGAGCTCCTCTCTTCTCTGCAAACAATTAGGGACAGAGAAGTCACAATTACAGATGGGATTTACAGCCAAAGGAGCAATCTATAAATCACAGTGCTCCCACCCCCGGCCATTCCCAGCCAGATAATCAGAGCCAGATGTTCGGCACAGCTGCTTCAACGTGGGTACACTGTTGGCCAACTCGACCATGTTCCCGCTCTGAGAACCAGCAAAGGCTCCAGCCAAGCCAACCTGCCAAGCAAGGCGGGGGGCCTCTGCACCCTGGAGCCCACCCAACTGTAGGAAAAGTTGCGTTGTGTGGGAACTGTTTGTTGAAGCCATTGTAGAGGTACATCACTGGCGAGGGTATGTGGCTCCCTGGAGTTCCCTCGAACGCTGCACAATTTCGTGATAGTGGTGACAATGACAATCAGCATCTTTAGCATTTATTGATCACCTGCTACGGACTCACCACTGGGTGGAGCACGTTACAGGTACTCCTTTGCTAAAGAACACTCAAGAGTTCACCCAATTCACAAAGAAACGGAACCTGAGAGAGGGCAACTGTTTTTCAGAAGGTCCCGGTGTTAAAGTGGCAGAACAGCAATTCAAAGCTGGATCTGCTTGACCTTGATGCCCCAGGAATCTCATCTAATTGTAGAGGGATGGACAGACTCTGGTTTCAGGGCACAGGGCTGGAGTTTCCAAATTACTCTCTTGATGGTCAAACTAGGAAGAGACTTGCCATTATTTTACTCTCCATAGCTGGCTGGTGTTTTAAATGTCTGGACTGAACCAAATCAGGTTTTTAGCACCTAGGACCAGGGGACAGCAAACTCCAAATATGGTAAAAGCTAGGTTATTCAAATGTTGCCAAGGTGTTTCTGTTCACAGTCCACCTTTATGCATATTTTTCTTTATTGTTACTTATTCACTGAGATATAGCATATATACAGTAAAATGTACACATCTTTTTTAAAACTCGGGGAGCCCCTGTTACCAGAATAGGTTCAGAGCGATTCCCCACATCTTAAATGTACAGCTCAATTAATACATCTGTATAAACTTGTGTCACCACCACCAGATCAAGATACAGAACATTCCAGAACCATTCTAGAGGTTCTTGCATATCCTGTCCCAGCCAACATTCCTCTGCCCCCAAGGTAACTCCTACTCTAACCTTTATCACCATAGACAGTTTTGTTTTTGAGCCTTATTGTGTCTTGTTTTGAATACACATGTCTTTTGTACAGTTTTGGTTATTCTCAGGGTCAAATCAAGGCTCCCAATTCAAAACTACCAACAACGAAAACTCGAGATAACACAACTAGTCCTATCGGCTGGCACTGGCTTTGGGAGACAATTCCACAACATCCCTAACTCCTCCTCATAGGACCCTGCTCCTGGTGACTAAGACTGCCCCTGCCCTCAAGGGGCAGAAAGGCCCCAGGCCATTTGTCTTCGAGCATCACCCGGTAATCGAATCTGGTAGTAACAAGCTGTGTTTACCCCTCTTGCCACCCGTCATCCTTGACACGCTGACAGCCACCATCTTTCACTCCTCAGGAAGTGCAGCAGGGCATGGAGGATGTGGCTGTGGCTCTTCACGGGAGGGGGAGGATGACACAGGCTGGAATGCCTGGGTTCCCTGACACGGTTCAGGCTGCTGAGCATGGCACTCCCCGATCATCCCTCACACCTCTCACCGCCCCGGAGGTGGCTGAGTCAGGGGCGTTCCGGGGTGAGAATGGCAGCAGGAGCATCCCACTGGGGTGGGAGGAAGCCCCCCATCCATGCACAGTGGGACACCCTCTGGATCCAGCCTTTAATTCAGAAATCTGGACAGAAAGCTATGCAAGATATGGGGGCAGTGGGTTGGAGCTGTGAGACGTTTCAGTCGAAATGACACAAAAAGGCTAGCACATCAGACAGAGATTCTGAGAAGAGAAAACACACTCCTGGGTGCTGGGAGGAGGGGCATGGGCAGAATTTTCTTTTCTTGGCCTTCCCTCCAGAGTTTTGACCTCACCCAAAAGCGCAGTACTGCCCACCTTAGCTCCTTGGCACTGCCACAGTTTCACTTCCCAGGGTGGTTATTTTTAGCTGCCCCAAGCACCTGTTTGTTTCCATGACTGTTGAAAATTCTAAATGTGTTGGCATATTATGACATGGGACACTTCCAAGGGATCTAGTGCCATCAGCCGGAAATGGCAAATCCTTAGGAATTTTCACTCTCATTCAAGTATTTATGGCTGATACATAAATACAGTGACCTTACCTTCCAAATAAAACACTGGGGCATAGGATTCCTCAAAGGCTATTTTTGGGTATTACTTCTAAGTGTGAGACAATCAGAGAGGTGTCATTGGGAGGTGGAAACCATAGAATTATAGGATATTCCTGATTTGTAGGGAATATGTCTCATTACCTATAATAAGAACCACTAGAAAATTCATAACTTAAAATCAGTGTAGACACAGGCTACTCTAGAGTTCTGCATTTCGAAGTTTAATACAGTTCCTTGTCATGGCTGCTCCCACCCAAAAAGGAGCTGGGGTCCATTCATGCACCTGGCCCCCAAACCCTCCCCCCACCCCAGCCACAGGGAAACTGGAGGTTTCTCCTGCCCATCTTTGTGCTCCCCTTCAAGGCGTTTTCTGGGCCTCCCTTGGGTCACCAGTCCAGTCTTGCACAACCCCTTCTCACCCCACCCCACACCTCACCCACTTCCAGGACTCCACCAGACAGATTTTCTAGATTCTCTTCTGCTGAGGGACAAGGTTTTGTCACATTCGAGTCCCAGGGGACATCTTAGGGCCATTCCACTTCCCAATCCCGTAATGACACAGAAGGGTCCTCTGACCCTCCCCATGTCTCTGTTTGGACCCCACAGTGACCTTGCCCACAGCCTGCTCAGCGGGTTCGTCTCACCGTCCTGAAGAAGGCTGTGCATGCTCAACCTGGGGGTGATGACATCCTTCCTCAGGGGTCCAAGATACTGACGTGCACCAAGACCCAAACCCATTTGCAACTCACACAGAAACAAAAGAAAACTCATCAGTCATAAAAGGACCCTGCTGACAGCCACTTGACACGGTGCACACTTTCCACCTCTGCGCTTTTACTCTTGCTGTCCCCCTGCCTAGCATGGCTCTTCCCTCTCGCAGTTCAGGCCCAATTCAAAAGACAGGTCCTCTAAAAAGTCCATCAATCCCCAGGCTGTGATGAGTTTTCCTTCTTCCGACCCACAGAGCAAGCACATGAATGCTTCCCAGGGTTGGGCATAGAGGAGTCAAGATAATAACAGCAGCCACAATAATAATTATCAGGTGCTTCTGGGCTTTTACACAGACTGAAGCTCAGCAAATCCCCACAACAAGATCAGGACGCAGGTACTGCCACTGCCCAGATGTACAGAAGAGGTCAGGTAACCTGCTTGAGGTCATGCCAGCTGGTAAGTGGTGGGTCCAGGGTTTGAACCCAGCCCCACTCAGCCCAGACACACCACAGAGCTCTGCAGGAGGGGTGGCCACAGCCCATCTGGGGGCTGCTGACTGTTACCGTGTAGGAATTTGAGCCCATTCTTGCCATACCTCCTGATTTTTTGAGACAGGCTAGAAGTCTGGAATTTTTTTTTTTTTTTTTTTTTTTTTTTGAGATGGAGTCTTGCTCTGTCGCCCAGGCTGGAGTGCAGCGGCGTGATCTCAGCTCACTGCAACCTCTGCCTCCCAGGTTCAAGCGATTCTCCTGCCTCAGCATCCCGAGTAGCTGGGATTACAGGCGCGTGCCACCACATCCGACTGATTTTTGTATTTTTACTAGAGATGGGGTTTCATCATGTTGGCCAGGCTGGTCTTGAATTCCTGACCTCAGGTGACCCACCCGCCTCGGCCTCCCAGAGTGCTGGGATTACAGGCATGAGCTACCATTCCTGGCCGAAAGTCTGGATTTTTACATGCCTTTTTTAACTTTGTAAAATCACTGTTCCTGCCCCAAATCACAGCTACAAGGGATGTGGGCCCACGGGCATAGGTCATGCCTGCTCTAAAGACCAGACCAGGCACTGCCATGTGGGGTCTCCCCTGCTGTGGCCTGGAATTATGATTTCTATGTCTGTGGTTTCAGAAACTCTTCTTGCCTAAATTATAAGCTAGGTGAGGGCAGGGAGCAGGTCCTATAATGCATCGTTTTATGAAATCCCACATAGCTGTTGCCCCTCCTGGAAGGCACAGGGATAGACTTACCTTCATGGAGATCCCACTACGAGCCAGCACTGGATGAGACCCTTCCCATGTGTTGTCTCATTTAATCCTCATAATGACCTGTTGAGGTTGGTAATACTGACCCAGCTCTTTCTTTTTAAACCAGTGAAGATCTAAAGATCAGAGAGGTTAAGTCTCTGACCGAAAGTCACAGACATCAGGGGCAGTGCTGTGCACACACCTTTCAACTCAGAGAACTGATGTACATATTGTTGATAGTCTCCATCGTGGTGGTTCCAGACAATTCCTAAATTTATTAATAAGGAGGAGTTTATGTTTGGCAGGATCTCACCAGAGACATGCCTATCTCTCAGTAAATAAGAAAGCAATTGGATCCCTGGATACCTAAATTCTCAGAGCTCTCAGGCCACTGTTTGTCTTGAAGACAGAAAACTGCCCTAGAGATGAAAGCTATTCAACAATGCGTACTGAATCTCTACTGTGTGGCCTATTTTATGAGTGCAGAAGTCAAGGTGCCTCTGGGAGATAGACCCATCTTGCTGTGTGACGGGAGGCAGTGCAGAGTGGGTGGTGCCTCGCGCAGGTTCCTGGGCTCTGCCACTTGTTAGCTATGTGACCCTTAGGCAGGTTGCTGCGATTCTCCACACTTCATTTTCCCTCCCTGCATGTGGAGGTAATGAGATGATGCTGACCGAAATCGCCACCTCACAGGGCTGTTGTGAGGATTAAATTAGTTAACATACATGTTTAGAATGATGCCTGGCACATGGCAAGTACTCCGGAAATGACCATGTTATTATTTAGAACACTAAGTCGCTATTCCCTTGCCACGCCCCATGGAAGAAAGAGGCCCTAACAGACAAGGACAAAGGGCTGGGAACAACCTGGATGAACCCAGCCCTCCCTCCGCACTGTTGTCTGAAACTTCCTTCAATGGCCTGGTGAAACCTCTTCCTCCCCTGGACAAATCTTGGCTATGGTGTTTTCACTTGACTCTCTTGGGTTTTCCAGGTAGACAATCTGCAAACTGTGATAGTTTTACCTGTTCTTTTCCAACCTTTGCTGTCTTGGCTACTGTGCCAATGCAAAACCCCTGTCCTCCTCTCCTAGCCCTTCACACTTGTCTACCTAGCACCAACCCTATGGCACTAGTGGAGATGCCTGCCAAGGGGAGAAACTACAGGGCTCCAGCCAGGGGCCATAGCTGTGCTGGGCCCTCAGCCTCCCCAGCAGGGCAGAAGGTAGAATGAAGATGGGGATGCCCATGTGTGTGGGGAAGGGGCCAGGCAGGAGCGAGGCCTCTCAGAGGAGGCAAGGGGAAAGGCACAGCTGGGTTACTATAAGGAGCCAGTTAATGGTAACATGGCTGGGAGTGTTCCCCATGGGGCCTCACCCAGGGCTGGTCTCAAGAAATACTGCTGAATCAACACTGACCTGTGAAGACTATATCCAGTTCATCATGGGCACAGCCTAGGTGGGGCCCTTCTGAATTCTCCCCTTTGCCAGGATTCTAAGAATATGGAGATCCAATTGCCTTAGAGTTTACCAAGAGACACCCATGTCTCAAACAGAGATCCCTGCTAAAAAATGAAAACAGTTTCCTAATTCATTAATATTCTAACTGATTTCCCTGTCTGGAACCACCCCAGATCTGCTAAATTAGACTCCCTGGGAAAGGGCTATAGGATACATTTTTAGAGGAAATAAATCACCTCATAATCAGGAAATGCAATAGCTGCCTCGGTGGGTTTCTGTGCAAAGGTGTCGCTCCCCATTGCCTGGGTGTATGTGCCTGTCACCCCTGGGAGACAGCCCCTTAATTCCAGTGCTGCACCTTCTGCGCTTTGGAATGGGCCCAGGAGTCTGCATTTCGACAAGCACCTGTGATGATTCTGAAGCAGGGGTCTGTGGACCACACTCTGAGAATTACTGCCCTGGCATTTTCCAGGTTTGAAGTTCCTGAGCATCCTCTGTGTAGTTTCCCAATCTCTCTTCTCACCCAAGATGCTCCTTAGGGCATTGAGGTTTCAAACAGTGCCTTTTCAGAGCATAAGCAACGGGCAGACCACAGGAAAAGCAGCAGGATTCCCAGCAAGTACTGGCACTGCCACTGAAACACCTAGTTTGGAAAGGGCTGCAGAATGGTCAGCTAAGCCTTTCCATCTCATGCATGTACCCGAATAGGACAAGTGCCACCACCTCACATATAACTGTGTCCACAGTTGCAGGCAAAGGAAGGTGAACAGGTCACTCAGGCCTCCACACCTTTGTGATCCCTCCATTGGAGACAGCAATCACTTTCCTCTTTGGGCTACTGCTTAGAGATATACTGCCTTATTCGCTCTCTAGCCTAACTTAACGAAGGCCAGCTGGTTCTAAGGGCCTTCCTGGCAATCGGAAACAGCTTGCCTGCTACCTGAACTGGATATGTAACATTCGTCTGTCCCACTCGGAGGAAACGCTTACAACCAGACCACCCTGTTTTAATGTGGCGCCTTTCAGATTAAGAGAAATATTTGACCCCGTTATTCTATGACTCCTGTAAAATCCTACAACAGATGCAGAGAAAAATGTAAAGAAATCAATGACATACAAATGAGGCTGAACCTGCCAAGCCCAGAATGTTTTGTAAAGTAATCTTGTTCTTATTAACTTCATATTGTCTCTCAACAGGAGAAGTAAAAAAATTCACATTTTCAATGATCTATTACTTCCTCAAGATAATAAAAAGTAAATTGAAGATATAAAAAATGTGGCCCATAAATATCTTTTTCCCACCCTGGAATTGTCCCTTCCACAAAAAGAGGCAGCTCCCATTTCCATCCTTCCAGAGGCCCTCTTCCACTAAACCTGGTGTATTTAGCTTTAGATGTGTGGCAAAAACTAAAACTGCACCATGAGACAAGATAGACACACAGATAGAATTCACTCTGAAAACATGGAATGGTGAGAATTTAGCCATGAACTGGATACGGTTCATCCCTTCACTTCCTTCGGGTCTCTGCTTATATATCACCTTCTCCATGCGGTGACACACACGGACAACAACATCCCCACCTCTTCTCTCTACCTGCCTTACTCTGCTTTATCTGCTCTATTTGCTCATAGTGCCCTTTCCCACCTGACACGCTGTATACGTATGTCTCTCTCTCCTGCCAGAAGGTGACTTGAGAGGTGACATCTGATTCACTGCAACAGGCCAGTACTAGAAAGTACCCCATACTCAAGTACAGATGTTCCTCCACTTACAACGGGGTTATATCCTGATAAACCCATTGTAGGCTGAAAATATACTAAGTCAAAAATGCATTTAATAGGCCAGGTGTGGTGGCTCACACTTGTAATCCCAGCACTTTGGGAGGCCGAGGCTGGTGGATCACAAGGTCAGGAGATCGAGACCATCCTGGCTAACACGGTGAAACCCTGTCTCTACTAAAAACACAAAAAATTGGCCATGTGTGGTGGCGGGCGCCTGTAGTCCCAGCTACTCAGGAGGCTGAGGCAGGAGAATGGCGTGAACCCGGGAGGCAGAGCTTGCAGTGGGCCGAGATGGCGCCACTGAACTCCAGCCTGGGCGACAGAGCAAGACTCTGTCCCCGCCCCCCAAAAAAAATGCATTTAATAGACGTAATCTACTGAACATCAATGCTTAGCCTAGCCTACCTTACACTCAGAATACTTACATTAGCCTACAGTTGGGCAAAAACACCTAACGCAAAGCCTTTTTAATAACAGTGTTGAATATCTAATGTAATCTGTTGAATACAGCACTGAAGTACGGTTTCTACTGAACGTGTATCACTTTTGCACCACCATAAAATCAAAAAATTGTTCAGTCAAACCATCATAAGTTAGGGGCCATCTCTGCTTGGTGAAAGAACTATTCCAGCTGTCCATCCATCCACCCACCTACCCTTTCACGTTCCATCTACCCACCCTTTAGTAAAAGCTAATGATGAGTGAGGCACCATGATGACCATTTTATAAATGGGTGAAGAGAACAGACACAGTATTTGCTCTTGGAGGGATAGCTAGCCGGCAGCTGTGTGTACAAAAAAATACAAAGCTATGTTTCAGATAAGTGCCAAGGGTGCTGTGAGAAAGGAAAAAGGAGGAACCTGTGTATGATTAGGGAATCAGGGATGTGCAGAGCACACAGGACGTGGGCAGGTGCAGTGGACGGAGCTTGGTGGTTGTGACTGAGGGACAAAGTGGTGTGAAAGACAACAAGGGTCAGGCCACACCTGCCAGCAACCACTGCTTTGTGTGCATGGTAGGTCACAGGCAGTAACTTGGAAGTGAATTCATCAGTGACATGCAAGTATTAACTTTATTTACAAGATTTATAGAAGGGATGAACAAACTTAAAATGTTTGCCCCTACACTGATTATAAAAGAGTACTAAAATCAATTATGAAAATGTGGGTTTAAATTCCTATTTGTTCTGCATCAGTGAAGATGCTTCTTGAGTGTCTGAGAAAAATCTTGGTATGAGGAGTAAACATAGCTAACACATTTTGGGTGACAGAATACCACGCACGCGCCTTAACACTGTTGTTCTGAATGACATTTCTGACCAGAGAGTGGTGTCAACATTCACATTCAGGAGAATGATTTAATGTGTATTGTCCTAAAAACAAATCCTTAAAAGATTGGATTATCTTTTTTTCCTAGAGTAAAATATCTCCTAAGACGTTTGTTTCCTGGGATTAATTTTCTCCTAAAATTATAGTATGTGCAACACTTTTGATTAAATGAGGCTCTCTTTATTGAACTAGAAACTCTTTGAAGGGAGGCATTATCTCTGGACTTCCAGCACTAGGATCAGTGCCTGGCCCACAGGAGATCCCTCAAATATGTTGGATGAGATGAAAGGGTCCCAGTAGTCAAGATTTTGCTGAGTCTGGATTAGCACAAACCCCACTCTCAATATAGTGTCGGCCACATGCTAGCTGTGAGATTACAGGTGATGGGATGGACTTTTTGGGAAATTAAATGAAATCATGACTTACAAAGAGTACCCATCCCAGAGCCTGGGACTTGGCAGTCAATGAATTAGTGGCAGAGATTACTGTTTTGTATTCAAGAAGAACCATGATTGTTCATGCAGCTTTTACACTACCACCTTAACTGCCTTCTATCAGAATCTTACCTTGGCATAAAACCACTAACCCAGTGACACATTTTGTGGTCAAACAGCCCCACAGAGTGACTGCAGAGCGTCTCTGGTCAAGAGCCAACACACAAGATGGCCACCAACAAGGCAAGGTCAGTGGTGTGTGGGTGGAAGAATTGCCACTGACTTCCCACCAAGGTGGACTCAGTACCAATGGGCAAATCACAGGCTCTGTTCTTGAGCCACGTGTGCTCATTTCTCATCATGGCCACTGGCCCTAGCCCCTGCAGACAGGGTACAGGAGCCCAACAAGAGGGAGTTAATAGCCCCAGCTAACAGGTACCTTCACTTGGAACTTTGTCAGCAATAAAGGTATGCTGTGAATTACAGAATGGACTGCCAATCTGTTCTTGGTGACAGGGCTCTGAAGAAAGCATCCAAGTGGATGGCAGTCCTTATCAATGAATTATCCATCTCCAGGATCCAACTAAAGTGGTAACATTCAATTTTTCCATCAAGTCCACTGTTTTAAAGAAGCACAGGTGTGGAGAAAACTGCTTGAGCAGCTAGAATAAAGAATATGGAGGCTGGGTGCAGCGGCTCACGCCTGTAATCCCAACACTTTGGGAGGCCAAGGCAGGTAGATCACTTGAGGTCAGGAGTTCGAAACCAGCCTGGCCTACATGGTGAAACCCCTTCTCTACTAAAAAAAAATACAAAAATTAGCAGGCTTGTAATCCAAGCTACTTGGGAGGCTGAGGTGGGAGGATCGCTTGAACCTGGGAGGCAGAGGCTGCAGCGAGCCAAGATTACACCACTGTACTCCAGACTGGGTAACAGAGACTCTGTATTGAAAAAAAAAAAAAAACAATGTGGGCTGACAAGCATTTCTGCTTGCTGCCCCGGAAGTCTTCTATGAACAGGCCGGGAGTGTAGATGCACACAACAATCTATCTGCACATGAGTCCATCATTTCAAGATACAGGCTTTAGTTGACAATTGGCCATACAGAAGTATGGTATTGCTACAGCCGGAAGACAAAGGCTTTTAATATACAGTTCACTCACGACCTTCAACTCTAGGCCTGCTCAGCACTGAGAGAGAAAATGCAACGTAAATTATGCTGCAAGAGGGCTTTATTTTTCTTTTAAAAAATATCTTTATTCTTTTTCAAGTTCCAAAAGCAATATACATTTATTATTTTAAAACAACTTGAAACTAAAATTGTATTATTTTAAAACAACTTGAAACTAGAATTTCAATTTAGAAAATAAAAATTCTAACCAGAAAAAATTCTAACTAATCCTCCTAATTCTCCTAATCTCATTCCACTTCTAGGTAGTTTTCCCTTTTCTATCTCTAAATATGTTGTTTAAAATATGAAACGCTTCACAAATGTGTGCATCATTCTTGCACAGGAGCCATGCTACTCTTCTCTGTACTGTTCCAATTTTAGTTTATGTGCTGTCAAAGAGAGCCCCAGGTAGTTTTCTGTGTATAGACTAAAGAAAAAAAACAAACAAAACTAAGTAATACCTTCTACAAGTATTTTCTCTGCTTATTAAAAAAAAAAATTTAAATGAGGTATAATTTCTGCCCATTGGATTAATTTAAATTTTTAAAAAGTTGGCAAGGGTATCACTCCCATACTATTCATTACAGTGTAATTTCACAAAGCCTTTTTTTGGATGGTATTTTGGCAGAATTTATTAAAATTTAAAATGCTAGCTGGGCGTGGTGCACGTGCCTACAGTTCCAACTACTTGGTAGGCTGAAGTGGGAGGTTTGCTTAAGCCCAGGAGTTCAAGTCCAGCCTGGGCAACATAGTAAGACCCCGCCTCTACAAAATAAAATAAAATAAAATGCACAAATACTATCAGACCCAGTAAATCTACTACTAGCAATCTATGCTGGAGAAAGACTAGTTTGGGCACACAAAGGTGTGTTCAAGTATGTTCTTTTTTTCTTCTTAACATGCCTACCAACATGGGAATGCTTACAAGGTACATCTCTACTATGGAATACCACACAGTGGCTAATTAGAATGAGGTAAGCGCGTATGTACTGACATCGAAAGGTCTCTGAGATACCCTATTAAGTGGGGGGGGGGGGGGAAGCAAGTTATCAAATAGAAATAACAGAATCCTCTTTGTGTTAAAAAATCCACAAAATAATACATAGTAGTTGTATATGTATATATTCAAACCAGCCAGGAAGAACACACACCAAATAGCAGTGAGTGAAGTGGAGCTAGGCAGAGAGGGGAAAAGAAAATCAAGGAAGAATTTCATTTTACTTGTACTGTTTGATTTTTTTTACCTCCATTAGCAAGCATCTCTTTATTAAATATAAAAAGAATAATGAAATAAATCTTTCATTCAGTTGATATATTTGAGTGTGGCATGAGGTAGGGATCTAACTCCCCCTTCCAAACCGCCCCTCCCTGTATAGTTTGAGTCGTTTAGGAGATTTCCCTTGCGTTCTTTTCATCTATTATCACATCATTATCACTTGCTGTGGCTTTTATAGGATGCTTCAACATCGTTTTCAATACTGTTAAAGGTATCTTTTAAGTTTTTTAAACTTCTTTTTAATCTATTTAGAATTTATTTTCTTCCCTTCTTCCCTTCCTTCCTTTTCTTTCTTTCTTTCCTTTTTTTTTCTTTTTTCTTTTTTTGAGATAGGGTCTCACTCTGTCACCCAGGCTGGAGTGCAGTGGTGTGAACATGGCTCACTGCAGCCTCGACCTCCTGGGCTCAAGTGATCCTCCCACCTCAGCCTCCTGAGTAGCTGTGACTACAGGCACACACCACCACGCCTGGCTAATTTAAAATTTTTTTTTGTAGAGACAGGGTCTTGCTATGTTGCTCAGGCTGGTCTTGAACTCCTGGCCTTAAGTGATCCTTCCATCTTGGCCTCCCAAAGTGCTGGAATTACAGGCGTGAGCCACCATGTCTGATTGGAATATATTTTCTTCTATGGTATACATTTTCCATTTAGCTGAGTCTGATGTATCCATAATCTGAACATGCATTTCAACTAATCTTGGTTATCTACCAAAGAATTAAGATCTTTAAAAATATGACAGTGAGTTTGGCAACTCACCTGTGACAGAGCCATGCAATGTTCTGGTCATGTTCTGGTGTTAAGATACACATAATACCTCAGAAATAAGTTATAGCTTCCCAATGTTAGAAATGCTATTAAAATTGACTGAACAGAGAAACTATGGAGAATACACTTTAACCTTTCATAAGAGTTAGGAGGTACTGGGCGGGCGCGGTGGCTCATGCCTGTAATCCCAGTACTTTGAGAGGCCAAGGCGGGCGGATCACGAGGTCAGGAGATCAAGACCATCCTGGCTAACATGGTGAAACCCCGTCTCTACCAAAAAAATACAAAAAATTAGCCGGGCGTGGTGGCGGGTGCCTGTAGTCCCAGCTACTTGGGAGGCTGAGGCAGGAGAATGGCGTGAACCCAGGAGGTGGAGCTTGCAGTGAGCCTAGATGGCACCACTGCACTCCAGCCTGGGCGAAAGAGCGAGACTCTGTCTCAAAAAAAAAGAAAAAGAGTTCGGAGGTACTTTAGGTTCAAATAGGCCTTTAGAGTCAGTGTTTATCTCTCAATTGAACCTCACAGTACCTTACGTGCCTCACCATTACAATAAGGGACTAGAGCTCCCAAGCCCCGTGGCCTGCTCTAATATTCTAATATGATCAACTTATCTTGCACAGAATGAAGCTGTACTCCTACCTTTTTGGAGTGATAAAATCTGCCTAACACTGTATGTAAAAATTAACTCAGAATTGATCAAAGACCTCTAAGAACTGAAATTATAAATATCTTAGAATAAATTAAAGACATATTTTTTATGACCTAGGACTAGGCAGTGGTTGCTTAGATATGACACCTAAAGCACAAATGATAACAGAAAATATAGCTAAATTAGACTTCATCAAAATTAAAAACTTTTGTGCTTCAAAGAATACTACAAAGAAAGTGAAAAGACAACCCACAGAATGAGAGAAAATATTTGCAAATAATGTATTTAATAAGGATCTAGTACCCAGAATACATAAAGAAAGAGCTCTTGCAACTCAACAATAAAAAGACAAATAACTCAATTTTAAAAGGTCAAAAGAGCCCGGGCATGGTGGCTCATGCCTGTAATCCCAGCACTTTGGGGGGTCCAAGGCAGGCAGATCACTTGAGGTCAGGATTAGAGACCAGCCTGGCCAACACGGTGAAACCCCATCTCTACTAAAAATACAAAACATTAACTGGGCATGGTGACATGTGCCTGTAGTCCCAGCTACTCAGAAGGCTAAGGCAGGAGAATCACTTGAATTTGCAAGGTGGAGGTTACAGTGAGCTGAGATCGCACCACTGCACTTCAGCCTGGGTGACAGTGAGACTCCATCTCAAAAAAATAAAATAAAATAAATAAATAAATAAATAAATAAATAAAAAGTCAAAAGACTTGAATAGACATTTCTCCAGAGAAGACTTAACAATGGCCAATAAATACATTAAAGGGTACCCAACTTCATTAGCCATCAGGAAAAGGTAAACCAAACTACAATGACATACCACTTCACATCCATTAGGATAGCTATAGTCAAAAGGACAGAAAATAATGCCAAGTGTTGATGAGGATGTAGAGAAACCGGAACCCTCATACACTGCTGATGGCAATGTAAAATGGTGTAGCCATTTTGGAAAACAGGCTGGCGGCTCCTCAAATGGTTAAACATAAAGTGACCACGCAACCCAGCAATTCCACTCCTAGATATACAGTTGACCCTTGAACAAAACAGGTTTGAACTTTGTAGATCCACTTACATGTGAATTTATTTCAATAAATATATTGGAACATTTTTTGGAGATTTGTGACAATTTGGAAAAACTTGTAAACTATGTAGCCTAGAAATGCTGAAAAAATTAAGAAAAAGGTATGTCATGAATGCATCAAATCTACGTAGATACTAGTCTATTTTATCATTTACTACCACAAATATCCATAAATCTATCATAAAACATTAAAATTTATCAAAACTTTTGCACACACAGACTGTACATGGCACCATTTATAGTCAGAGAAATGTAAACAAACATAAAGATGCAATATAATCACTGCATAAAATTAAATACAGTGCATACTGTATGACTGTAATAATTTTTTTGTTTTTGTTTTTGTTTTCTTGAGACGAAGTCTCTCTCTGTAGCCCAGGCTAGAGTGCAGTAGTGTGATCTTGGCTCACTGCAACCTCCGCCTCCCAGGTTCAAGCGAATTCTTGTGCCTCGGCCTCCTGAGTAGCTGGAATTACAGGCGCACACCACTGCACCAGCTAATTTTTTATATTTTTTAGTAGAGACAGGGTTTCACCATGTTGGCCAGGCTAGACTTGAACTCCCGACCTCAGGTAATCCACCCACCTCGGCCTCCCAAAATGCTAGGATTACAGACGTGAGCCACCGTGCCTGGCCACTATTGTAATAATTTCACAGCCACCTCCTGTTGCTATTGCCGTGAACTCAAGTGTCGCAGGTAACTCAAGTGTCGCAGGTAACTCAAGTGTCGCAGGTATCCAACAGCTAGATGCTAGTGATCTCTATGTGAGCTGCTCATCTCTCCAGTAAACTGCTTATTCCAGTAAAAAGTGATCTCTTGCGGTTCTCATGTAGTTTTCATCGTGTTTAGTGCAATACCATAAACCCTGAATAATACCATGAGCCCCATATGAAGTGCCACTAGTGATGCTGAAAGTGCTCCCAAGAAAAGAGAAGAGTCATGACATTACAGGAAAAAGTTGAATTGCTTGATATGTACCAGAAATTGAGGTCTGCAGCTGTGTAGTTGCCTGTCATTTCAGACAAACAATTCCTCTTGTAGACAGACAATGTAAACTTATGGTATTAATACAGTATTTTCTCTTCCTTATGGTTTTCATAATAACATTTCCTTTTCTTTAGCTTACTTTATTGTAAGAATACAGTATATAATACATATAGCCTACAAAATAAGTTGTTAATCGAGAGTAGGCTATTAGTAGTTAAGTTTTGTGGAGCCAAAAGTTATACATGGATTTTCGACTGCATGAGGGGTTGGCGTCCTAACCCCTGCATAGTTCAAAGGTCAACTGTATACCCAATATAACTGAAACCATATGTCCTTACAAAAACCTGTACAAGAATGCTCACAGCAGCACTGTCCACAATAGCCAAAAAGTGGAAACAACCCCAACGTCCACCAATGGATGAATCGACAAACAAAATGTGGGATATCCACACGATGGGATATTATCCAAAAATAAAATGGAATGAAGTACAGATACACGCTACAATATAGGTGAACCCTGAAAGCATTAGACTAAGTGAAAAAAGCTGGACATAAAAGGCCACATGTTGTATGACTCCATCTGACGAAATGCCTAGAATGGGCAACTCCATGGAGACAGAAAGTAGAGGAGTGGTTGTCAGGAGATAAAGGAGAGTGACTGCTAACAGCTAAGGGTTTTTTCTGGAATTAGAGAGTGGTGATGGTTGCACAACTCCGTGAGTATACTAAAGCCACTGAACTGCATACTTTAATAAGAGGATGAATTTCATGGTATGTGATTTATATCTCAATAAAATAAATAAATAAGATATATTTTTCAGCTATTAGAGAAATAAAAAAATTATCTTGTATAATATTTCTGGAAATAAATCTGAATCTTTATATCCAACTGGCATACCCCAACAATGACTCCCAACCCTGGCAGCCCATTAGAATCACTCGGGGAGCTTTTAAAGACATACAGACGCTTGGACCTCCTTCCTAGAGATTATGATTTAATTGGTCTGGGGTGGAGTTTGGGGACTGGTGTTTTCAAAAGCTCCCCAGTTGACTCTAATGTGCAGCCTGAGTTGAGAACCACTGCCCTAGAATTTGAGCTTTTAAAAGAGTCCCTGGTGTTGGTTTAGATATCTGTTATTTTATCCTTTCTCATAAACATGAGACAAACAAAATTTTAAATGGCTCACGGTTTCTGGCTGTTAGAACTCAGTAGAACTGGGATTTTATTTTATTGTCTCTTCCACATTTTTTTTAAGATCAGCAGATTGCCATTTTATAGACAGAGAATCTTAAATGCAAAATGGCTAAGAGACATACTGAGATCACCATTGTGAGCTGGGCAGGGACTGAATTACAGTTTCTTCCTTGGGAAGGAAACTGAGTTCTTTTTCTAGTTACTCCAGCCTGAACCATCATGGACATTAGGGACACCCTCTCAGCACAGGTGGTAGGACAGGCAGCATCTTGGCACTGGCAGAGACAGAAAGCCTGGGTGGAGCCTCACAGTCTGGGAAAACTATAAACTCTCAAGTCCACCTTCAGATTTGATGAAATGGAGCCTCCTCCTACCCCCACAAAAAACCTTTTTTCTTTACAGGGCTGGGAAGATGAGGTTTACATCACCTACTTATCTCTGGGAAGCCATCCCAAAGTGCTCACTTATTTAGATCACTACTGGTCTCATTTTCTTTTTTCTTTTTATTTTGGAGAAAGGGTCTCATTCTGTCACCCAGGCTAGAGTGTAGTGTCACAAACACAGCTTACTGCAGCCTCAACCTCTTGGGCTCATGCGATCTTCCTGCCACAGCCTCCAGAGTAGCTAGGACCACAGGCGTGTGCCACCACACCCAGCTAATTTTTTGTAGAGACGGGATCTCACTTTGTTGCCCAGGCTTGTCTCAAACCCCTGGGCTCATTTTTATTACTTTCCCCAAAGCTGCCGAAGTTGGTCAGTTGGGTCTGCATTAGGCTCCCCATTCATTCTGGAGCCCCAAAGCCACTTCTAAATGGCAAAGTCATGGCCAGCGAGGGCTGCTCATTTGTTTAGCTTTGGGAGTCTGTCTGGGCCTGAAACCAGCCCCTGCCTGTGGAAAATGCTCAGAACAGAGGACACTCCAGGCCTCTGAGACCAGAAGTGAGGGAGCCACGGACACCTCTCCCTGAGCTCCGGCTCTGCACCCCCTTCCCTACTTGCCAGCTCAAGGAGTGCACATGAGATGGTGGTGTTTGGGCTCTAATTGTGTTGAGTAATTGCTCAATGATTTTCTATGTAGTTCCCTGGCTCCCCTATCCCACTTTCTCACTCAGCTGTTTTATAAACTGAATTCTAATCTGGGTTTCTTCACAATGTCGCCTTTTACTAAAAGCTAATAAAACCCCAAATGGGAAATTCAGAAGTCGCAGCAATACCACATGACTGTAACTGAAGGTTGTTGGTCAACTTGATTTGGTTTTCAAGCTTGTAGACCATCTGAGGACTTCAGTCTCCCACCCAACTTTGTAGCAATAAAGGTCTTTGTCTTCCCTTGCACTGAACGTGAGTCCTGAACCTTTCTGAGGAGTCCTGCAGACAGCCTCACATGGCCCAGACAGCCCACTGGACCCCTCCTCTGCCACCTCTACTTCCTCACTCAGGCACCCAACACTGCTCACTGAAGTAAGTTACCCCTATGAGGCCACAGGCAGACTCTCTTCTAGAACCCTGCTTTGCACCTGCCACCTGGCCAGCTGAGCCCAACCCTGGCCACTCTGCACAACCAGGAGGCTGCTCAAACTCTCAGCAGAGGAAACATTTTCAGTAACGAGCAAAATCTCAAATCTCCAACACAAAAATCAGATGAATCTGTAAGAAGAACAAAGGTGTTTTGCTGCATCCTAAAAGGCAGGGTGACGATTGACAGTTGTCTTATATCAGCCACATCAGCTAATATTTTATTTTTGAATTTTGTTTTGATTGCAGAGAACCAAAAAAAAATCTTAATTTCCACAGATAAGTGGTAGCAAATGCTAATTAATGGACTTTTAGTAGACTGCCTTTTGATCCTAGGATAGCCTTTAGTCGCATCAGTGTTTGTTGGTGTTTCTTTCATCACTGTCCCACAAGGAGCCTTAGCAGACATTCTGCCTATTTGTGCCACCCCACTCCCGAAATATATATATATTTTTTGAGACAGAGTTTCGCTCTTGTTGCCCAGGCTAGAGTGCAGTGGTGCACTGTAACCTCTGCCTCCCGGGTTCAAGCGATTCTCCTGCCTCAGCCTCCCAAATAGCTGGGATTACAGGCGTTTGCCACCGCACCTGGCTAATTTTTGTATTTTTAGTACAGACTGGGTTTCACCGTGTCGGCCAGGCTGGTCTCGAACTCCTGACCTCAGGTGATCTACCTTCCTCGGCCCTGCAAAGTGCTCGGATTAATACATATTAATACATATACAATCACATACTGTTTTAGTAACACAAAGGAAAAAGAAGAGGAGGACTTACTTAGGCTGGGGGTGGTAAGTGGAAACTGTCCAAGTGAGAAGTGAGGTAACACCAACCTAGGCAGAGAAACCTGCACGCAAGGCCCTGAAACCGTGGAGTTTGGATGGCCTGCGGCAGGTTGGTGTGGCTGGGGAGTGCCGGGGGCTGAGGAAGAGGCTTGCTCCTCCTCCCCATCCAGGCAAGCAGCAGCAGTCACTGCAGTCAGGGGAAGGGGTTGGGCAGTGGGAATGCCTCACTTACTGGGTGACATAAAGCAAGGCAGGAATGCTTTCTCAGGCTTGGTTTCCCATGTATAAATTCAGAAAAACATCACCTACCCAATATAGAGGTGATTATTAAATGCACTATCCTCTAGAAGCTGTGGTTATTAACCTTGACTACACATTGGAATCACCTGGAACCTTATAAAGTCCGGGCTGGGTGTGGTGGCTTGCACCTGTAATCCCAGCACTTTAGGAGGTCAAGGTGGGAGCATCACTTGGGGTCAAACGTTTAATACCAGCCTGGGCAACATAGTGAGACCCTGTCTCTTAAAAAAAAAAAAAATAGTCCTGATGGCTGGGACCTACCACCAGGCCCGGCCTGGACATTCCAAATCATCCAAGCTCCCCAGGTAATTCCAATGTGCTGCTGGGCTGAGAATCACTGCTGCACAGCACCTGGCACAGGTAAATGTGCAGAATAACATGTGCTGGGTGCAGTGGCCTGCGCCTATAGTCCTAGCTACTCAGGATGTTGAGGTGGGAGGATCCCTTGAGCCCAGGAGTTTGAGTCCAGCCTAAGCAATATAGCGAAGTTTGTCTTTAAGAGAAGAAGAATGACATCGTTTATGTGGGCACAAAAGGCTCAAATGAATCATAAACTATTCAGGGATACACTTGCCCCTGGCATCTGAACTCCTGTCCCGAGTTTAGGAATCCCTGCTTCTCGTATGAGTCCTGGCAGGACGCAGGGTTCACCTCCCACTCTGGAAGCTGGAAATGCCAGCAACATCAACAGCACAGTGTCCTCACCACTCTGGTTTTGTGACTATTGTGGGTGCAGACTGGGCTGCTGCCTGGTCTCCATGGTTTGAGTCCACAGCCATCCCAGCAAGACTGGGAACCACCCCAATGTCCTTTAAAGAAATCCTTTTTCTGATCTCAGTCAGCTGATACCTACTGCTCAAAACTAAGAATGCTACTGATAAAAATATTCAGAGTAGGACTCTTTTTATGGTTTTTAAGAAAGAAAATAGGGCCAGGTATGGTGGCTCACACCTGTAATCCCAGCACTTTGGGAGGCCGAGGCAGGAGGATGGCTTGAGCCCAGGATTATGAGACCAGTCTGGGCAACATGGCGAGACCCCATCTCTACAAAAAATACAAAAATTGGCCGGGGGTGGTGGCGTGCCCCTCTAGTCCCAGCTACTCGGGAGGCTGCAGTGAGAGGATCTCCTGAGCCTGGGAGGTTGAGGCTGCAGTGAGCCATGATCCCATCACTGCACTCTAGCTTGGGCAACAGAGTGAGACCCTGTCTCAAAAAAAGAAAGAAGGAAAAAAAGAAAGGAAAGCAAAAAAGCAAGCAAAAAGCAAGCAAGCAAGAAAATCGGTCTTCATATGTAATGAGATCTTATTTATTGATTTATTTTTGAGACAGTGTCTCCTCGCTCTGTCACCCAGCATGAAGTGCAGTGGCACAATCACAACTCACTGCACCCTTGACCTTTTGGGCTCCAGTGATCCTCTTGCCTCAGCCTCCCAAAGTGTTGCAATTACAGGCATAAGCCACCACGTCCCATGCACGTTAACATTTCTTGAGCACTGACTGTGCCAGGTGCTGGTTCTTTTCACCTACCAACTCATTCAGTCTCCATGACAACCCTATTAGGTCTAGACTGTTATTATCCTGACTTTACAGATGAGAAAATGTAGGCAGAGAAAAGGGTAGGTAACTTGCTCAAGGTTACAAGGTTTGTAGGTAGTGGAGGTAGTTGGTGAACCCAGATGATCTTGCTTCAAAGCCCACAGTCCCAGCCACTACGCCATAGGGCAAATGCTGCGAAAAAGGACTGTAGGGAGACGAACTGTCCACACCTGTTACCTCGGGGGTGGGACTGGGGGGTGGAGCTGAAAGAGGCCTCTGATGTATTCCTTCTGTTTGCTTTGAACCTTTTGCAATAAGGACTACTCATGTATTATTTTCACACAAAGCAGTATTTTTGTGGTGATTAAACTTGAACCAGTGTGCCTGCGAACTAAAAGCTTGCAACAGAGACTCCACAGCAGCTGCTGCCACCATCCAAGAACTTGAGGGGGATTCTGCTCTGAATCTCATGCCAGGGGTTTCCTCCTGATTCTTCTGTGAGAACCCACTCCTGGAGTGTTTACTGTGATATGGCACACACTGCTGGTTGCTGTAATCACACCAGCTATTTACCCTGGGCTCAAGGGCACCTGGGGGCACACAATTCTAGACTCAAGTTTGGCTGGCTTAGTTGCAGGATCCCCATCATCCTCAGAAGATGCCCTGACCATGCTTTGGGTTTCCCTGCCCATCTACCCTGCCTACTTTTCCTACAATTTTCATTCTCCAAGGTCCAAATTCATATTTCTCCTGGCAGACTTGGTTTCTCCTCTTCTCTTGGCTCATTATCAGCCTGATTCTCCTGCCTCAGCCTCCCAAGTAGCTGGGATTACAGGCGTGCGCCACCACACCCGGCTAATTTTTGTATTTTTAGTAGAGATGGGGTTTTGCCATGTTGACCAGGCTGGTCTCGAACTCCTGGCCTCAAGTAATCCACCCGCCTTGGCCTCCCCAAAGTGCTGGGATTACAGGTGTGAGCCACCACTCCTGAATTCTGTAATTCCAACTTGGCAATGCCTTAGAGTCTGCCCACATCATTTCCCGAAGGTAATCCCTCCTGTTTCGGTGGGAAGGTGCTCTGTTTGGGGGACTTTTCTTATTCAGTTTATTCCCCCCTTCTCCTCTCTTCATTCACATGTCTTCAGCCATCCACTCCCAGGGGGTCACCTTCCAGGGTTCTGCCCCACCCCTCTCCATCCCATAGCCCCTCTCCCATCTTTTCACACTAACCCTCCTACCACCTCAGCCACAGGAGGGCCTTTTTTTTTTTAAACTTTTAAATACTAAAATAATTTCAGACTTATACAAAAGTTGCAAGAATAGTAAAATGAACTTCCACATACCACTCACCTACATACCCCAAATGTTAACATTTAACTACACTTACTTTATCTCTCTCTCTATATGCATTTTTCCCCAAACCATTTTAGAGTAAGATGCACACATGATGTCCCCTTTTGTCTAAATACTTCTGTATTTCCCAAAAAAGACATTTTCTTACAATACCAGTTTACCTAGTCATAAAATTGCCATCTTATTTATTTTAATTGCTTTTTATTTTTTAAGGCTAGTCAAGTGGAGCAGTGGTAGAGGAGAAGGAACAAAGAACAGAAAACTACCGCTGGTAGAATACTATCACTCAATCCACAGACTTTATTCAAATGCTGCCAGCTGTCCTGATAATGCCCTCTATTTATTTACTTATTTATTTTTAAATATAGACATGAGGTCTCGCTTTGTTGCCTAGGCTGGTCTTGAACTCCTGGGTTCAAGCAATCCTGCCACCTTGGCCTCCCAAAGTGCTAAGATTACAGGCATGAGCCACTGCACCCGGCCCTAATAATGCCCTTTAGAGCAAGAAAAAAGAAAGAAAAATGCATGATCAGTATCCCACCCAGACTAAATATCACTTAGTTTAAACTTGCCAGCTTTGAGACCTGCCTGAGACTTTGGCTCCTCAGCTGTGGAAAGAGCCATGGATGGGGAACTGTTACTGTCTACGCAGATTGGACAAGTCACTTGGCCCTCTGTGCTCTACTCGCCATCACCCACGAGAATAAAAGGACAGGGAAGCCATGGGCATTTTAGCCTGAGTGCTCTACATAAATATCAAGCACAGCAAAGGTGGTCAGTCAGCGGAGTTACAACTAACAAAGCAACCTTTGGCTTCTCCCAGGTATCGATACAATTCATTCAAATGAAAAAATAAGAACTTAATTTTATTGAGTGATTACCCAGTTAGATAAGACAGAGCGGGCACAGTGGCTTATGCCTGTAATCCTGGTGCTTTATGAGGCTGAGGTGGGAGGATTGCTTGAGGCCATGAGTTCAAGACCAGCCTGGGCAACAAAAACTTGGTAGAGAAACAAAAATTTCTCTACAAAAAATTTAAAAAAAATTAGCCAAGGATGGTAGTGCATGCCTGTATCCCACTTACTCGGGAGGCTGAGGCAGGAGGATCACTTGAGCCCAGGAGTTCAAGGTTGCAATGAGCTGTGATCACACCACTGCACTTCAGTGCAGTGCACTTAAAAAAAAAAAAAAAAAGATTAGTTAGGCCAGGTGCCACGGCTCACACGTGTAATCCCAGCACTCTGGGAGGCCGAGGCAGATGGATCACCTGAGGCCAGGAGTTCGAGACCAGCCTGAACAACATGCTGAAAACCCCATCTCTACTAAAAATACAAAAATCAGTTGGGCATACATGCCTGTAATCTCAACTACCCAGGAGGCTGACGCATGAGAATCGCTTGAATCCGGGAGGCGGAGGTTGCAGTGAGCCAACATCACACCACTGCCTGGGCAACAGATCGGGACTCTGTCTCAAAAAAATAAATAAAAAAAAAATAAAATTAGAGCTCTACATGTTTCACATGTATCATCTCATTTAATACATACTGTTTTCACTGCTAGCTCCATTTTGCAGATGACTAGACTGAGTTTGGGGGAGAGGGGCGGTAGCTGACTGATTTGCTCAAGCTCTTTCCAATGCTTAAATTCAGGATTAGAAATGAGGAGGATAGAAAACATGTAGTCATTTGCAAGATGACATATCTTCATTAGGGTGAAATAGGGTAGAAGGAAGCAGACCTCTGAATGGAGACCACTGCCCCTCAGCTAACTGTGGCTGCACCTGCCATCAGGCACAGGGCTACATAGCTGGAACACCCAGCCCTATGCAGCACAGAGTCCCCTTGTCAGAGGACAAATGGATTCTGGGACCATAGTGAAAACAAAAGTGCACTAAGTTCCATGCTGCAAAATGACTTCTCTTGGTGACCTGGAGTTAAATTTTTGTCCCCTCCCTATGAAAAGCTTTATCCTAGGGACTTGAAGATGAAGTTTCTTCCCTTTGTAGGAAGTTGGTCACATCCAATGAGGAAATAAAATAAACTTCTTTTTTTTTTTTTTTTGAGATGGAGTTTCACTCTTGTTGCCCAGGCTGGAGTGCAGTGACAAAATCTCAGCTCACTGCAACCTCTGCCTTCCAGCTGCAAGCGATTCTCCTGCCTCAGCCTTCCGAGTAGCTGGGATTACAGGCACCTGCCACCACACCCACCTAATCTTTGTATTTTTAGTAGAGACAGAGTTTCACCACGTTGATCAGGCTGGTCTCGAACTCCTGACCTCGTGATCTGCCCTCCTCAGCCTCCGAAAGTGCTGGGATTACAGGCATGAGTCACGTGCCAAGGAAATCAACTTCTAAATGCACTAAACAGAGTAGTACAGAGCACACAGCATGCAAATACTAACTAACCCTATGAGAGGTGCCATCCCACTTCTATACCATTGCATAGTGCAGGGAGCTGAGGCCAGGCAGGGTTTGGTGATCTGGCCTGGGCTGGCACCAGATCAGGGTCTGTGAGATGTCACATAGCACCTGTGCCTAACAGAAGAAGCTGGCGGGACCAGAGGGTTTGAAACCAATGTCATGTTAAGTGGTTCTACATCCCTCCCTTAGCCATGGGGCAACCTAACTCCTTCCTTGGGAGGAAGGCCATGCAGTGGGTTTGTGATCACCTCCCCAGGGTATGTGACAAGTAGGAAAGCTTTTCCCTATCTGTCCTCAGCACTGATACCACCACTCGGCACTGGCAGCTTGGCAAGTGTTTCTATATTGTGTGCTGCGTTTCTCCAAATAAGTTATAAGGCTCTTAAAGACTAGTAGAGGTATTTTTCCTTTTCTTCCTTCTTTCTTAACACTTAAAATTGAAGGAGAAATTATAAAGATAACTCAGTTCACTGCACCAGAGTCATTAATGCTGGCAGCAGCCCTCGCCTCAGTTGCTAAGAGCCTAAGCCCCCGTTTCCACTGAAGCTCTGCCACTCACCTTGGGAAGCCACTTAATATTTCTGAGCCTCAGGTATTGCGTCCATAAATGGGAATAATAACCTTTCCTACCTTAAAATGCCTGCAGCACTTACCACTCATACGTGGGTGTATATAACAACAGAACAGCTTAAGTCAGTGAAGTATTATGTACAAAGCTCTTAGTCCAGTAAGTTCCCAATAAATAGAAGATTCTACTATCTCTTTGGCTACTACTGTGACTGCTGCTGCTGTGATCCTTAAACACAATTTTGTAAAACTAAGAAACACAAAGGCTCCTTAGCATCTTGGCCTGTGCTTTTCATTCCCCCATGTTCCTAGGTCAGTCATCAGGTGCCAGAGGTTCCCAGGGTGTTGGCTGCCATATGGTAAGTGTCCATGAAGTCCATTCTCCCATCTCCACATCTACCACCAACTGGTTCCAAGTCAGCACCAGGTCCTGCCCTTTCCTGCAAACCAGCCACCCAAGACTGGCCTCTGCAGAGGCCTATGGTGCTCCTTACTCAGCCTCTCAAATTCCAAATGCAGATCCCTGGCCATCAGCACTCTGTTCTACGGCAACTTCCCACCTTGAAAATGTCCTTCGTCCCTCCAAGATCTCAAAGTCTACTCTCCTTGACCTAAGAGGTGAGCCCAGTCTTTTCAGTAAGGTGATCACACCCCAAGAGGCAAAATATTCTGTGGCCTCTTCAAAGGACAGTAAAGTACATCAGTGTGCCTGGGGCTATATGAAAGGAGCAGCAATGTAGTTCACTCCTTCAACAAGGACTTACTGAGTGCCTCAGGTATGTGGGACTATAAAGATAAAGAAGACAAGGTCTCTACCCTTAAGCAGGGGCTCCAAGAGGTGTACACAAAGATAAAAGCTGAAGGTCAGGACCAAAGATAAGCCCTAGCAGCCCTGAACTTGCTCATTCCCAGCTCACTGCAAGGTATTCCCACCCCTCCCTTCCAGAGGCTCCAAGTGCACAGAATGAATGAACCCCAAGTGGCTGTCCAGTGTCATTCCTCTGGGCTCACTCCCGGGCCCTGGGCTTCTCCAAACAATTGGAGGCAGGCCGAGTGGGCGCATTCTCATGTGCAAGGCTCGCAGCGCCCCTCTCAGCTGATTGTGTCCAGGCGGCCGGGGTCTCGGAGGCGCATGAATGCCCCTGAATGGGCCCTTTCAGCCTGATGGACAGGAGCTGAAAGCTGCACACACACAAAAGCCACTGGGCAGCTGGGAGGGCTCCAGCCCCGGGGTTTGCCCACGGGAAGGGAGGCCGTCCTTCCACAAAGAGCAGTGTGAAGACTTCTCCACTTTTCAATGGCATCCTCTGGCCGCCAACTGTACAGCACCCCTACCCCCACCCCTGATGGTGGTAACAGCAGCAGAGGATGGCACTACATGGAGAAGCCTTAGAGGGCTAGAGGCAGAAATTAAAATCCAACAAATAAATAACAGAATGCCCTTTTCTTTAAGAGCAGGATGGGGATCTGAGCCAAAGGCCCTGAAGGGCGCCTCCATGTGCCCATCATGTACATCTGTAAGCAGCATTCCTGACACCCACAGTGATCTTTAAGGACACAGACTGACCTGAGATTGTCTAACATGTCACCAAGAAAAATGATCTCGAAAGGACACGGCCAATATTTAAATCAGGAATGGAGAGTCCCAATTCTTGTGTCACTCACTTGGTATATTCCAGGAAAAAAAAAATCCCCGAAGCGACACTTGTATTTTTAAATAGGACCAGGAAGGGGAGAATCACCCATCTGGAATTCTTTTAATTGCTTCGGGGGGAAGGGCAGCCTCCACCAGTTGGAGGAGCAGAGAAGTCTATTTACACTGTTGCACACAAATATTTTAAGTTCACAGTCAGGTGGCTACTTTGGAAGGGACGATGCTCTGCTTCTGAGATCACATTACTTTAGAAACACCCCCCCAAAAAGATAATTAAAGATAGTTCCTCCTCATAATGCAATACTATAAGGAGCAATTAAAATTAAATTAGCTTGTCATAATAAAAAAGATGGATTATGTTCTTAGGCTTCCCAACCCGGAGTTAGTAATTCATGGAGAGAAGCCTGTGACCAAGTAGCAGTTTTACTAAGGAAATATTAAACATTCAGACCACTTTTGTGAGTGGACCAAGATACCAGGGAGATACATACCCTGGCATAATTATTGCTTTTGTTTACATTTATTTTATTTTTTAAATAATGGAATGATTCAAACACATAATAAAGGACAGGGAAAAACACAACAAATAAAATCCATCATCCTAAATTCACAAATGTTAACATTTTGTTATGTTTGCTTCAAGACCAGGTTTTTCTAAACAAATAAAATGTTATGAAATCAGATGAAGCCTCCTTTTGCAGAGGCAACTGTATGTCCATATTTTTACAGGTTTGCCATTCTTGATGTGACATAAACAGAATGTAATATTGTTTTAACTTTTTATTTCAAAATGATTATAGATTCATAGGAAGTTGGAAAAAAAGTGTACAGGGAGGTTCCAAGCATCTAGCCTAGCCTCCCCCGATGTTAACGTCTTGCATAGCTAACTAGCATGCTATCAAAACTAGGATATTGAGATTGGCACACTCCACAGAACTTTCTCAGATTTCACCAGTTTTACAAACACTCGTGTGTGTGTGTGTATGTGTAGCCCTATGTAATTTTGTCACATGTGTAGCTTTGTGTAACAACCACAATCAAAATACTAAACTGTACCATTACCACCAGATTCTCTCATGCTACCCCTTTTGAGCAACACCTATCCCTTATTCCCCTCATCCCTAGCACCTGGCAACCACTCATCTGTTCCCCCTCGCTATAATTTTGTCATTTCACGAATGTTATATAAATGGCAAATGCAGTATATAACCTTTGGAGACTGACTTTTTCGTTCAGCATCATTTCCTTGAGGCTCGCCTATATTGTTGCATGTGATCAATAATTTTTTCTTTTTTATTGCTGTATTCCATGGTATAGATATACCACAGTTTGGTCAACCATACACCACTGAAGAACATCTGGATAGTTTCCAGATTGAGGCTATTTTGAATGAAGGTGTTATGAACATTCACATGTATAAGTTTCCTTGTGAACATAAGAGAAAGGCCCTAGAAGAGCCAAAACTATTTTGAAAAAGAATAAAGGAATCTCTCTTCCCAGTGTTAAGGCTTACTATATAGCTCCAGTAACTGTGACAGCATGGTCTTGGTAGAGGGCTAGACATGGAGATCAATGGAACACAATAGAGAACACAAATTGCCCACTTGCTTTTTTACAAAGGTGTAAAAACAATTCAATGGTGAGAGGTAGTCCTTTCAACAAAGTGTGCTACAGCAAGTGGACATCTACAGGAGGGGGAAAAAAATCAACCTCAACCTAAACATTACACCTTATATGAAAAGTAACTCAAAATGGATCTTAAATGTAAGACTTAAGACTTCAATGTAAAACACAAAACTATACAACTTTTAGCAAGAAACACAGGGCACATGAGGACATCTGAGTTCTATAATTCTGGGTACACCAGGAAGAGTCTCTTTCCTTAACATCTCCCCATCTAGTCTGTCCCAGATGACTGAAATTCCGCTATTAGACAGTCATACCTTTGGCTTAAAGGCTCATCCAGAAAATTCTTCTGGGAGAGATAAGAAATGAGAGCTTTGAATCTTGGGGTGAATCAGAGTATCAGGTCTTCTTTAGCTGACAGCTGAGAGGAGGATCTAAAAGGAAGTGAAATGAAAAGGGCACTTGGAGAATGAATGAGGGTGGGAGGGGTAAGAGGAAAAAGATGACGTTCTGACAAGTTCCACCTACTTGACAACAATAAGGTCAGTTCTTCCAAAATGTGTATCTGGTGCTGCATCTTAGTCAGGGCTGGGGGCAGGGGACGGAGTATGTTCACCAAACTACACTCAGCCAACATGTGCAGACATTTATACATGGTATCCACCAACTCACATGCAAAGAAAAGGAGTGTATATACATGTCAAAGGGTGGCAGTTCGTTGTTGTTTACCTTTCCTCATTAGTACAGTACAAATCTAGCTGAGAACAAAGAATTTATATTCCAAACAGGATAAAAGTATGAAAAATGTCTTTATTACCTACCTAGTATTTTCCTTCCTCCGTTTATGACTTCTTTTACATACACGTTTTATGGAATTATTCAGGCAAATGCCTTCTTTGGGACTCCTAACTCTGTGTGCAGCATGGTTGAAGAATGGGATATTCCTGTTACAGATACATCAGGCACATCACCAACTCCCAACGAATCAAATCCAATTGAATGCTTTTAACCCTAAAATTTTCAGGAAACAAATTTATCATCTTTGCTAAATTAGAAGACACAATGGGAGCCATATGGTAATGGTGACCATATTTCCCAAATTATAAATTTATGGCATAGAACCTGAGGAATGCTCATCATGGAAACAACAGGAGTGAAAATTTAAATGCAAGCAGTGTGGGCCCATATGCTCTATGGCTACCATGGCTGCCTGTCCCATTCAAGTGGGATGTGTTCAGAGGAAGCGCTGACTCTGGATGGCGCCCCCTCATGGAAAGGAGGAGCCACTGCAGCTCAGAGAACCTTTAGCTTTTCCATGTTACTTTGATCGGGCTCTAAAATAAAGTCCCCTGCGGCCGGGCGCGGTGGCTCACGCTTGTAATCCCAGCACTCTGGGAGGCCGAGGCAGGCGGATCACGAGGTCAGGAGATTGAGACCATCCTGGCTAACACGATGAAACCCCGTCTCTACTAAAAAATACAAAAAACTAGCCAGGCGTGGTGGCAGGCACCTGTAGTCCCAGCTACTCGGGAGGCTGAGGCAGGAGAACGGAGTGAACCTGGGAGGCAGAGCTTGCAGTGAGCCGAGATTGCACCACTGCACTCCAGCCTAGGCGACAGAGCGAGACTCCGTCTCAAAAAAAAAAAAAAAAAAAAAAAATCCCCTGTGTTGTCTCCTGACTGGGAGGTAAACTCGTATCTCCTGGCAGGCTGCTCCGAGGATCTAAGTCTCAAGTTAAATGAGGCAGCAGTGCATACAAACAGACTAGGAGGCCTCCACCAACATGGGGCTACCCGCACAGTGAGGGCCCTCCCAGTTCTGACCACCTTCCTCTCTATCAGCCCATCACAAAAACCCGCCACAGGCGTGAGCTGCCACTTCCTAAGATGTCCTAACCCCAAGCCAGGGACTGCCACAACCTCAGCAGAGTGTGGTGTGTCAGGCTGAGACACATCCTCTCTCTCCAATGCAGCCTCCCCAGAAAACCCACAAGCAGAGATAGACAGGACAACCCTCTCTGGAGCTGGGCCACATAAACAAGCGAGCTTCCATGAGGAGCTCTGGCTGCCCTGTGGTTCAGTGTGAGACTATCGGCTGGCTCCTGCTTGAGACTGGCTCTACCTGTGTGACCCCAGACAGCTCATTTAACCTCTCTCTTCTCTGTGCCTCCCATTTCCTCTTCTGTAAGACGTGATGTTGCTGAGTGTGGTGGCACTTGCTTGTAGTCCCAGCTAATGGGGTGGCTGAGGCAGGGGGATCGCTTTAGCCTAGGAGTTTGAGGCTACAGTGAGCTACGATAGCACCACTGCACTCCAGCCTGGGTGACAGAGCAACACACCATCTCTTAAAAAAAAAAATGCTGTGATGCAGATTCATGAGTTCAAACGCTGGCCTGGCACAGAGTAGACCCTCAATACAGGCTGGTTATTACGTCACTTATCATTACTAGGGCACACTCTCCTGAAGCTAATTTCTCAGGCGTCGCTAAGTCCTTGCCCAGGTAGTCACTTTCCTAAGAAACATGAAATTCTTCATCTGGGGCTATAAAAGATCTTGAATGGTGGAAGAGAACAAGCTCTAGATGTGGAGTCAGAGAACTAAGACACAGGTAGAACCTGTCACTGAACTTTGCTGTGACACCCTGGGCCAGGCCCTTGACTCTCTGAGCTTGTTTCAGTCAGAAACAAAACAGATTGGCTGCTAAGAGTCTTTGCCTTGTAAGGGTGCTGTGAGGATCAGAAGGGATCACTCATGTGACAGCCCAGCCCGCCTGGCCAAACTGAACAGCAAAGACCTAGCCCAGGTAGAAGAGAGGGGAGCACAGCCGTTAGTTTCCCTAGCCTTGTCCCGCCCCTATACCAAGGGCAGGGAACATCAGCAGGGCCACCTCAGTCTAAGCACAGCAGCATCCCCTGAGAGAGGGTCCAAGTGCTGCAGCCTTGTCCTTACACACCATGAAGATGGGCCAAGAAAAGGGTAGGTTGATGAGATCATCTTCTGCGGAGCTCTCCAGGTGAGGAATCTGGCCTTCCACCTGCATGCTCCAAGGGCTGGGGCTGCAAAGAGACTTCATAATCACCAGCATCATCTAGACACCAGAACCACCAAGGACTATAGACCTATTTCCTGAAAGCTGGCTCTTAAATTTGCTCCTTGTCCGCTCATTCTCCTCCAATACCCAATCTGAAACTGCTTCCGGGTTACCTTCCCCACGGAAGGTCCCACAATCTTCAGGCGGACTCCACTTTCCCGAACACTGCCTCTCCCCTGCCAGCCCCAGCTCTGATACCAGGCCTGGTTCCGCCTTTCTTCCCCGCCTCACTGCCCATCTGCTGACTGCAGCGTCCTCTCCTCCTGCTCACCCAAATCCTACCTGGCCTTTAGAGCTTGGCTAAAGGCTCGCTCCATGGAAAATGCCCTTCCAGATTTCTAACCCACATGGACACCTCCTTTTCTTCCCAAAGTCATTTCCTTAACATGAAATCTGCCAAACTGTGTGAACAGTTCTGGTGCCTACATACCCCAAGACAAAAAACAACCTCACTCCACTGAGAAGAGGAGAGAACTTAGGCCTAGCTTTCCTTCCTGGAATGACACCTTGTATCACCTCTCTTCCCACAACCACGACCCAACTTTACAAAGATTTCAATGGCTGAAATGCCCCTTGACTTTCCCTCTTCTCCAGGCAGAGGCCTCCCAGACCCTTGCTATCATCTGTTTGTCTAAGTCCTGGTGAAACTGCAGCTCCTAGAACTAAGCCTGAAGCTCCAGAAGTGGGTTGAGCAGTACAGAGTTGCTGGAGCCATTCCGTATCCTGAGCTGGGCTCTGTAATGCCACCTCTGGCTAATACACTTGCAGTCTGCACTAAGTCCTCACTTACTTTATTTGGGTTGCTTTTGCCTCTCCAAACAGCCTGGAGTCATGTTCTCTTACATCCTCCAGAATGCTCGGCACAGACATAAACTTGCTGACTCGCCCGATGATTTTCCCCAAAATCAGGGCTGAACT
The DNA here is from genome assembly GCF_000001405.40 of Homo sapiens. NCBI lineage: Eukaryota > Metazoa > Chordata > Mammalia > Primates > Hominidae > Homo > Homo sapiens. The sequence goes on along the minus strand of NC_000002.12, from coordinate 85,183,610 downwards.
ATATATGACATGCTTATTCACCATGGCTAAGATTCTGAATATAAAACACCTACTGCCTTATTCAAGCCAGCAGGGTTATGGGCTCTGAGAGACACCAGGCAGCAAAGACACCAAGAAAGACATGTCAAAATCATGGAAATGTCAGAAGCAAAGTCCATCAGGTCCAATGATGATCTGACTACTGTCTGACGCATTCTTCCCTAGGCCTAGGATATAAAGCTTGGACTAGGGACACCACGGGCCATCCATCCTAGGAACCCAAGTCCTAGGTGACTCCCCTTGGTGCTAGCACAATAGGACAAGTTATACATTAGTAATGACCTCCATTCATGATCTGCCTTCTTGAAAGGCATGTATGCCTATGAGTCAGTGACACTCTTGGCTGACTTGCCCATCCATTTGAAATGCATTTTGATATCTAGTATTTCAGGCAGATACCAGGTTAAACCCGGCTCTGTGCTGCCCCTTTTCACTGTGGCACAGACAATACCATTTGATTTTCCTCCTGGGTGCACAAAAGGACTACATTTCTCAGGCTTCCTTGGAGTGAAGTGGGGCCATTGTGTCTGACTTCTGCTCTCTCACCCCTTGAAGCAGAAGCTCTAGTGAGGAACCACGAAGCCCTAGAGCGGGGATTCTCAGTGCGCTCCCTGGACCAGCAGCATCGGCATCCTCTGAGAACTTGTTGGCAATGCAGATTCTCAGGACCTTTCCTCTGGAGGTGGGGACCCAGCAATGTATTTTCACAAGTCCTCAGGTGATTCTGACACTCCAAGTGGGAGCCACCACTCAGGAAGACAGCAGAGCTCTTAGACAGGGAGATCTGGGTTCCTGAATGAACAGGCAGTGCTGATGCAGACTTGCATTGGACCGTGATGGGGAGAGAAATCAACTTGTATTGTGCTAAGCCATTCGGGGTGTTATTTTGAAAGTGGTTATTCTGTCCCTGCTGAAGCAGTAATCATCACCAGCTTCATGTCCAGTCTACTCAGAGGGCCATTTCCCACCTGGGGTTTTCTAGCATCAAAAGCTGGTAGCACAAGCTCTCTGGAGTGCAGAGAACCAGGGTTATCTTATCCTGCCTGGAACAGCCTGACCGGGAACCTCTCTACCCACTTCATTCATTCCTTCACAGTCTGGCTGGTATGCTACAATGGGTGAAGAGGAAGTCACAGAGGGCCAGGATCAGAGAGCAGCTGCTGGCATTAATACATTCCTTCTACCCTCAGCTCCCTGGCACCCCAGGCCAGCACCCACCTGCTTCTCAGTTAAAGGTGTCTGAAGCCTGCATCTGGCCTTAACTCACAGAGAGTGAGTATCAGGGACTCTGCCTGCAGGTCCCGCAGGCCAGCAGCTATGACTGCAGAACAGACCGTGCCCCAGATCACGTGCCAGACCTCATGGAGAGGCTTGGATGTCCATCTCCCATCTGACGAACAAGCTCAGTTTTGAGGGCCTCGTCTCTCCCTGCCATCTTTGCTTTTCCTCTCCAACCGAAATCCCACTTAATTCCTTCAGGCGCCCCGTCCATCCTGCCTCCTCCCCATGTCCACCAGCTGCTCCCTTTTCCCCTGTCCTTTGGCAGGATCTGAGACTCCCAGTGTGGCCTTAGACACCACAGGGCCCGCCCCATAAGGTTTCAGTTTTACGCAAAGTTCTGCGTCTCCCTCCCTATTGAAACATGGATCCTGTGGCAGGGGCTGCATTCAGCATGCCTTGTACCTGCCCCTGGCCTTGGCACTGAACACAAGACACTTGTTAAACTGACACCCACTCGATGCTTGCTTAATGGTCAATGAGTGAGGTGCCTCAAAGAGGGGCAACACCAGACGAGCGCCCTGGGAACCCTCCCTGAGGATACTACACAGGTGCAAAGGAACCAATGGTCTCAGATTTAAGATGCAGACACACGGACCAGTCACCTTAGCTGGGGCAGTTTGGCCCCAGACCTTCTCCTCCAAGCAGAATTCCTCTCCCTCTCCTCCAGCCAGCCTTTTGCTCCCCTGGGATCATTCAACTACAAAAAGGAATGCTTCCCCTGGGCTCTGGGAGCTGCCTGGGGTTCCCTGTGTGTGCTGAACCCTCTCCCTCTCTCCTGGCCACCACACAGTCACACACATAGTTCTTTTTTTCCTCCGGGCTACTTGCTTCCTTTTGCTGCTGCCCCCAGCAGGCGGGCCCATGCCCAGCAGGGAGGCACACCCGTACCTCTGGGAGCCTCCTATATGTCCTTCTACCCTCCAAAGCAGGGCCTTTCCCAGGGGCTGTTTTGAAGGCTGTAGTTTACTAACTTACACCTAGCTTTTGGCTATATGCCAAGTTAGACAAGGAATACATTCCCTCTGTGCTACCTGCCCCTCACATGCACACGCTGGCTACTCTCATTGGGCAGGTCCATCTATTTACCACTTCTTCCAGCCCTCTCTCAGGTGCTCCCTGCTCTCCGCACCTCTTTCTCTTATAACTCTCCTCCCTAATCCCCCAAAAAGAAGCCCCAACTCAGGAGGGGTCACAGGGCAGCTGGCCTCTTAGGTCTACGAAACCTGAACCCACCAGCCTCCCCCTTTTCTCCTTCCTTCAGGAACTGCAGAGGAGAAACAGTTGACTGCTCCAGTCAGCAGAGCCACTCTGGATGCCAGGGGAAGGCCACCGTCTGTTAGGGGCCCTTAGGAAGGCTGGGGCTAGGAATCATGTGCTTCAGACCTGCCAGGGAGGAAGCGGTCTAGCTACTTGCTATTTGCTGGCTGTGAGATGCTCGGCACATCATGCAACCTCCCAGCACCTCAGCTTCCTTACCTATAAATGGGACTAGTGACAGGTCCTAACCTATGTGTTGGGGCTGCTACAGATGACACGAGTGAATAAATACAGATACTTGGAACGGGCTCCTGGTGCACAGGAAACACTCCAGGGTCAGCTGTAACTCTTATCGTGGTTGTTATTTCCTCAATCCTCACTTTAGGAAGTCACTAGCCTCTGAAGAACGTGAAAGGCAAGGAGCAGAGACCATCATGAGCCAGGTGGTGTGGAAGATTCCACTGAGGTCTGTAATGTGGATAACTGAGAAGATTCACCAGGATGGGAACCACAAGAAATCTGTGTGGGGTTGGAAGGCACATTTGAGGGGTATGATAATGTGCGGGGTGTAGCCGTCATGAGGCTGCGATGGCTGAGGGTCAGGCAGGTAGACACACCCTCCAGGTAGCTGGGCTCACACACTGTTCAACAAAAAGAGCACTTTGGGGCACCGTAGCTCACATCTGTAATCCCAACATTATGGGAGGCCAAGGCGGGACAATCACTTGAGGCCAGGAGCTCAAGACCAGCCTGGGTAACATACAACATAGCAAGACCCTGTCTCTACCAAAAAAAAAAACAAAAACAAAAACAAAAAAAAAAACCACTTTGCAGATCAGAAGTTTAGAAACTCAATACTAGATTCTCAGCCTCACATCTCCCTCCCCATCTCTCAAAGGAGATCTTCTCGGCCCTCTCCCCAGCCAGTGCCCCCTGCCCCTTTCTCCAACAGTCCTTGCAGCTGTTCCCAGGACCCGGCTAAGCCACGTCCTGGGCAGTGACACCCTACACAGGAGGGCAAGACACCCCCTATGTGTGAAGCCATTAACAATTATTAAAATTTAACCCAAGAGATCTTCTACAGCTACAGAAAGGCACCCAGAGAAAAGTGTTCAAAGAACAGAGCTTTAAGTCTTTTTTTTTCATTCAGCAACTAACAATAGTGATGACTCAAGAGAAAGGATATATTTCTTTCTTTCAAAAAATGGTAAGAAATCTTTTTTATGCACTTGCCGTGGAAAATGCTTAGCTCATCAAATTCCTTGTGCTAAAAGGAGCTAAACCAACACCACAGCAGGGCCCTCCCCGTACCAGCCCACTCAGCCCTGTTCTAATCCTAATCCCTGCATAGCAGCAGGTAACGGAGGGTTTCAGTCTGAGGGGTGAAAGGTGTGAGCAGAGCAAGGGAGGGGGCAGCTCAGCTCCAGGACTTAGCCAGAGCCCCTTGACTGAAACTCTCTTTTTGATGGCTCTCTACCACATGTAGTGGATTATGTTAGGTTTTGGAGGGGGAAGATGAGAACAAAGGCCCAAGTCTGAGAGATGACCTAGTATAGAGGTTCTCAGAGTCCCATCTGGGACCAGCAGCATCTGCATCACCTGAGAACTTAGAAATACAAATTCTCAGGGCCCCACCCCAGAATCCCCGAATCAAACACTCTGGGAATGGAGCTCAGCTTGTGTGTTAACAGGCTCTCCAGGAGATCCGGATGCATTTGAGAACTATTCCTCCAGGACTCAGGTTGTGTTTCATTCCAAGGGAAACAAGAAACTGTTCTGTGCCTGGCTAATAGGAAACAAACCACAGGTGGTCCCAATTTCATTCCCTAGGTCGTATCATTTTGAACTCAGGGTGAGTGGCTCTATTGATTTTAACATGGCAATAAAGGCAATTAGTCTCTTTTTGCTGTTTAGGAGCAAAAGACAACAACGCCTGCAGAAGCCAGTGGCCCTGGAGGGAAAGCAGCTCAGAGGTGGAGAGAAGCACCAGCTCTGTCTTCCAGGAGCCCTCCCTTATCAGCCCCAGGCTCTGACGGGTGGGTAGTTACTTTCTCTCCTCTCAGGTTAACCAGCCCCTTTCTTCCATCCATCCTCTTGACTGTCTCCCTAAACTCCACTTCCCTTTGAAACAGGCTGTAGGCAGGAGATCCAATCACAGTGGGGTTGGCTGAGGCTCCAAAGTGACCCCCACCTTGAGACACCTAAGACAAGAGTGTCTAAAATCACAGCCCTGCCGCCTGTCTTGTCTCTGTGGTTCTCAAAGCTCAGACAGGATGGGTGGCAACCATGGCTGAGCCAGGGCTTCAGTGAGGCTGCACCAACTTCAGATTCTAGGCCGTAGAAAGGTCAATTAACACTGGCAGGCCTCAATTTCCCTGTCTATAAAATGGACAAATAACCATCTAGTAAGTGCTCATTAAATATCAGCATTTCTGGCCTGAAGAGAGAGCCCTCTGAGTGGGAGCGTGAAAGGGCCTAGATGCCAGGATTCCAGCCCCGCTGCCTTCCACACAGCTGTCCCCTTCCCACCCCTGCCACCCTGCTCCTTCTCCAGCTCCTTCTGGAGACTTGGGTGCACAGGAGGAGTTCAGTAAATAGTGTGAATTAAGGGGAGATAGATGGAAGGAAAGAGACACATGAACCATGTATGACTCAGGCAAAGACTGAATTGATCTGTGTTGGTATTTGAGGGGGAAGGAAATGGCTAAACAAAACAAACTGTGTTTACCACCATGAAAGGAAGCCCAAACAGTAACCAGCTAATGGCAGGTGAAAACACAGGAAATTCTGAAAAGTGTGTAAGAAAGGCACTGTGTTTTTTTCTTCTAAATAATTCAAATGGTTCAAAAGCTTACTCCTTTCCCCTCTAAAGAGCTCACTGTCCATGGAGACGTCTCTGGGAGCGTAGTGTAGCCCTACCTCATACCATTTTTTTCCTCACCTGGCAAGGTCCCTGCTTTTTCTCAGGGCTCGGGGGCCCTGCTCCTGTCTTCACTGATCTGCTTGCTCTCTGTCAGTATCACTGGTTAACAAATGACTCTATATCCGTTCCACAGAATGGTGTGCAGCCATCCCAATGCTTACTGCAGCTACATGATATCTGTGTTCTGTCGTCTTCATCTTATAATGCCTAGAACTTTGAGGGAAATCATTATATAATGAAATGAAGAAACCACCAAAAACTGTGTACCTATGCTTTGATTTTAACTATATAAAATATGAATTCATCAGAATAAAGACAAAGATAAGACTCAAATGAAAACAGTTTGTTAGGTGGTAGGATTATAATCGTCTTTTCCCTTTTTTCATTTTTTTATTTTTATTTTTTAGAGACAGGGTCTTGCTCTGTTGCCCAGGCTGGAGTGCAGTGGCGCAATCATGGCTCACTGCAGCCTCAAACTCCTGGGCTCAAGCAATCCTACTGCCTCGGACTCCCGAGTAGCTGGGACTACAGGCATGCGCCACCACACCTGGCTAGTTTTTTATTATTTTGTAGAGATGGGGTCTTGTTTTCTTGCCCAGGCCACTTTCAAATGCCTGGGCTCAAGTGATCCTTCTTCCTCGACCTCCCAAAGTGCTGGGAATACAGGCATGAGCCACCACTCCAGGTCTCTCTTTTATATAGTGTGGTGGATGTTGACTTTATACTTAAAATTTTTTTAAAACATATGGCAAATATTATAAGGTGTTTGTGCCCCACACCCCTGCCACCAAATTCCTGTGTTGAAATCCAATCCCCAATGTGATGGTATTTGGAGGTGGGGCCTTTGGGTGGTAATTAGGTCATGAGGGTGGAGCCCTGATGAATGGGATTAGTGCCCTTATAAGAAGAGGCCAGAGAGCTGGCTTGTTCTCTTTCCACTGTATGAGGAATGCAAGAAGTCAGCAGTCTGCAACTTGGAAGAGGGTCCTCACCAAAACCCGACAGTGCCACCACCCTGATCTCACCCTCTATCCTCCCAAACTATGAGAATAAATGTCTGCAGTTTATAGTCCACTCACCCTCTGGCACTTTGTGGTTGGATTTTTTTTTTTTTTTTTTTTTTTGAGACAGAGTCTCGCTCTGTCACCCAGGCTGGAGTGCAGTGGTGCGATCTCGGCTCACTGAAACCTCCACCTCCTGGGTTTAAGCGATTCTCCTGCCTCAGCCTCCTGAGTAGCTTGGATTACAGGTGCCTGCCACCACACCAGGCTAATTTTTGTATTTTTAGTAGAGACAAGGTTTCACCATGTTGGCCAGGCTGGTCCTGAACTCCTGACTTCAACTGATCCACCTGCTTCAGCCTCCTGAAGTCCTGGGATTACAGGCGTGAACCACTGTGCCTGGCCAGCACTTTGTTATAGCAGCCAGAACGGACTAAGATGTCAGGCTTCCAAAATCTACTGATTTTCCCATGGAATATACAATTTTCAGAAAAGCATTATTTTTCTAGGATAATGAAGGATGAGGGGTCATAGCCCATGTGAGAACTACTTACCTGGAGACACCAAAGCCTTTGGAGCCAGGGACATGAAAGAGGATGCGAACTTGCCATGGGGACTCCAGACAGTGGAATGGAGGAGAAAACAACAGCTAAATATAAGGGAGAAATTCCCTACGAGTGGAGCTGTCTAATAACAGAATTGCCAAGGTCCAGTCTCCTGACCATGAAGATGTATGGGAAGAGGGTATTAAATAATCATCTACCTGCAGACACTGGGGAGCTCAGGTGCTTCCAGATCTCATTTCATACCACAACAGGCTGCAGTGTAAACATATGGTCAGTCAGCGGAGGACTGAAGCCTCAAACTCAGATGTCCCAGGGCCTGGACTGCTGCTGCACGAGAGCTACACCAGAGCTTCCAAACGGTGCTTCTTTGCATGCCCAGGGTTGGCTGCCTCCAGCCTGTTGGCTCACCCCAGTATGCCCTACAAATATCATCAGTTTCCACCCTTGCCATGAGACAGAAAGGTGGGGAGTACCTCTTATCACAGCAAAGAGGAGGAGATGGCTTCCTACAAAAGCTAGTAAATATTTCATCAGAAGGAAGTCTGTCTTCACAGGAATTGTCCCAGCTAGACTTCCAATCCCTAACCCTGATTTTAAGAGATCCACCTGATAAATGCGTCTTCAGGAACAACAGCCAAAAACAAAGACTGACCTAAACGTGGCTGGTGACAGCGAGAAAGGGAGGAGAGCCATGAACCGCAGAGGGCCAGCATTGAGAGAGTCCAAAGTATTGGTCACGCTTCCATATCCTGGCTCATGTTACAGCCAACTTTTGTTTACCAGGCCTACAGTCCCTCTTCCTGTCATTCCCAGCTTCCTATTTTAATGTTCTTTTTTTCTCTGTTCACTACTATTTAGGCAGACAATGAATACAGATAACAGCGACAGTGAAAAAATTCAACTGAGTTATCTGCTACTGGGGATTACCTGATCCATCGGGAAATCACAAGTTGACAAGAGGACAAAGAACAGGGTGTACCTCATTGTTGTCGATTTGCTTATCTCAAGTTGCACCCACCCCCCATCCTGGCTACCCATGCTCAAGCCTATGACCAGGAGGGAGGGGAAGCACTTGCCCCCGTGGCTCCCCACTGCATGGACGTTATCAGGGGTCTTGCTGGATGGTGGCCAGGCACCTGTTACTATCCTGTGGAATTTACACAGCTAGGCATGGTCAGAAAGGAAATCCATGGTTCAAATTTTTATCAAAATTCGGGTAATTTTTCAGCTAGCTCAGCCAACCATATGCTTTCAGGAAATAACAATTGTGGGGGCAGGGGGTGGTAAAGCAGGCTTCAAACTGATTTAAACCTGATCCCCTGTCCAAAGAGCATTGTACAACTGAGCAGGTGTCTCCATTCACACTTCCACCCTCTCCAGTTACATGGCAAAGGGCTCACAACTCCCAGACACTCAGCCAGCCAGCATTCACAGAGAGCCCACTGTGAGCTGCGCCGGGCGGGCCAGGGACAAGGATGTCACATGGCGCTGCCTGTGCCATGTTACAGTGAGGGTTTGGTTGAGGCCATAAGGCAAATCAACGATATCAAAGACACAAAACCACACACATAAACAAAAAACCACACACTTAAACATAGTAACACTTTGAGACGGTCATGTCCAAAAAGGCCTGAGGAGCTGGTCTAATATGAGGTCCGGAGGAAGAAAGGTAGGGTCGGGCAGGGACCTGCAGTGACCCAAGGATGTAGGAGCAGAGGCTGGATGCCCCAGCAGGGCCCAAGTGTGAGAAAGCTGGAGGCCCTGGGCATAGACTGCGAAGAAACCAGTTGGGCAGGAGTGAAAACTGAAGAGAAATGATGGTTGTCAGGCGGAGTCAGGGGGATGCTATCCCATGAGGAGGCTCTCAGGTGCTAGGCTAGTGAGTTCAGACTTGACTCACCAGTCAAAACACAGGAACACTGACCATCTTACACACTGCACACCAGCACAGAACAGCCACAGAAATGGGGGAAGGCCCATTTTTGGAGTTGACAGTGACCAGTTAAATGAGATGCATGTACCATTGCTGAGCCTCATACCCACCTGCCAGGTGGGCAACATCACCTCTTTTTTGGAAGCGAGGAAACCCCATTAGCCTTGAGCCTTGCATCACATTTCCAAATGACTCAGTGGTAGCCATGAAGTAGAACGAACCCAAATGATGAATGGATATACAAAATGTAGTATATCCATATAATGCAGTACAGTATTTGGCAACAAAAACGGAGGAAGTGCTGATACACACCATGACACAGAGGAACCTTGAAAACACCAGGCTAAGTGAAAGACACCAATCACAAAGACCACACACTGTACGATTCCCTTTATATGACAGGTCCAGAACATAGAAAAAGAAGGCCGGTGGCTGCCAAAGGTTGGGGGAGAGGAGAACAAAGTGACTGCTAATGCAGTGATGAAAATATTCTAAATTTAGATAGTGGTGATGGTTGCACAATCCTGTGAATATATTGAAAACTGCTGAATTGTACCCTTTATAAGAATGAATTCTGGCCGGGCGCGGTGGCTCACGCATGTAATCCCAGCACTTTGTGAGGCTGAGGCGGGCGGATCACAAGGTCAGGAGTTCGAGACCAGCCTGACCAACATGGTGAAACCTTGTCTCTACTAAAAATACAAAAATTAGCCAGGCGTGGTGGTGCGGGTCTGTAATCCTAGCTACTCAGGAGGCCGAGGCAGGAGAATCGCTTAAACCCAAGAGGCAGAGGTTGCAGTGAGCCGAGATCGCGCCATTGCACTCCAGCCTAGGCAACAGAGACAGACTCCGTCTCAGAAAAAAAAAGAATGAATTCTATGGAATGCAAATCTCAGTAAAGCTGTTGTTTAAAAACTGGCTTAAACCAGGCACCGTAGTATGTGCCTATAGTTCCAACTGCTCAGGAGGCTGAGGCCAGAGGACCCCTTGAGTTTAGGAGACTTCGATATCCCTGTCTCTTGAAAAACAAAAACTGGCATAAATGTATTTGCGATTCCCCTGCCTTCATATATAGGATATGTGTGATTCAATTTAATCTTTATTAATAATTCAATCAATAGGTACCCTGTGCTGTAATCAAAATCATGCGCCCCTCCTCCCCGCAGAGTGCTTCTATATATCCCCCCATGGTGCTGTTTCTGTTTTTCTGCCTCCTGCCTGTCTCCAGTGCTCCCTGTCAGGCTGTGGGCCAACACCTACCTGCTGTTTGGAGCCCCCCACCCCCTCCGTACCCACTCCCCTGCTCCTCCACACCCCTGCAGCTCAACTGTGCAAGGGCAGGTCTGTGCTTGTGCCAATGCTCAGAATGAATAGTTTCAATCAGTCACCCGGTGAGGCCCCTCTGCTCAGACAGAGCAGGAAAAGATGGGGAGAAGACAAGCTTGTTATCTTCATTTTCCTTTTGAAAGGAATATTTATTTGGCAAGTTTAACTTTTCTCAGGAAATAAGGTGTGTGTGGGCAAAGGCGGGAAATTTCGATCTTTTAAAATACTGCTGCCACTCATTTATTCGTTCTTTTAGAAACGTTTCTTGGGCACCTCCGGTGTGCTGACACTGTCCGGGTGCTGGGGTAGACCAGTGAACAAGCCCTTGTGGCGCTGCTGTGGTAGCGAGTGGAGACGGGCAATGACCAATGATGGCAGGGGTGCTCTGGACTCAAATAAATCCAGGAGAGGGGTGAAGAGGGCTGGAGGTGGGGCGGACGCTGCAATTGTAAATAGGGTGGTCAGGGGAGGCCTCACTGAGGAGGTGACGGTTAAACTAAAGGAGGGAAGAAGTGGGGAGCAAGCCTGCAGTTGTGAAAGGATAAAGAATGTTCTAGGTGGCCGGGCGCGGTGGCTCACGCCTATAAATCTAGCACTTTGGGAGGCCAAGGCGGGCAGATCACCTGAGGTCAGGAGTTCGAGACCAGCCTGACCAACATAGTGAAACCCCGTCTCTACTAAAAATACAAAACTAGCCAGGCGTGGTGGCACCTGCCTATAATCCCAGCTACTCAGGAGGCTGAGGCAGGAGAATCGCTTGAACCTGGGAGGCAGAGGTTGCTGTGAGCCGAGATCGCGCCACTGCACTCCAGCCTGGGCGACAGAGCGAGACTGTCTCAAACAATCAAACAAACAAGAATGTTCTAGGTGAAGGAGGCACAGAACAAGTGAAAGGCTGTGTGACAAGAGTGTGCCAAGTGAGTTTGGGAATAAGAAGTATGGATCAAACAAAGTTGGTGTGGGGGTGGTGGCCACAGGGGCCACGGGGAGGTCAGCTCAGTGGGAAGAATTCTGCCTTCTCTCCAAGGGAGAGGAGGGCCGACCATTACCTCAATGGCACCCCATGGCCCTAACATCATTGTCTGATGCTTGTTGGTATACCAAGCTGGACGTGGCTGAGTGGGATGTGAGGTGGGAAGCACTGCGGGGCTCCCCTGGTGGACACGTGGCTGCAATCAGGGCCTTCTGGTGGCAACATCAAGGACATATTTCAAACAGGCCTCGGGGAGGACACTGCACATCTCATTGGACGGTGCGGGAGAACACCTAGGAGCAGTGAAGACTGAGAAACTGGTCTCCCCAAGGTCTACGAGGACTCAGGCAGTAACCCGGGATGTGTTTAGGGCAGTGTGGGGGGAGGGGGGAAGATGGGAATGGTTATCACAATAGGATAAAAACAGTAGCTACTGAGGTACCAGGGACACTTGACATGTACACGGTAAACTCTACATTTTACAAGAATCTGGCAAAGGAGATGTCACAATCCCCATTCTGGAGATGCAAGATGGAGGCTTGGAGAGTCCAAATTATTTGGCCAAGGCGGCAAAGCTAGCAGGCAGGAGATGGTCAACTCCAAGCCCCAACCAGCCTCACTTCCTGGCTCTATCAGTGAAACTGCATAGAATTGCTAACCATCAACTATTTCTGACTTATAAAAATGGCTTATAAAATTTCATATGAACCCTATTGAAGAGGATTGGCTTTCCCAATATTTACCCACAACAGAAGCTCTGAAGGACTCTGACAAAGGCAGATCATCTCATTCATGTCTACTGCCCAGTCCTGTGAGTAGCAGTACACACCACAAAGCTCTCAAGCCTGGCTGTGGTCAGAATCACCCTAGAAGTTGTTGTGGATTCCCAGTTCTGTCCTATCTGGAGCGGAAATTACAGGGGTGAAGCCCAGGATGTGCATTTTAAAACAGCACCCCCAAATCATTCTGACATAATCCTTCTCATGTGGTTTGGCTCTGACCCCACCTAAATCTCGAATTGTAGCTCCCACAATTCCCACGAGTCATGGAAGGGACCCGGTGGGAGGTAACTGAATCATGATGGCAGGTCTTTCCCATGCTGTTCACGTGACAGTGAATAAGTCTCATGAGAGCTGATGGTTTTATAAAGGGGAGTTCCCCTGCACATGCTCTCTTGCCTGCCACCATGTAAGACGTGCCTCTGCTTCTCCTTTCCCTTCTGCTGTGAGGCCTCCCCAGCCATGTGGAACTGTGAGTTCATTAACCTTTTTTTCTTTATAAATTACCCAGTCTCAGGTATGGCTTTATTAGCAGCATGAGAACAGGCACCTTCCCAAAGTCTAAAAAACCAACAGCCTCATTATTCCTTTGACAAGCGGCTACAGAACTAATTTCAAGATATGCATTTTCCAAGATGTCCCTAGGCAGGAAAATCCAAGGAAATTCTTTTGTCCACAGCCCATCTGTTGTCTTTCTGTTGTGGTTCCAGTCGGGGAATGGCTGCAGCAAGGGAGACTGCATCACACCTACTATGTGCTGGCTTCCTGGGCAGACGGGAAAAAATCACTTTCAAAACTCCACTCTGAGTGGGTTTCCTGGGCACCATTTTTCTTTCCTGGGATGTCCGGGTACTAAGATCTTTATGAGACAGAAGTTTCTCCAATTAGCAGAAAGAGAGAGAGCGAGAGAGAGAGAGGAAGAAGAATCAGAGAGAACTCTCCCCCTTTACAATAAGGGAAGAAGTCTTTGGATAACAGCAGGAAGGCAGTGGCAAAAGGAACCAAGGAAGAGCTACTGATTATAATTGGAGGCTCTGGCTTGTTTTAGAACACAGTGGCATGGCACCAGGAACAAACCCATGATTTGGCACTCCAAACCCTGAGCATAGCTATTTGCTCCTTAAATTTTTTTATATCTCAATTTTCTATATTGCTCAATTTTCTTTTGATGAATATGTATGACTTTTACTCCTCCAAAATTGACTTGATTTTACAAAGTGAGATTGCTCACTTTGTTGAAAATGCCAGGCTTGATGCTTCTGAAAATGAAATCCACCTATGGAAGATACAGTCTCTGCCCCAACCCTAAGATGACCCAGCAGAGCAAAGTCAGCTCCAGTCTCCACAAAGAAGGGAAGGTGGGGTACACAACTCTACTCACTGGGCTGCAGGAGCTATTCCAGAGAGTGAGCACACTGCTGGCCCTTGGGATCTCATCCTCCTCTCTCTGAAATATTCATCTTTCAAGGCTATCTTGTCATGCTCTAGATCCAAGTTTGCAGAACGCAGGTTTATGCGATATCAACTTTTAGTAACAAGAAAGTATTGTTGGCTCTTCTTTTTCAATTTGGATCTTTCACAATTATCTCAAAATGAGTTTAACTATCTTGTGCCCAAGTAAAACCTAAACATTATCTTAAAAAATCCTGATTGCCAGGCCCTTGCATTCCAGGCTAATGACTACTGTAATTATAAACTCCAGTCTGTGCTGGACGAGTCTGCCAAGGAAGAACCCAGACCAGGGCTGTGTGGCCCTGCATCATGGGAGCTGGTTGTACTGTCACCTAGCAAGCACAGATGCAGGTACATGGCAGCACGGGTGCCCAGAGCAGACCAAAAAATACAGCCTTGGTTAAAAATCCCTCCCCTCCCGTTGGCTAGGGAGACAAGGCCTCTGCACTGAAACAATTAGGGAACAACACAATATGCTTTGTCTTGTTCACCAATCACACATAGATAAATGACAGGTAGAAGTTATAAGATAATACATCCTATAAAAAGGCAATTGTGTTTGATTGTGAGGTACATATGAGAAAATGTGCACTTTGGGAGGCTGAGGTGGGAGGATCACTTGAGCCCAGGAGTTCGAGGTTGCAGTGAGCTATGACTGCACCACTGTACTCCAGCCTGGGCAACAGAGCGAAACTCCATCTCATTAAAAAAAAAAAAAGAAAGAAAGAAACTGTGGACAGCAGGCGAATCTGGAGTTCAGGTCATCAAAGCCAATGTTGTTAGGCCAGCATGCTAGGGGGTAGAGTCTGGAAGGAGGTAGAAGCGCACTAGGTGTGTTCAGTGGGGAAGGTTCAGAGACTGCTGAATGAAGGACTGATGAGAAGGAAGGCTGACCTGACCGAGTGAGGTCAGATGGGGAAAGCCTTGAGAGTTACACAGGGAAGTTTAGACTTGGTGTGTGAAGTGAAAAGGAGCAATTGTGGCTTTCCTAGAAATGAAGTTATGAAATGATGGTGTTTTTTGGAAGATGAAACTGACACTAATGGGCAAGGGAAGTTGAATGGAGGAAATAGAGGCAGGAGGTTCTCAGATTTATTCTGTCCTGGGATTGCAGCAACCCTGTCCTCCTGCCACAAGTTTAGTTTCAAAAATCATATTTAGACTGGGTGCGGTGTTTCACACCTGTAATCCCAGCACTTTGGGAGGCCGAGGTGGGTGGATCACATGAGGTCAGGAGTTTGAGACCAGCCTGGCCAATATGGTGAAACTCCATCTCTACTAAAATACAAAAATTAGCCGGGTGTGGTAGCGGGTGCCTGTAGTCCCAGCTACGCAGAAGGCTGAGGCATGAGAATCACTTGATTCCGGGAGGCGGAGGTTGCAGTGAGCCAAGATTGCACCACTGCACTCCAGCCTGGGTGACAGAGTGAGGCTCTGTCTCAAAAAAAAAAAAAGTCGTATTTACAGATGGACCTGTGGCCCTCCTCTGATAGCCTGTCCCAGGTTCAGTCCACGCAGCTCTACCAGGCGGTGGGTGGATGGTGCTCAGACTCGGCAGCACCCAGCTCCATGACTCCCCGACACCCCCACACCACCTGAGGTGTCCCCCTCAGGGACAGTGTAGGGCCTGCCTGGTTAAACCACCCCTACCCCTCCTTCTCCATCTTCACTGTTCCCACACTTACTCTTTTTTTGTTTTTTACAATTTTGTTGAGGTATGATTGATATACCAAAAAACTGCACATATTTAATATAGATAATTTCATGAGTTTGAACACGTGCATACATCCATAATACCATCACCATGGTCAGGGTAATAAACACATCATCACCTCCAAAAGCTTCCTTGTGTCCCTTTGTGTGTGTGTGTGTGTGTGTGTGTGTGTGTTTGGTAAGAACACTTAACATGAGATTGACCCTCTTAATAAAGTTGTAAGTGCCCAACTCTAAACCATGGGCACTATGTTGTACAGCGGAGCTGCAGAGCTTACTCATCTCATATCTGTAACTTTACACCCACCGAACAACACATTTCCCTCTTCCCCCATTCCCTGGCAACCAGCGTTCTTTAAGTTTGACTATTTTCGATCCCACATACAGGCAGAATCATACAATATTTGTCCTGTGACTAGCTTATTTCACTTAGCATGATGTCCTCCAGGTCCATCCATTTGTTGTCACAAACGGCAGGATTTCCTTCTCCTTGTTTATTTTTTTGAAATAGGGTCTTGTTCTGTTGCCCAAGCTGGAGTACAGTGGTGGGATCTTGGCTCACTGCAGCCTCGACCTCCTGGGCTCAAGCGATCCTCCCACCTCAGTCTCCCGAGTAGCCGAAACTACGGGCATGTGCCACCATGCTCAGCTTATTTTTGTATTTTTCTTAGACACGGGGTCTCACTGTGTTGGCCAGGCTGGTCTCGAACTTCTGGGCTCAAGTGATCTTCCTGCCTCAACCTCCCAAAGTGCTGGGGAATACAGGCATGAACCACCATGCCTGGCTCCTTCTTTTAAAAAGCTGAATGATATTCCATTGCGTGCAGAGCCCACATTTCCTTTAGCCATCCATCTGTCGACGGATACTCAGGTTGTTTCTGTAACTTGGCTATTGTGAATAGTGCTGCAGTGAATGTGGGGGTACAGATCGTCTCTTTGACAGTGATTTCACAATTTTTTTGGATATATACCCAGTAATGAGATTGCTGAATCATATAATTCTTTAATTTTTAATTAATTTTTTGTTTTTTGAAGAACCTCTATACTGTTTTCCATAGTGGTTGCACTCAACACTTGCTCTTGGGAGCTGGTCTTGTACCATGTGCTAGCCCCTTACCCCCCAGCCAGTCCCACATTGCTGGAATCAGCCAGGAGAAAAGGTAGGGTGGGAGAATGATACTTGCAGGTGTAGAGTAGGCGTTATCTCTGACTATAAAGGTAAGTACTTAGCTGAAAACTTTAACCAAGGAAACTGGAAGAAATGGCAAACGAAAAATAAAAATAGAAATACATGCACCAAAATTAGCCGGGTGTGGTGGCCGGCGCCTGTAGTCCCAGCTACTCGGGAGGCTGAGGCGGGAGAATGGCGTGAACCCAGGAGGCAGAGCTTGCAGTGAGCCGAGATCACGTCAGTGCACTCCAGCCTGGGCGACAGAGCAAGACTCCGTCTGAAAAAAGAAAAAAATACACGCACCAGCATTGCCAGATATCTAAAACCATAAAACCCAGACACAGTATGAACATTATTATCTTTTGTGGTTGGAGAATGTAGCTTTCCACTTAATCAGATGTCCTGGTCAACTGAGAGGTGCTAAAGAGACAATCAACCCATGACCAGCTTTGGGACAAAACCACCACCTTAGTTTTTGAGTGTGCTCTGGGATTTGTATCAAATGCCTTCCCATCTACTGTGGTAATCGGATCTCACATTATAGGCTGTAGGAAGCCATGCCCAGCAGTGATGTCCGATCTGACTGTACTCAGCACAGTCAGTTCCAGTGTGCATGGGAAGGATAGGGCAGGGCTCCTGGGTACCCCCATGCCCACCAGGCTAAGACCTTACCCTACAACCCTTACCACGCCACCCAGGTCTAGTCAGGGCATCTCTATTTATTCCTGACCTGTCCCCTCATTGCCTATGAGGCCTGGAGCTCTTCTCTGAACCCCTGAGGACTCAGCTGGTGCCCTTGTGCCCTGCCCCTCACTCACATTATTCCTGCTCTCCAGCCCAGAGAAACATACTCTGCTCCCAAGGTCTAGCCCCAGAGTGCTTGTGCCTGTGAAGCAAGAGGCCACTGGCACCCAAGACTCCTGCTGCAGTGCTCCAGATCCAGGCTGAGCCCTGTAAATAATAGCCCACCTAGCACTGGACTCCAAATACTCTGGGGCTCAGCCCTACAGTCAAATCTCTACCTCCAGCCCCAAGGCTGACCAGACAGGTGACTCAGGAGGCAGATGTTACAACCACCACTGTGACCTGAGGCTAAAGGACAATTTAACAGAACTGATGCAAACTCACTGCCATTTGCCTCCCGATCAAGTTTTAAAATAAGTTCCATAAAACAGCTCTGTATCTGATTGTGGTGTTAGTTACACAAATTTATACATGGGATAAAACTGCATAGACCTGTCCACACAAACTACACACACACACAAAACATGAAGAATGGTGAGGGCTGAAGGTCTGTAGTCTAGTTAACAGTAATGTGTCAGTGTTGATGTTCTAGTTTTGATATTGAACTTCAGCTACATAAGATGACACCACTGGGGAAGCTGGAGGAAGTTCTCCCGAATCTTATGTCCTATTTTTGCAACCTAAGTCTATCATTATTTAAAAATAAGAATTAAAACAAAAAACAAACCAAGTTCCATAAACCTAATGATCTACAGCAGATTATTTTCACATCAACCAGGGCCCATGATCTGGCACCATACATGTTTTTCCAGGCCGCCCCAAACAGGTCTTCCAACCCCAGCTTTAGTGTTGTCATCCAACCAGCCTCAGCGTCTCCAACACACGCCACTCGGGCACTGGAACTTTGCACATTTCCAGAGTGACCCAGAAGGTCACGTCTCAAGGCAAGTAACTCTGGAAGGAGTGGGTATTTATTTTGCCTGCAGCTCCTCTCAGCCCCACTCACTTGAGACTGACTGGCCAGGGACAGGGACCAGCTTCCCAAGAAGGATCTAACAGGACTGGAGGGCAGATTTAAGGCTGGGCTTGTTCAAAAGCTTCTACCTAATCACCTAATCTCTGATGTCTTTGAAAAGAAGGCAAGCCGTAGTCTACACAGGCGCACATGTGTGCACACACACGGCAGCCTCAAGGAGCCAAAAAGAGGAGCTGTAAATTTAACTATTAATAAATCAAGCGATGGTCAAGACTGTAATCTAGAGTTATCTCCACTTACAGGATTTATTCACTGACTGGGAACAGGAAACAGTTACTATAAATGCAAACCAAGGATCCCTATCCTCTTCAATGCCACAGACCACTCCTTGGTAGGCTAGGGAAGCCCACAGAGGCCTCCACAGAATGATGCTAAATGCACAAATTAAATACACAGCATTGCAAAGGAAACCAATTACAGTAAAATGCAGTTATCAAAATATTTTATATTTTCCACCATGGTAATATTTAATTAACATATTAAATAAGACCTAGCAGCGAATCTCATAACAACCTTAATTCTGAAGTATTAAGAATTGCTAAGGATAACAGTATATCAAGACATTTACAATGACTCTACCACACTGTAAAAAATTAACTTTGCTTTCATGTACCTATAAATACATCGGTGTACTATGTACCCACAAACATTTTTTAAAAATGCACTTTGCAATTGCTACTGGTGACAGTCATGAGAACTGTTAATGTCCCTGTGGTTTATAGTCTACATTCATAATTGAAGAAAATGCCAATTTTCAGTTAGTGAAAATAAAATGTAATTTCTTTCCATTCAGGTTTTTGGAGCTTCCCTGAATTCTGTCTGTGGGTGGACTCCAGCTGAGAGCCTCTGACCCCAGCGGTTGATACAGAATAGCTACGGGAATGGAACGCCTCCTCCTCTCCATAACCCTGCCACTCCCCAACCTGTT
Source organism: Homo sapiens (assembly GCF_000001405.40). Lineage (NCBI taxonomy): Eukaryota > Metazoa > Chordata > Mammalia > Primates > Hominidae > Homo > Homo sapiens. Next base: position 85,164,488 of record NC_000002.12, on the reverse strand, counting down.
CACTAATGAGATGTCCATTCCAAAGTAGCCTCGCTTTAAAACAAACCCCTCTTGTCCAAAGAGTTTTCACAATCCTCTCCAGCTGATGTTTAACACTGCCCCTGACCCCAGCCTTCATCTTAGGCAAGAGGGGCCCATCTCTCACAGTTCACCTCTCCCTTCAGCCACTGCTGCCACTGTGAGGAAATTAGGGGAATTATATTCATCTCTGGAGGAGCCTGAATGCAAACAATCATCCTCTGAGTGTACCCAGAAGCCAGGGAGCAGACGCCAGTCAGTGGGCAGGTTCGTGCTGAACGCTGACAGGCAACCAGCCCTGGGCTCCGGTGTTTTGAGCAATTTGAGGGTGAGAGTGGGTGTAAAGAAAAAAAAATATGCAGCTACCCGTTAAAGGCTGCAGTCAAAGTGGCCGGCTTGGAAGATATTTGTTATGGGTTGAATTGAATCCCCCTCATACACCCCCAACAAAAAAAGTTATGTTGGAGTCCTAACCCCCAGTACATCTCAGACGGTGACCTTATGTGGAGACAGGGTGTACTATGTATGTGTACTATGTGGAGACCCTGTCTCCACATAAGGAGATAATCAAGTTAAATGAGGTCATTACAGTAAGCCCTAATCCAATTGGACTGCTATCCTTATAAAAAGCAGGAACAGAGACAGACATCCACAGAGGGAAGACTGTTTGAATACACAGGGAGAAGGCAGCCCCCTACAAGCCAAGGAGAGAGGCCTGGAGCAGATCCCTCCCGCACAGCCTCAGAGGGAACCAACCCTGCCGACACCTTGATCTCAGACTTCCAGCCTCCAGAGCTGTGAGACAATGACTCTTTCTGTTGTTTAAGCCTCCTAGCATGCGGTACTTTGTTATGGCAGCCCTAACAAATTAATACAAAAATACAACATTCAAAATCAAACGTATGGCCTGAAACAAGGAAATCTTACTTTGGAGCTTATCACATCCTTTATGTTTGCCCACTGATCGATCTGAAATTAGATTCTGTTCGGAGTCTGCTTCTGGTCGGGCAGGAGGGATGGTCCGAGGTAGGTCTGTTGGATGATGTGACTGGGTGATGGAGGGGCATAGGGAATCCAGGAAAGAACTGCTGGCAACTCTACCACCAGCCCATGGTCTTATGGGGGAGGGGGGCCAATACCTCACTAGGCAGGGATCTGTTTAATCCTTTCATTCAGATATTCAGTGAGGAGCTTTCAACTAGAGCAGTGGTTTGCAAACTTGGCTGCATATTAGAAGCCCCTGGGGAGCTTTTAGAAAATTCCAGCAAAGCCTGAGCCCCACCCCAGACCAGTTGAATCAAAATCTTTGTGGGTGGAGGCTGGGCATGACCATTTCTAAAAAGCTCCCCAGATGATTCAAATGTGCAGCCAGGGTTGAGAGCCACTGGACCCTACGACCTTGGAGGGCCTTTCCTTCTCAGAATCCGGCGAGAGTGCATTTTGTGTTTATTTTAGTGGTTCTGGGGAGTGTGCTCTGGGGCTGCCTGGAGTCTGGTTTCCTACAGGTTCAGTCTACGGCGCCCTTTACTGGCTATGTGTGGATGAGTAATTCGGATGAACAGCGGGGAATGGTGGGAAAAAGGGAGCTGAAAAGGACTTTTCTCCCTTTCACTAAAACATCAATTCAGTAAGCTTGTGTTACAAAGCTCCTCCGTGCCAGCAGCTCAAAGGTGAACCAGAACCAAATGCCCAGACTTCTAGAAGCTCAGTCTCATTCCAGAAACAAACTGACAGCTGCTACACAAAACGGGGCGTACCACAACTCATGTCCTTATCAGTGTCCCTGCGGCAGAGGCTCAAACACCCCCAAGGCAACCGAAGGTGACCCCAGAGATGGTCTTAAAGGAGAAACAAGAATGTCTTCCATGGGGACTAAAGAATATCAGAAGGTTTGACCCATGATGGACTAAAATCATTCTGTTTGGCTAAAAATAGAGAAAATACGTCTTCACAGACCAAGAAAATTTGGGAACCACTGCTCGAGTGAAGCTGGTGTTTAATAAGGGGTGGCCTGGCTTGGGTAAAGTAGTGCCTGACCTTCCAGCAGGGGCTGCCTTCTACCTGGATCCACAGAGCAGCCTGGGATCCCACTGTGGCCACCCTACCTGTGTACCAACTTTTAAAAGTGAGCTTTGAATAAATGTATGTTCCAGGGCCCCATGTCCAGAGATTCTGGGCACAGAAGTCAGGCATGCGGACTTTCTTTTTTTAAAATTATTTATTTATTTTTTTTGAGAGAGAAGGGTCTCCCTCTGTTGCTCAGGGTGGGGTGCAGTGGCGTAATCATACTTCACTGCAGCCTCAAACTCCTGGGCTCAAGCAACCCTCCTGCCTCAGCCTCCAGAGTAGCTGGGACTACAGGCATGCATCACCACACCCAGCCAGGCATGTGTATTCTGATTTTTTTTTTTTTAAATCTCAACTTTTGGGGGAACTTCAGGGCACTGCTCTCCAAACCTCTATCTTGAGGGCAGACCACCAGGCCTGTGGCCCAACACCTGGCTTGCCTTGCTGGGCCTGCCTCGCTAGACCCTCAGCCTCTGTTTCCCATGTGGGACTGTTCCCCTGGCTCCCCCTCCGGCTCTGTTTGATCACCACAAGCCTCTGAGCTCTGCCTCGAAAGACCCAGCCACGCCCAGCCCTGCTTCCAGCCCTGGCTCCTGCTCTCAGGCCAGCATCCTGGCACCAACCTGACCAAGTGGATGACCCTAGAGTGCAGGCCCCACCACAAGTTAATCACCACAAACCCGCAGGCCACAGTGTGGAAAGGCACTCTCATCCTTTTACCCTGGACCAAAACTGCACAAAGATAGAAACAGGGACTTCTGTGCTCCTTGAGCTTCACGTGTTAACCTGGCTCCCCAGACCAAAGACCAACACCGCAGGGGTGAGTTCATCCTCTGCCAACAGCAATCTTTCCCTTCCTCTGAGGCCAGCCATCCCCATCCCAGGAGGCAGGGGAAGCAAGCCCGGGGAGGGCAGGAGAGCTCCCAGCTCAGTGAAGCAGCTCCACCGGCCCCGAAGCACCTCCCTTGCTCACAGCTCAGAGCCCAGCTTCTCCCTGCTGCAAAGATAACTGCAGCCTTCAGACTGACTTCCATGCCCCTCTAGCTAGGGCCCATCACTTCAAGTTCAGGCGCCAAAAACCAAGAAAGTAAATCACACTTCATAGACTTTATTTACCTTAAAAAATTCCTGAGTTCATTCATGTCTCCAAACCACTAGAGAACCTGAAAATTCACCAGGAAATTGGGCAACTGCAAGTTATCCTGGAGACTCCAGAGTCAACACTTCATTAAATGAGAACAATCTGGTTCATGCGTTGAAGCTGTTACAGTAATCAGGGCGACATGGGCAGGGGAAGCGATTTTTCTGAGGACAAGGCATACGGTAAATCCTTAGCTCTACGGATGCTGGTGTATTCCCAGAAGTCGGCCCACTAAGGGCATGCATGTACCTGTGGGCCAGTGGACTGTGGTCCTCATTCCTCCACACGGACAGACCCCGACAGCCACCCCTGTTTTACACCAATTAAACAGGAATGATGTGCGGGTTCTCATTGATGATTGCAAATGATCTTCTGGAACAAAACTAAGCGGCTTCTTTTTTCTTTTCTTTTTGAGACAGAGTCCTGCTCTGTCCCCCAGGCTGGAGTGCAGTGGCGCATCTAGGCTCACTGCAACCTCTGCTTCCCAAGCTAAAGTGATCCTCCCACCTCGGCCTCCTGAGTAGTTGGGACAGGGGCTTGCTACCACACCTGGCTAATTTTTGTATTTTTTGTAGAGATGGGGTTTCGCCCTGTTGCTCAGACTGGTCTGGAACTCCTGGGCTCAAGCAAGGAGCCTCCCACCTCGGCCTCCGAAAGTGCTAGGATTACAGGTGTGAGCCACTGCACCCAGCCTGCTTCTTTTTTTAAAAAAAGGTGTACCAAGACTTCAAAAAATAAGGCCGAGCGCAGTAGCTCACACCTGCAATCCCGGCACTTTGGGAGGCTGAGGTGGGCTGATCACCTGAGGTCAGGAGTTCGAGACCAGCCTGGCCAACATGGTGAAACCCCATCTCTACTAAAAATACGAAAATTTGCTGGGCGTGGTGACACATGCCTGTGATCCCAAGGAAGATGGGAGGCTACAGGAGAGTGGAGGTGATTTGCATGTCTTTATCCTACATCAGAAGGTACCAAGGACATTTCTCAGAAGATGCACACAATGCGGCCAACAAATCTCTGTTGGAGTGTTGGAGAACAGAGCAGTGGCTGCCAGGGGGAAGGAGGCATGACTACAAAGGGGTGGCACAGGAGATTTTAGGAATTTGGAACTATAGCAGTGGTTACATGAATCTGTACATGTGTTAAAACTCGTAAACTGTATACCCAAAGACTCAATCTTTCTGTATGCTAATTTAAAATTTTTGAAAGGAAAAAAGCCTTTAGGTAGAGTGAGAAAAGCACTGGCTGGAGATGGGACATGGCGTGAACTCCCCCACCATGTGACAGTGTCCCAGGTGCCTGTGAAACCTACAGAGCCAGTGGGCATCGGTCAGGGAGCCTGGGGACAGGAGGGGGCCAAACAAAGGGGGAAGCAACAGAGACGCTTGTGGAGGAAGCTGGGTCCCCCTGGCACACGAGAAAGCCAGCAAGGAGGGACTTTGTGAAGGGCAGAAGGAAACCAGCAAGGCCGGCAGGATGTCAGGCCAGGCCTGCTGTGAGAGGGACTTGGAGAAGGCCAGATGTTACACTTCACCCTAAGCATCCCAGGGCGCAAGCCTTCCCACAGGCCTTGGGTCAAGGAAGCCTGAAGGCGATCTTGAATTTCTCTGGGGCTTCTCCCATCTCCAGTAGGTCAAAGGGCCAGTACCACAAGCAAAGGAGAGGGCAGGCACTGGTCTGGAAGGCACCAGGAACTGCCAACCTGTTTCCTTTCACATTCCCTCAGATCTTCCCAAGTGCAGGCAGCCAATGTGTGCCCTTCCTGGTCCTTTCTGCAGAAGGTTTCACTGGGCATGCAGACAACCACCACAACTTGGTAAGGCCGGAAGAAAGGCCAAAAGAGGACAGTGCCTGCACAACTGGTCCCTGAGTAGCCCAGAGCAACCAACAGACAGCTAAACCTACAGAAGCTGCAGGCTGAGCAGGAGACCAGGTTCCCGAAGTGAATGGTCTGCCCAGGGAGCCCCGGGCGCCTGGGCACCATCAGGAGGAGAACACAGGCTCGAGGGGTGGTCTGTAAACCCTAGGAAAGGCCTAAAAGGCTGGGAAGAAGCCGCAGACACTGCAGGAACACCAGGAAGTGTTTCCTGTCTCAAACGCCAATCTCTCTCGGTCCAAGACTCCCCTTTTCCTGAAGCTGGAGCCTGCTTCTATTTATTGATCGAAGGCTGAACCGCACTGTCCACGGTGCTACAAAGCCCTCCTCTACCACAAAGCCGGGTTATGCTTCAACATCCTCGCAGCCAACTCTGAGACAGCAACTTGCCTGGGGTTAAGACAATTTGTAACCAGACATGGAAATGCAGGTAGATTTAAAGACACATTCTTCAGTAACAGAGATCTACCTTAGGGTGGAGCAAACCTTCCGAGGACAAACAGAAAGTGTGGCTGGGTCCCAGCTTGTGGCAGTACCAGGAGGCCCTTCAGTAGGTGAGCTGTGGCCACAGGGCCTGGACCACCTCCAAAGGGCCGGCCTTCAACCAAGGCCTGACAGAGAGAAATTAGCATGCTGTTCTGCTCAATTATCCACTTACAGAGAGGCATAATCACATTTTCTTAAAGCTGGACATGTAGATGAAAGATATGTCCACGATAGAAAATCCCGGGAGTTTTTTTCCAAAAGAGATAAAAACTTTATCACACCTCCGAAACTAACCTGACCTGAGCTATCATGATTTTGGCAATAGAGACACAATGACTTTTCTTAGGACTCAAATGTGAGCTTTCTTTCTGCCCCCAACCTCTCTCAGGCAAGAGTTTGGGCAGACATTATTTTTAAACAGGCTCATATCACCCCAAGACAAAATACATTGAATAAGCACTAAGACAGCCTGCAGGGGTTTGGGCCTCGGAGTTCTGGACTGGCTTCAGCTTCACACGGAGTCATGTGCATGGTCTCCTGGACACCAGACCCAAAAGGAGAGGGGAGAGAGAGGACTCCCAGAGGGGACTGGGTCTCCTATGTTCTAAAGTGCCATGCTGGTGGGCACGGGAAGTTAAATGAAGTCATTTACCAGTCCGTTTGGGTTTGGCTGCAGAAGCCAGAGCAGGAGTCCTGGACTAGACTGGGGTGGACGTTGAGGGCCATGCACCACACTTGCTGTCAGCTCTCCTAGCCCCTGCCCCGCCTTCTGCCCACTCAGCTAGCACCTTACACCACTATGGCCAGGAGTCTGTAAAGCTGACCTTCCCAGGAGCAACTCCAGTCCTTCCTCCTTCCCTGGAAATGCCTGCTTTCCTCTGTCCGCCATGTAGCATTCTGAGTTCCCAGGCTCTCTCCATCCCAGAAGGCACCTCTAAAAGCCATGCCCCCATCTGCACAAATGATGAACAATTACCACTAACTGCCCCTCACCTCGCATTAACCCCGAGACCTCCCTTAAGGAGGGAAGGAGGGAGAGGAGGGGAGGGGAAGGCAGGAGAGCCAGTCAGGGCCCCTCCATCCTGCCCCTACCCAGCTCCCCTGGTCCTTGCAGGTAGATTGGCCACCATCATTCTTGCTCTTCACCCAGAGGCCTCCTAAGCAATGGCTGCAGACCCGAAAACCCCATGGGTTCAATAGCTCAGGGCCTCTTAGGGACAAGGTTCAGGCATTATTAACCATTTCCAAACTGGAGTTTCAGAATGCAACTATTGGAAGGAACCCCATGGGTCCCCAGTTCAGCATCTTCACTGCCTTGTCCCTCAGGCTTACACAAGCTGTCAGCATGGCCCTGGGGGAGGTGGTGCCACATGGCAGGGGCTGGGTGAATCTGGTTTCCAAGCCAGTCCCTGCCCCAGGCTTGCTGAATGGCCTCAGGCAAGGATCTTGACCTCTCTGGGCCTTGATTTCCTCTTGAGTAAAGGATGAATAACCAGTTCCTACTTGCAGGGTCATTCTGAGGACTAAACAAAGTAATGCATGCAATATTCCTCTGGGACACAGAGAACACCCAAAGAATGAGGGTTCTCAATCTAGCAGTAGTTCGGAAAGAACTATTATCACTGCAAAAAGCACTGTTCAGAGAAGCCAGAAGCCCAAGTTCTGGGCCTGCTATGCTTCTCAAGAGCTTTGTGACATTAGGAACACTGTTCACCTCTCTGAGCCTCAGTTTCCTCAACTATAACTAAAATTCAAATGGGTCTCTAAGGCCTCTTCCAGTAAATAAATATATACTGAATATGTTTTTATTTGTGTGTATATATAATATGTGTATATGTACACCAGGGATTCTCAGCCTCGGCTATGGACATTTGGGGCCAGATAATTCTTTGTTGTGAGGAACCATCCTATGCATTGTAAGATGGTTAGCAACATCCCTGACCTTTACCCTCTAGATGCTAGTAGAATGTGCCCCCAGCCCCACCCAAGTCTAACCAAAATATTTCTAACCAAAATATTTCTAACCAAAATATCTCCAGGCATTGCCAAATGTCTCCTGGGCAGCAATGCTGCCCCAAGCTGAGAACTTATTCATCATGCACACATGTGCATGCATGCGCGTATACACATACACACACAGAATAATAAGATGCGAACTTTGATACAGTGAAGAGGTAAGCTGGTGAGAGCAGAGGAACTCAATTTCTGTGTACAGAGGCCTTGAAATGTGCTCATGGAAACTTTACAGGGAATGAGACTACAAACATACACAGGACTTTTGAGCTTCTTTACATCTGTAAAACGGTTACTGTGCTCGTAAAGACTGCCTGCAGACTTAATTTGGCATATACATACAGAGTCCCATTTAGTGCATAAACGCACTGGCCCCAGAGCTCCCCACATCTGGTCTGCCCTGGTCAAGAATGTACTGGGAACTTGGCCTGGGGGAGACGAACACAGGGGGATTCTGTGTGCTCCCTTCCTGAACACTCGCCTTGAGCACCCTGGAGGAAAAGGAAGCTGAAGCTGGACTGGGGCAGCAGGCTGCGGTGGTCATTCCTGAGGAAGAGGGCATTTTGCCAAATGTGCAAATCCCTTTGACTTAGTGGATTTGACCAGACTTCTCAATGTACTATTTTCCTAGTTCAGCAGAGCTTGGTGAATGAGGCTTGTGCTCACCGACATGAGACCATAGACGTACATACCTACCCACTTGGCTCACTGAAGTAAAAATGAACAATTATCACGAAGACGGAACACAGAAGTTCCAAAGAGGGACTGGTAAAGTGGAGGAGGGGAGGTGAACATCAGCTTTAAAGAGAAGTCTGTTTACCCTGAGTCTTTAAAGGCCAGAATCCTGAACTCCTTTTTTTACCTCATTATGACTTCTTTAACATTTGTTTTTAATTTATTCAAGATCATAATCTTCACTGAGGACCACATATGAGCCAAACTTGAACTTGAAAACCAAGCTGGGCCTTTTGTTCTGCCTGCGTTAATTAGTGTACAAAGGGGCATCTGATTTCCCCCCTCCCCCAACAGTCTAAAACACTGGTTCCTATTTATGTAACTAACAATGTTAGAGTGGGGTGCAGACGGGCCTGGTGGGTAACTGGCCCTAGGACAGGTATCAGGAAATTAACGTCCTAATCCTGGCTGATTCTCTGTGGGCCACTAAGACAATCTATTTCAAGTGCTGAGCCTCATCTTTAAATTAGTTAACAGTTCCCTGTTAGCTGAAAACATGAAGTAAATTAACTAGAATTATGAAGATCTATAGTATTCTAGTGATTTGTACTTGAAAATGAAGTACGAAGACTAGAGCAGTTCCATAGACCAATCTATGGTTCTCAAAGTGGGTTCTGTGGAGCACAAGTCCCACTGTGTCCAGAATTGGTTCCTTCCAGTGGGTTCATGGTCTCGCTGACTTCAAGAATGAAGCTGTGGACCTTCACAGTGAGCGTTACAGCTCTTAAAGGTGGCACGGACCCAAAGAGTGAACAGCAGCAAGATTTATTGTGAAGACCGAAAGAACAAAGCTTCCACAGAGCGTTGCTGCTGCTGCTGGCTGGGGTGGCCAGCTTTTATTCCCTTATTTGTCCCCGCCCATGTCCTGCTGATTGGTCCATTTTACAGAGTGCTGATTGGTCCATTTTACAGAGTGCTGATTGGTGCATTTTACAAACCTCTCGTAAGACAGAAAAGTTCTCCAAGTACCCATTCGACCAAGGAAGTCCAGCTGGCTTCACCTCTCACCATGAGATGCTACTTGGAGAAAAAATGTTCTGCTGGGTGTGGTGCCTCAGACCTGTAATCCCAGTACTTTGGGAGGCCAGGGCAGGAGGATCACAAGGTCAGGAGTTTGAGACTAGCCTGGCCAACATGGTGAAACCCCGTCTTTACTAAAAATACAAAAATTAGCCAGGCATGGTGGCACGCACCTGTAGTCCCAGCTACTCAGAAGGCTGAGGCAGGAGAGTTGCTTGAACCCGGGAGGCAGAGGTTGCAGTGAGCTGAAATTGTGCTACCGCACTCTGGCCTAAGCAACAGAACAAAACTGTCTCAAAAAAAAAAAAAGTTCTATGGGTGCCTCACTCACTTGGACGGCAAATACTTGTTTGACGGCCTTCCTTATATCTGGTGCTGAGAACACAGGAGGGAAGGAACAAAACAAATCCACTGCCTGCCTTCTTCAGTGAGTTTAAGATCCAGAGGATCAGATCATTATTAGGCCACATATTTACCGACAGTGAAATGTGCTCAAGTACAGAGAGCTGAGAACTTACAGCAGGGAAACCACATCTAAGGCTGGGAGGCAGGGAAGTATGAGGTGAGACTTACGCATGGGGTGACGGGGAGTAGGTGGAGGGGTAGTATTCCAAACACAAGGAAAGCCTTGGTCAAACAAACCCAAGGAATCCTGCATAATACACTCCCTTCTGTGAGATTCACTGGCATGTTAAAGGCCTGAGAAGTCCTGCAGAAATGAAGCCCAGCACGTTCTACCTAATAACATCCCAAGGATGTTACTCTGGGAAGTACTTAAAGAGGCACTATTGTTCTCATAGCCTATAAGAAACTTCAGTATAAAACAAAAGCTCTTGTTCATATAACTGGAAAACTATCATGTGTCCTCTCAGAGCAGCCAAAATACCTTGGAGTTGCTAATGTAATTCTCAAGTATTTTCCTTGGCACAGGCCTATAAAACGATATGGCCTCTACAACTGCTCACATACTCCCAGTAACACAGATGAAGGAAAGTCCATAGCACAAACCAGCGAGCCAGATTCAATGTTCTAACTCTAGCACAGACCTCGGCTTTATTTATTTTTAAAGGATGTACAGCCTCAATTCTGGGACGAATTGAGAAAACTTCCATAAAAAGCAAAATAAAAATGAACAACCACCAGTAATCAACTTATCAAAAATTACACATGGAAAGATACCCGAAGTGAACAATGATTTCCCTTGTTAACCTAAAATGTCTAAGAGGAAGACAGCTTTTGCTGTTTATTTTATTACATACTGTGCATAAAAAAGAGGGAAATGTAAATCAACAGTAACAGATATTCACACATATGCAGAAAGAAGGCAGACTTTGTGTGCAAAGAATGGTGTTAGCGACAATGATCATCAAAAGAGAAATATGACAGCCAACATACTTAAGAATATGTATTCTAGAAAACTAGCAATCCAAAATTAAACATAAGTTAGTGTCCTAGGAATAGTGCAGTGTAGAGATTAAATTTTATAGAGGCTAGCCGGGTGCAGTGGCTCACGCCTGTAATCCCAGGACTTTGGGAGGCCGAGGTGGGTGGATCACAAGGTCAGGAGATCGAGACCAACCTGGCTAACACGGTGAAATCCCATCTTTACTAAAAATACAAAAAATTAGCCGGGCGTGGTGGTGGGCACCTATAGTCCCAGCTACTTGGGAGGCTGAGGCAGGAGAATGGCGTGAACCCGGGAGGCGGAGCTTGCAATGAGCCAAGATCGTGCCACTGTACTCCAGCCTGGGTGACAGAGCAAGACTCCATCTCAAAAAAAAAAAAAAAAAAATTTATAAAGGCTAGCAAGATCATGAAACCCAGGACCACTAAAACAGATAATGAGTTTATCTTAACAAAACCCTTGCTGTGTGTGCCAGGCACTGTTCTACATGCTTATATGCAACCTTATTTAATCTTTGCAACTATGAGGTAGATCCTGGGAATACATCAAAGTATGGCTTCAGCCTATACTAGTCAATGGAAATCTGTTATCCAGCTTTAGCATGAATCTTCAGAAGGACTGAACTTCTGCCTGATTGATGATGATGTAATCACATAGGTGACCAACATATCCCATCCATGTAGCAATGTGAGAACTAAGGAAACGAAGCATTGTTCAAATCTGCTGTCATTATCTGAGCATGCCCTTTCAAAAACAGGTAAACATTCCACGTGCAACTTGAGTGAAAATCTCCTTGTGACCCTTATCTCTTGAAATGTATCAGTTGGTAGAAATATATATATGCTTATTTTTTGTTGAAAGAGTAAAATATAAGCATGAAAAATATTAATTTTATGTAGAAAGCAATTATCATGTAAAATTATACAACTATTAAGTAGGGGGATTGATGAACAGAATCACCAATATTAAGAGTACATTTAAAAAAAGAGACTAGGCTGGACGTGGTGGCTCACACCTGTAATCCCAGCACTTTGGGAGGCCGAGATGGGCAGATAACCCGAGGTCTAGAGTTTAAGACCAGCCTGGCCAACATGGTGAAACCCTGTCTCTACTAAAACTACGAAAATTAGCCGGGCATGGTGGCACGTGCCTGTAATCTCAGCTACTTGGGAGGCTGAGGCAGGAGAATTGCTTGAACTTGGGAGGCTGGGGTTGCAGTGAGCCAAGATCGCGCCCCTGCACTCCAGCCTCGGTGACAGAGTGAGACTCTGTCTCAAAAAAAAAAAAAAAGAGAGAGAGAGAATGGTATATCCTTTTAGAGCAAATAAATGCTTATTGTTTTAAAATTACAATAGGCATATTATATTCTACCTCTAGTCGCTACAGAACTGCTTAGTGCACTCATAACATTAAACACAATAACCTTTAGTAGCTATATATGCAACCCTAGGGTTCAGACAGTGGTCTGTAAGTAACATTCTCCACTAAAAGAAGACAGAGCTTCTTCTAGAAATGGCCAGCTCCTGGCCTGGGACAAGAAATGTACAAGGTGTGCTGGAGTATCCTGCCAGACCAGTAAGCAGAGAAGCATCCAAGACCACCAGGATTGTGTCACAAGGACTCAGAAGCCAGCCTGAAGAGGCTCCCCCTGGCTAAAGATGGGACAGTTTGGGTATCAATAAGGATAATAATTGCAAATGGATTGAAAGACATTAAGTAGGTTTAAATCTATTTCATAATATTTTAAGCTTCATTGGTCACCTTTACAGGGTGCCATGAAACCAGGAGGAAACTGGTATATAAAGGGAAAGAATGAGGCATTTAAATTGCTTTCCCCATATGATCTAAAACAAGGGTCAGCAAATTTTTACTGCAAAGGGCCTGACAGAAAATCTTTCCAGCTCGGTGGGCCACATATGGCTTCAATCACAGCTAATTAACTGGGCACCTTGTAGTGCCCCAAAGCTGCCCTAAACAATATGCAAATGCATGAATATAGCTGTGTTCTAATAAAACTTTATTTATCAAAGTAAGTGGCAAACTGGTCTCAGCCTGTAGACTCTAGTTTGCTGACCTCTGATCTGAGGTAACTAAAGAGTTGGTGAGGGGTAGTTTCTCTTTTTAAAAATATTATAACTGATAGACAAGGGAATGATACAAATAGACTATCACCATTTTGAAACTGCAAATGAGGTAAAGGATGTGGGTGCTGATAATTAGTAGCTGCTGACATCACAGAGAGATAATCAGTATCTCTGATGGAAAACAACATCTATTATATGAAGCAGTCTTGCAAAAATAAGTTAAAAAAGGAGAGAGGGAATGGGAGAGAGAGAGAAACACTCTGAATCTTGACCAAAAATCTAAATCTAATAATTTTCAAGAACTTCAGTGGATAGAGCAACATGTTAAAAGATATCATGAGGTTGCACTTAGCAAAATCCAGACTGTGAAAAACTCCACAGGAGTCATCAAGATAAAAACCTAATTAGGAAGTTACTCACATCCTATGAAAAATGCTGAGCAGAATGTCAACTTTGCTATCTCAACATTTCGTAAGGAAAAAACTCCAAAATCTTGCAGTATAGTTTCTTGATAAATCATCTTTGATCCAGACATAATAAAGACTATAAAAGCTTCAGAGAAAATAAACCTGTTATTTTTTAAAAATGAGAGACCCCAAGATATCTCATACTTTCACCTTATTTAGTATGCACAAATATGTTCTATAGTGTCACAGAAACAATCTAGCAACTGAAAAAATTATTGCTCCTGCCCTACACTGTCAATTTTTAAAAACTGATCATCAATTTGGCAACTGTCACAGTGGAAATTGTTTCTGGCAAGAATCATCAATGGCCACTAAAACCATTGGGTAAAGGTTTGATGAGAAATGGGATATTTACATAGTCTCAAAGTATGTCCCATAAAGTACTGATTAATTACAAAGAAGAAAAGTAGTAACTTTCTTGGAGAAAGCTGGAACACATGATTTTAACCAAGAAAACAAAATTAGTATCACCTATAATGGGAAAAATAGATAACGTTCCTGAGGAGATACAATAAGAACACCCTATCTTTCCTGCCCAAAATGTACAACCTAAAGCTACTCATGAAGAAACACCAGAAAAAAAAAAAAAAGTCAAGGTTCTTCTGCAAAATAAATGGCCTGTAATCTTTAAAGAGTCAAGAACATGGCCGGGCGCGGTGGCTCACGCCTGTAATACCAGCACTTTGGGAGGCCAAGGCGGGTGGATCACGAGGTCAGGAGATCGAGACCATCCTGTCTAACACGGTGAAATCCCGTCTCTACTAAAATACAAATAATTAGCCAGGCGTGGTGGCGGGCGCCTGTAGTCTCAGCTACTCAGGAGGCTGAGGCAGGAGAACGGCGTGAACCCGGGAGGTGGAGGTTGCAGTGAGCTGAGATCGCTTCACTGCACTCCAGCCCGGGCGACAGAGCGAGACTCCGTCTCAAAAAAAAAAAAAAAGAGTCAAGAACATGAGAGACAGGCCGAAGAACTTCCAGACTAAAGGAGACTAAGAGACAATTAAGCATAAGATGTGATGTTGAACTCATCCTAAAGCCAAAAAAAATGAATAAATAAAAGTAAAAATGTTTTCCTCTTCTACAAAAGACATCTATCAGTAAGACAACTGGCAAAATCTTAATAAGTTCCATAGATGAGACAATTGTACTGTCTCTATGTTAATTTCCCGATTTCAGTAATTACACTTTGGCGAATGTCCTTGTTTTTAGAACGTATCTTGTCCCTTCATCTTATTTAGAGTCACAAATATGCTCTATAGTATCAGAGATGCAATCTAACAAATTATGCCCCCTTAAGTAAAGGGACATTACGCCTGCAACTTACTTGCAAATGGCTCAGAAAAAAGTTACAGAGCCGGGCGCGGTGGCTCACGCCTGTAATCCCAGCACTTTGGGAGGCTGAGGCAGGCAGATCACTTGAGGTCAGGAGTTTGAGACCAGCCTGGCCAACATAGTGAAACCCTGTCTCTACTAAAAACACAAAAATTAGCCAGGTGTAATGACAGGTGCCTGTAATCACAGCTACTTGGGAGGCTGAGGTGGGAGAATGGCGTGAACCCGGGAGGCGGAGGCTGCAGTGAGCTGAGATGGCGCCACTGACTCCAGCCTGGGCGTTGCAGCCAGACTCTATCTCAAAAAAAAAAGTTACAGAAAGAAGGCAAATTTAGGGGAAAGTACAAGGGAATTATTTGTGCTATTTTTGTATATTTTCTGTGACTGAAATTATTATAAAATTAAAAGTTAAAATGTAATTTATATTTATATACTATACTGCTTACATATATCCTACATATAAATTTCAACTTATTTATAAAGTTAGTGTGTGTGTGTATACACATATACACACATATGTGTATATGTGTATATACATATATACACATATACACACATATATATGCACATTATCTTGTTGATAGCTATTTGATCAAGAACTCACACAAACTGGCAATTATGTTAAAGTAATTTGTTAAGTTTTTGCAAAGGGAATTGACAACCATGTAAATTCAAAACCCGCACTAAATACTAATTGCTTTTGTTTATGCATTTCTGGCCTCTCCCCTGACTCCATTTAGTCATTTCCTATAAAAAAAATTTTAAGGGCTGGGCGCGGTGGCTGACACCTGTAATCCTAGCACTTTGGGAGGCCAAGGCGGGTGGATCACCTGAGGTCAGGAGTTCAAGACCAGCCTGGCCAACATGGTGAAACCCCATCTCTACTAAAAATACAAAAATTAGCTGGGTGTGGTGGCAGGCGCCTATAATTCCATCTACTCAGGAGGCTGAGGCAGGAGAGAGAATCGCTTGAACCTGGGGGGGCAGAGGTTGCAGTGAGCCAAGATCGCGCCACTTCACTTCAGCCCGGACAAAAGAGCAAAACTCCGTCTCAAAAAAAAAAAAAAAAAAAATTAAATACTGTAAGAAAAGATCCACTTGTTAAGATGCTGGTTAAAATATTTGGCTACTAAACATCTTAATAAAGTTGTGATAATACTGTATATTATTTTGGTAACATTTCTAATTTCTTTTTATATCCTGGAGATTCTATGATGCTGATATTTCATTTCAGCCTCGAACAACTCCTGATTTTAAAACACAGTCCATTCAGACAAAATGTTACTTCAGTGCTTCTCAAAGCATTATCTGTCCCCATTTATCATTATGACTATCATTATCCCCATTCTCCCTGAGGGGGGCCCTGGGGCATAGGGACACAGCCAACTCATGACGCGGCTGGGATTCAGTGCTCTGCAAACCCTGGTCAAAACCCAAGTTCCAGACCCCCCTAGACACACTGCCACCTGGAGGGACAAGGGGTGGCCTGTTAGTAGAATATTCTCCATCCCTCAAGCCTTGGGCTTCTTTCTTTCCACACAAGTTCCTCTCCTCTCTTTCCATGCAAGGTCCAAGGAACTGCTTATTAAAGGGCTGTCTCAGACTCCACAGACTCTCCCCATCCCAGCCCCTTCCTGCATTAACTCTCCTTTGCATCATCTGGGAACACCCTTGTGAAGATGACCCATTTTCCACTCCAAAGCTTCAGCACCAGCGTCTCACTCTCCCTAACAAGGATTTTATAACAAAAAAAGCTTATGTTGTAAAGTAGAAAGCAAAGTGTTTTCAGCTCATGCACTCTAATACTCCTACTATACTCTTACCCTCCCATGGTAACTCTCCTCTATGCATCCCACCCAGAACATAGTTTAAGTCAATAACATAATTAATAAGTAAAAACTACAGACAGTCCCTAACCTATGATGGTCCAACTTAATATTTTTTTGACTTTACGATGGGTTTATCCAGATGTAAGCCCATTTAAAGTCCAGTCGCATCTGTATATCCAATGTAAAGTTACACCCACACATGCACGAGGATGTGGGGCTGGTCAGGAGTATGAGCGAGGCAACAAACTAAGGCACCAAACAGATGCCCACCATTATTACATATGGTGTATAGATTTAACACCCAGACACCACCACGTCTGCCAGTGAGTGGATCCCCAAGGGCAGCTTCATCCACAAGTGGCACAGGGGCTACACCTTAATGCTAGGGTCCTGGGGCCCCTGGCCCAGCTGGGACCACCAAGATCCTGTCCTCCTCAATCTCTGGGACTGGGGCTCCCCTCCCTCACTTTCTCTGGAATCCCCTTGGACCCCAAGAGCCAGGAGTCCCCTCCCTGTCTTTCCTCCTCTCCCCATCTCCACCTAGCGCCCTACCACTGCCCTCATCTAGGAGGTGCTGGGGTTTGGGTTCCCACAGCATCACGTGGGGAGGGGTGGGGAAAGAGTGACAGGTGGGAGGGGGACACACAAGCAATCCCTAGTTCGGGTTGTATGGAAGATTCCACAGAGTGAGGACAGGGTGAGAGTATTTTGCTACCCGGACCCCCCACGAAAAGCTTCATCATGGACAAGAGAATAAGGACCTGCTGCAACCTTGGCCTGAGGTGGAGGACACGGCCTAGGCAGACTGCAGGGTTTCCAGATGTGAGACTACAGGGACTTTGAATGTGGCTGAAGAAATAGGCCTTAGTTTATTTATCCTGGGTTTTTAATTCCGAACTTTTCCAAACATACAGAGAAGTTGGGTGAATAGATTGATTGCCCGTGTATCTCCACCTAGAACTGTTAACATCTCACCTATGATATTTAAGGAACCAAGTGTACCACCTCAAAATATCATAAGAAAAACACAAGGGAATTTGGAGATTGGGAAAAACAGAATCAATAGAGCTGCACAGTGCAGAAAAGCAAAGAAAGATTAAGATAGCAATTAACACCACCTCTGAGACTGTAAATCAACCAGCTATTAAGGCTCTGATTCTACGTCAGGTACTAAAAATGCCTCCTAAGTGAAAGGGATAGAAATGCCACTGAAGCCAGGCACAGTGGCTCACACCTATGATCCCAGCACTTTGGGAGGCCGACGCAGGCAGATCACCTGAGGTCAGAACATCAAGACCATCCTGGCTAACACAGTGAAATCTCGTCTCTACTAAAAATACAAAAAAATTAGCCAGGCGTGGTGGCAGGCGCCTGTAGTCCCAGCTACTCAGGAGGCTGAGGCAGGAGAATCGCTTGAACCCAGGAGACGGAGGTTGCAGTGAGCCGAGATCGTGCCATTGCACTCCAGCCTGGGCAACAAGAGCGAAACTCCATCTCAAAAAAAAAAAAAAAAAAAAAGAAAGAAAGAAAAGAAAAGAAATGCCACTGAAAAGAATATATGCTGAGGGATGTTACTCATCTTTTACTTCTACACACCATTTCTTTGAATCTTGCCCCAAATGGCATTTTCATGCATTGTCACGTCAATTTGGCTCTCAATTTTCAGTGGAGGGAAATTGCAGCCCAGTGGAACCAGAATCCCCCACAGCTGGAATGCTGGCTCTATCACCTTCTGGGGAGGTGACTCTGGGCCTCTGGTTTACTGTCAAAGTCTTGGCTTCCTCAAGGATAAAATCGAGGTGATAATATCAGATGCACAAGAATTCAGTGTAGGAAGAGTTAGAACAGCGTGATATAGTGCCCTGGAACACTAAAGGTGCTTATGGGGCTATTTTTTAATATTGATGTTTAAATATTCATGTTGTCAACAATCAACAAGTGAATCGCTTATTATGAGTCAGGTGTTAGGTTTTAGATAAAGAAGTATTTCAAGGTGCATCATCTCAGCTGGGCTCAGTGGCTCATGCCTGTAATCCCAGCACTTTGGGAGGTCGAGGTGGAAGGATCACTTGAGCCCAGGCATTCGAGACCAGCCTGGGCAACATAGTGAGACCCTGTCTCTATTTTTTTTTAAATAAACAAAAAATAAAATAAAATAAAATAAAATAAAAACATAGCAAAAAGATGTGCATCATCTCCGGAGCACTGCTGGCTGTGTACTTCCCTGAGTGGTAGAAGATGAAGCTTTACCACTGTAGAGTGCAGCTGGACCCTAGTCCTGTTTCCATCACTCCTAATTGTTTGCCCTTGGGCAGGTCAACAACTGCCCTGAGCTTGTGCTCCTCACCTGTTGGGTGGGCGGGATGGTTCCACCTAGCTCAGAGGGCTAGAGGACACTCCCGCAGGGTCCTTGATAAGAATCTCAGGGACTAACACCCAACCACCTCTAGAAGGTATGTCTTGCAAATCCGGCTGAGTTTAATGACCCTGACATATCCTTTTTTGGAATTTACAGAGGGGAGTGTAGTCCCAAACATCAGAAAGCACTACTGCCAACAAATCTGGACTTGTAAATTGATCTGCTTTTCATACCACTCATTCCTACTTCATTTTTCTTCCTCATTATCAATGAGATCCATCTGTTCCTTAATCACAGTTGCCATCTCTCAAACTTACACCTTTCTGCTTTCTCCACACATTCTCTATGGACATTCCTACATATAATAGCCCCATTCACTTTAATGAGGTCTAAGATATTTATCTAAGATTTAGTGCCTTGCAATACCCAGGTCTCTAGGATGGCTTAGGTAGGACCCCAAAAGCCTCCCAACTTCTGTCAACCATATCATAAGCCCCCTTTGTTAATCTTTCCACCATGCTATTATTGGAAAGTAATTTGGGAAGTAAAGGAAAAAGTATGGAATGTCATGATTTCTTTTTTTTTTTTTTTTGAAACAAAGTCTCGCTTTTTTGCCCAGTCTTGGCTCACTGCAGCCTCTGCCTCCCGGGTCCAAGCAATTCTCCCGCCTCAGCCTCCCGAGTAGCTGGGATTATAGGTGTGTGCTACCACACCCAGCTAATTTTTTGTATTTTTAGTAGAGACGGGGTTTCACCATGGTGGCCAAGCTAGTCTTGAAATCATGACCTCAAGTGATCCTCCCGCCTCGGCCTCCCAAAGTGCTGGGATTACAGGAGGGAGCCACTGTGCCCGGTGGAGTTTCATGATTTCTAACCATCTTAAACATACATACACACACACACACATACACACACACACACACACACACACACACACAGAGAGAGAGAGAGAAAGGGGGATGGGAAAGAAGACAAATATCCCCTCTGCAATTCCCAAAATAACTGTGTAAATGTTTAGTATGTATTTCTTTATTGTTCAAAAAAAATTTTTTTTTTGAGACAGGGTCTTACTCTGTCACCCAGGCTGGAGTACAGTGGGGTAATCTTGGCTTACTGCAGCCTCAACAGCCTGGGCTCAAGCAATCCTCCCACCTCAGCTTCCTGAGTAGCTGCGATTACAGGCACACGTTACCACTCCTGGCTAATGTTTTTTTTGGTTTTTGTTTTTTTTTTTTTTTTTGTAGAGACAGGGTTTTGCCAAGTTACCCAGGCTGGTCTCGAACTCCTGAGCTCAGGCTATCTGTCTGCCTCAGCCTCCCAAAGTGTGGGGATTACAGGCGTGAGCTACCACATGCAGCCTAGTATGTATTTCCTTAATGGTCAATTAACGCTGAAATAGTCTTTTATAGATTTTTGGGACTGATTTTTCATTTGTGGAGAGCTTAAAGAAAGCAACCAATTTATAAAATATTTTATAAGATGAACCATAAGGAAATAATACTTGTACATTTGGTTCACCAGAGCTGGGTTAACCAAACTATGTTGTAATCCAAATTGTGAGTATAGTAAGTTTACTCCTCCAGCGTTCTTCCACACCAAACATTCGTTTGCGTATTCTTCCAACCCTCACCAATTTCAATGAGGAAAAACAATCCCCAATTTCCAAACAGGTCAAATGTTAGCAGGTAAGCACCTTTTCCTCGGATGAAGTTCCTGGGACAGCCCACGAAAGGTCATTAACCCCTCTGGGGCACTGCACTGGGGGAACAACTTCAACCACAACTGTCACTCGCTTCTACAACTGTTTATTCAGGAAAGTACATTCTCAGGTCCAATGTGTAAAGTTGGAACAAATCTATCCACCCTCAACCCCAGCTGATAACTCACACCAGGATTTCTGAACTGGGAAACAAAGGTCAGCTGCCCTTCTCTGGAGAGGAGGAGGAGCTAATTATATCAGGCATGTGTGTAAAATCACATGGGTAGAATGGGAGACCTAGACTTTGGACTCACAACCAAGTTCAAATCTTGGCGCCATCAATCACCATCAATGTAACCTTGTACGAGATACTTGACCTCTACAAGTCTGTTTGCACAGCAGCAAAATGGGAACAAGTATCTACTTCTTAGCAGGTTAGAAGCTATGAAAAACACTAAAGTCTTAGCAGCCATTGCCAAGTGCTTTCCAAATGGGGTGGAGCTATTTGCGCCCCTTAAGACCAGCCAAAAAGAGCAGCCGGAGCAGCCATTTTACCTCATATTTGCCAGCATTGAAGAGGCTTATTCAGACAAAATCATAATGTGGTGGGCCAAAGATGATTCTTGTATTAATTAGTATTTTTTGACTCCCTGGGAAGTTAAACATAGTTTCACATATTTGCAGCCATTTATAGTTGTTCTTTTGTGAATTTCATGTTTATGTTTATTTTCTACAATTAGGGTGAACACTTGGGGCCTTGTTCCTCCTCTTGAATAGAAATGAAAATATTTCCAAAAATGCTGTGACACAGTTTGAGAGCATGAGTGTGAGCTCATTTCCTGTCCTGAGGACCCCAGATAATTAGAGCTATTGCCTTTGACCATATCCACAAAAACTCCTGAAAAAGGCTATGTTTAGGAAAACATTTTTATGATTTTATTTCCAAACTTTGAAGTATACTTCTCAATTAGAAGATCATTTTCCTAATCTGTACATTATGCACACAATGAAAAGGAAAAATTTAGAAGTTTGAAATTTATTTGAGAACCTTAAACGTATCTGTCAATTGAGTGAGCTCAGAGCATTGCTAACACCTTGTGAGTCTCAGAAAGAAACTATAGAAGTGTCCTGGGGCTGTTCCCTGGGCAGTGCATACAGCACAGAGCAAAGGGCAAGTCCCCTTCACTCCCCTCATGGTTCCCTTCATTTCTGAACACCAAGGTTTTGGAAACTGCATTTATTTTATTGTTCACTATATCTAATCCGGTTTGGGAGAAATAATATAAAACATGGGATATATAAAAACCTCCTCCAAAAATAGATTAGAAAAGACAATCTGGGACGGTTTTCTATATGCTCTTAAGTGACCAGTACTTCCCCATCCCCAGTTACTTATCACTTCAATATCTCAATATCTGCCCCTAGCTACACACAAATTGTGTCTGTGTTGTGTGTGTGTGTATATATATATATATATTATATATATACACACAACACACACACACACACACACACACACACACACATTTTTTTTTTTTTTGGAAACAGGGTCTCACTCTGTCATTCAGGCTGGAGTGCAGTGGCGTGATCATGGCTCACTACAACCTCCATGCCCAGGCTCAAGTGATCCTCCCACCTCAGCCTTCCAAGAAGCTGGTGCCCACCACCATGCCCAGCTAAGTTTGTGTATGTTTTGTAGCAATGGGGTTTCGCCATATTGCCCAGGCTGCTCTCGAACTCGTGAGCTCAAGCAATCTGCCCGCCTTGGCCTCCCAAAGTGTTGGGATTACAGGCATGAGCCACCACACCAGGACACAAAGCGTATTTTGATGCTCTATCCCTCTTCAACATCAGCCAGCTCCAGATAATAAAAGGAGGGAAAATTTCCCAGGTGTGCCATGTCTTCCTTTCAATCAATACACAAACATTTCATTATCTAACATGTAGCTAAAAGGTTCCCAACATTTTGGGCTTTATGAGAGGATGGAGAGGAAGTTCCTGCAGTCTCCCTACTGCCAACAAAATTCCAAGGCCCCCACTCTAGCCAACTTGCCCTTGGTTTTCCTGAGAATACCAAGAAGCCATCTGGTCCTCCAATGCACACTATCCATTTCTGCCAACTCACCTCTGCATTCCCCTACAACCTCATCTTCAAGTCTTGGGCTCGTCTTTAAAGCTGGGGGGACACCTACTATACAGCACCCTCCACGGATGAAGTAAGAAGCCTACCTGCTTTTGAAGCTCTCAGTCTCACCTCCTCTTCCTCTCATCTTCTTTCCCATTCATCTTCAAGCCTGCCCTATGGCTCCTACAAACAGGCTCCCACTCCAGCATCCCAAATACACTTTCTCCCAAACTTGCGGCTCCTCCCTTTCCTCTTCTTTCCATAGCCAGGCTTTTGAAATGGGTTGTCGAGTCTTTGAGGTTCCCCGTGGTGGTACTGAGATATGGAAGGTACACCGGGATAGAAGGAGGAGGCTGCTTGAAACTGCAGGAGTCTGGTCTGGGGTTCCAGCTGAGGGGGAGGCACTGGGCCACACCTGAGATCAGTCTGCAGCTTGGCGCCTTGGCTATCCTATTTGGGAAGCACTGAGCTAATGTCTCTTCTCTCTACCTTTAACACCACCACTTGCCTGGAACACTTCCCTCCATGGGCACCAGTAACTTCCTAATAGCTGAATTCCAAAAGCTCCTCTTATTTTTTATTTTTATTTATTTCTTAGAGACAGGGTCTCACTGTCTGTCACCCAAGCTGGGGTGCAGTGGCACAATCATAGTTCACTGTAGCCTTGAACTCCTGAGCTACCACCATGCCCGGACAAGTTTTAAAATTTTGTTAGAGATTGGGTCTTGCAATGTTGTACAGGCTGGTCTTGAACTTCTGGCCTCAAAATATCCTTCTGCCACAGCCTCCTGAGTAGCTGGGATTACAGGCACAAGCCACAGCATCTGGCTCAAAAGCTCCTCTTGACTCCTCGATCTTCTTGTCCCCTCTCTCTCTGTGGCATCTAACACCAAGGACACTCTCTTTTCTTTCTCTCTTCTGTCTCTCTCTCTCTTTCGCTCTTATTGCCCAGGCTGGATTCTTTCTTCCTTTCAGATGGAGTTTCACTCTTGTTGCCCAGGTTGGAGTGCAATGGTGCGATCTCAGCTCACTGCAACCTCTGCCTCCCAGGTTAAAGCAATTCTCCTGCCTCAGCCTCCCAAGTAGCTGGGATACAGGTGCCGCCTCCTGGGTTCAAGTGATTCTCCTACCTCAGCCTCCTGAGTACCCGGGATTACAGGCACCTGCCACCACGCCCAGCTGATTTCTGTATTTTTAGTAGAGACAGGGTTTCCACTGTGTTTGCCAGGCTGATCTCGAACTCCTGACCTCAGGTGATCCACCCGCCTTGACCTCCCAAAGAGCTGGGATTACAGACATGAGCCACTGCACCTGGCCTCCCACTTTCTTTCCCTCCAGCTTCCACCATGGAGGAAAAGAAAGGGGGAGGGGAGTCCCTAAGTGCTTCTCCTACCTTACCCAATGCTCCCTTCCATCCTCCTCCAACGACTTCTGTCCCTGCTCTAAGCATCCCTTCTCCTACTTCTATACCTCTCTTACATCAGCCAGTTTCAATCATCCCCTCAACATCCCCTCACACCTAACGTGTCTCCAATGAAACCGAGGGTTCCTCCCAATGAGAGCCTCTCATAGACTGTGTGGGCTCTGTCATCGCCAAAATATTCAGTAAGCATCTGTCCACCACTGGGGAGGTAGAGACTGGGGAGGCCTCCCCACCCACAGAAGTCAGTCTCCAGGTGCCTGAGCTTGGACACCAGGAATTAACTGTGACATCAGCCACTTTCTGGATCTGGTACCTCCCCTCCCCAAAGAGGTACAGACAAGAATCCTATTTCCTCCCATCCCACCTTTCCTTTCCACTCTGCTACTCTGAAGCCCTTTTCACCTCACCCCTGACTCCTGTGAGTCTAATTGCTCTATCCCCTTCCAGGTCCTCGTCCTCCAATCCACCATTATCTTTCTAGCCATGTGTACAAGTCACATCACTTCCCAGCCTAACTTCTGATGGTTCTCTGCTGCCTCTTAAATAAGATCAGATTCCTTCCATGGCATTCTAGGTCCCCTAGCCCATGTCCTGGCCCCTTCTCCTTCCAGGCAAATGGAACTGAAATAAGCTGCATTACCCCCAAATCGCCCTGAACTTTTCCTTCCTCCATGTCTTCACTCTCCTGGTCCTGGCTCCCACCTCAAGATGAGAGTGAAGGAAGACTTCCACTTTTTCACTCTAAATGCCTCCTCTTACTATTTACATTCTTCTAAATTAACAAGAATTACCTGGATTAAAGAATGACTGAGTTTTAAGGACCAGTTTAAACCTACTTCTTCGACCTGCCTTCTTGGATCACCCAGGAAGTAATTTTTCTCAATTTCTATTATGAAAATGCTTCTCCAGACTTTACTACCTCTTAACTTCTTATTACAGTGCTACCATGACTTCTTTCCTACTTAATTTTTAAATCCTTTAGGGCAAAGCCTGGGTCTTATCTTGTTTCCCATGGTCCCTTAGCCATTGCCCATGATAGGTATCCAATAGACTTCAGTTGAAGAAGTTTAAGAGTTAGGAATTAGTTTTAAGAGTGCAAATCTAGGCTGGGCGCAGTGGCTCACGCCTGTAATCCCAGCACTTTGGGAGGCCGAGACAGGTGGATCACGAGGTCAGGAGTTCGAGACCAGCCTGGCCAACATGGTGAAACCCTGTCTCTACTAAAAATACAAAAATTGGCTGGGCGTGGTGGCACGCACCTGTAATCCCAGCTACTCAGGAGGCTGAGGCAGGAGAATCACTTGAACCCAGGAGGTGGAGGTTGCAGTGAGCCAAGATCACACCACTACACTCCAGCCTGGGCGACAGAGTGAGACCCTGTCTAAAAAAAGAAAGAAAAGAAAAAAAAAAAGAAAAGTGTAAATCTAAATTTCCCTAGGTTGGCATGTAAAAGGTGTCTCTAAATTAGAATGTAAGTAGGGCCTTCCTATTATAGAAGATTTAAAAGATTTTCCAGCGAGTTAATCATTTATACTCTTTTTTATTTCCCAATTATTTTAGTAACACTGCACATCACTGTAAAGGCTGGAATACGCTGTTAGATTGGGTGGGGGTGTGTGTGTATGTTTTGCTTCCCTTTTCTTCAAGAATCCCTAAAAGTGTGATCAATGAAGAATGTGACCAAACTATAACCTTCCAAACTTATAACAAATCAAGTCAGCTATTCCCTGCCCAATCCACCCAACCAAAGAAAAAAGATTGACAGGTTCCCAGTCCTTCCCTACAGAGTTTGTCACCAATATCACCCCAGCAATCCAAGGGCGAAAACTTCAGCAACACAGGCCCTCTCAAAAGCTTGTTCCATGTGAAAAGCCCTCATTAAACTCTGAGTTATATTTAGAAAAAAAAATGAAACAGAAGTTATATTTAGATGAAATGGCTCAAAAGAATTTTACCAAAAGCAGCATGTTTATACTGATCTTCCAAAAGAAAAGGTTTCCTTAGCTTTTACATACAACTCCTAAAAACAGACAACTTCTTCATACATATACATACAAAGATTTCTGCTTGGGTTCCTTTGGGTCTGAAAGAACAGGAGCTCCCAGGATATGAGCAAGACTGCCCATGGGAAGCAGTGGGATATAAAGGACTTAAAAATGAGCACGCGTTTGAGGACCAGGACAATTTCATACACAAGCCTGAGATGAGATGGTCTGAGAAATAATAAAGCAAAGCCTTTCGTGTGCTTGTGCTGAACGAAAGAGGTTCTGTAATTTATAAGATGGACACAAAAACCACAGACTCCCTCAGCAATACTACCTAGAAGTGTTTCTTTCCAAAATGTCATCAGCCCTCACTTCATGGTCACAGTCAAATTACTTTCTATCACATTGTAGCTGGCTTGCTGAACCACATTCAACATTTTCTTTTTGGCTCTTCTTTGTCTTAAACCATTTTTGGCATTCACTTTCTAATGTGTTGACTTACATTTTCTTTCTTTCTTTTTTTTTTTTTTTTTGAGGCAGAGTCTCACTCTGTTGCCCAGACTGGAGTGAAGTGGCACAATCTCAGCTCATTGCAACCTCTGCCTCCCGGGTTTAAGAGATTCTCATGCCTCAGTCTCCAATGTAGCTGGAATTGCAGGTGCTCGCCAGCACGCCTGGCTAATTTTTGTATTTTTAGTACAGATGGGGTTTCACCATGTTGGCCAGGCTGGTCTCGAACTCCCGACCTCAGGTGATCCGCCCGCCTTGGCCTCCCAAAGTGCTGGGATTACAGGCCTAAGCCACCGCACCCAGCCAACTTACATTTTCCTAACAAAATTCTAGGCAACAGCCCCAAAGTAGTTTAGTAAACCGTGAAGCCTTTTCAGAAATGAATGTATAATTTTGAGGTGATTATTTGAAAAATGGTTTGTGGCAGTTATTCCTCTCTTCACAGGGTCCCAGGGCCTCCAGACAAGAAGCAATTGCAGCTCACAGAGACTTGGCCCACATCCCATGCTGAGGGGACCTCTTCTCTAAAGAGCCTCAGGAAAAAGCCACTTCCCAGCATCCCAGCCAAACCAGAGTGGAGGGCAAGGGTGATGGCTCATGGGGAGAGATGGCCAGACTGTAGGATGGGCCAGCCCCCAGTGGTCTCAGCAGGAATTATGCCAGTGGGTGAGGCTGCTGAAGCCTCCTGCCTGCTATTCCTAGGGTTCATTAACACCCTGAAAACAATCCAGACAATTCCCACTTCTGCATCTGGCTTGGTATTTCCAGAGGAAGTGTTAGAGCAGCAGATAACTGGGGTCACCTAATTTTATACTACCTCTAGGCCTTAGAGCAGCAAAGCCTAAAGTGGTGCAGTTTAGAGGCCAAACAATAAAAAAGACCTAAGATGTCAGAGAGATCGGATCATATATCCCAGGCACTTTCCTCCCTCCTCCCTCCCCACTCGTATCTATCCACATTCATTTTACCAGGCTGGGAAACCAACAGAGGGCCACTTTGTCTGTACCTACCATTTGCCTACAGTGACAATTATCTTAATTATATTAATAGAATCGTTCAGCAGAAAACCATCATCTCCACCCTATAGTCCAGACAACCAAGTGCTTAAGTGTTTCCTCACTTGCTTTACTTACTGGCAGCAAACGAACAGGGTCAAATTAGGTTTAACTGTGCTGACCTAAGGGCAGGACACTTCCCCAGTATATCCGTGAACTAACACAGCGAAAGGCACACAGAGACACAGAAACACTGGGAACTGAACTAACTTCTGTAAGGGCAAGTCACCAGGGAGACAAGATGTAGGTATGGGGGTGGGATGGGACATACTAAGTCCCCAAGAAAGTACATGTCCTAGGAGGCTTGAAAGGAGGCTGGTGCCTGGGCCAGGGCAGGGAACAACTGCAGAGATGAACAAGGACAGTCAGAGAGGCATGCAGAGACGAAAGGTTGGCTGCCTCAAGGAGGGGCTCCAAAATCCCACACGGGCCTGGATTTAGTAATCAGGAATCTCCAGGATCAGCAAGAATCAGCCTTTGGAAGTTCTTAGGCGAAAGAACACATAATGTGATAGAAGGAAGGAAGGAGGGGACACTAACAAAAATCTGTCTCACTTGGACTGTCAGAGAGAGCAGACAGCAGAGCCTGGATGAATCAAAATGCCCTAAAGAGAAATGGGTGCATGGAGAAATAGCCTTGAGGGAGCCATAGTCATATTTGATGGTGAAATAGTCATTTCTGGTGACTTTAACTGCATCAGGACTTGGCTGAGGGCTGATGCACAGATGCTAGTGCCTCCCAGACCCCTCTCTCTAGATATCCTAATAGTAAATGGAAACCTGAGACTTTAGCGGCATTAACTCTCCCCCATACGCAAAGTTACACGAATCCCAACAAAACTTGCAGAACTAAGCTACATGTGTGGGCACTGGTGGGAATCACTGAAAACCTAAATAAGACCGCAGCAGCTCGTTGATCCCCCCCCCCCTTTGATTGGCACGCACCTCTTTTCTTTTAATGAGAAAAAGCAACAGCCATAGACCCACATCCAGTTTTCACTGCAAAACTGACACTTACATTCAGGACTTCCTGGGGTGCTCCAGGCCAGCAGGGCCAAAGCTGCAAGACCTCCCTCCCTCTCGGGGCAAAACTGTGAGGTCTGTGTAGTCCCACTCCCCATTCCCCTCTCTCTCAGTCAGAGTCTCTTCCACCGCCCCCCGTCAATCCCCCTCCAACCCATCTGGTGATGGTAGCGCCCCCGCTGAACCAAATGTGGAGGACTTGGCTCTCCACCGACCGCTGTACAATGACAGCAGGAATGGCCATTCAGCACCTAGCCTTTCTCTAGCACCCTTTAATTATCGTCGTTATTTTAGGGCAGTCTTAGCATAAAGTGTGTTGCTGGGACCCTGCTCCTAAGAGGCTAACACTCCCTGCCCCCTTACCCACCGTCGACAGCGAAGTGGCAGGCAATGGGAATCTGGGCGGGAAGCAAAGAACTACTACGATTCACATCGCGCCCAAGCAGCAGCACGCGGGAACCTGGCACACAGTAGGTAGGCGTTCACCCAACATCTGTCATCGGACCCAGCACCTGGGCAGGGAGCCTAGGGGTGGAGTGGCGGCTTGGGGGACACAAAGGCCTCGCCAGCCCCCAGCTGCGCCCCTCGCAACGCGGGGGGCGGGAGTTTAGAGCCAGAGAGAGGGGGCGAAGGAATCCGCCCTCATTTGCACGTCGTCTGGGGCCCGGTCAATTTGCTTAATCACCGCTCTAAATGCCAGCGGGCAGCACACAATACGCGCCCATTAACAGGTTTAAAGTGTCGCAGCGCTCGCTTTAAATGAGAAAAGCAGGCGACAAAAGGGGGAAAAAGCCAAGTTCCTCAACTTGAAGAATGCCTTGGGTCGCCTCGAAATCATCTACGCGAGTTTAAAATTCGGAGCTAGCTCCGCAGAAAAGCTGAGGCCCCGGTGCGAGGGCTGGGGGTGGGAACGGGGGCTGTGAATAACCCGCCACGAAAACTGGGTTTCTTAGGAACCAGCCTGCAGCCGCCCAGTGAACCCGGAGTCGG
Organism: Homo sapiens; assembly: GCF_000001405.40. Classification (NCBI taxonomy): domain Eukaryota; kingdom Metazoa; phylum Chordata; class Mammalia; order Primates; family Hominidae; genus Homo; species Homo sapiens. The sequence continues at coordinate 85,134,847 of NC_000002.12, read as the reverse complement.
AGGACAACGTCGCCAACCCAGCTCCCTAGGCCCCTTGCCCCACTGCCAGAGAAAGCTGACCGATTTCCAAGAAGGAAAGCGAGACCCCCCCAAAGCGGGCACAAATCCAAGTTTCCTTCGGTGCAGGCGAAGAATTCTGGAGGCCAAGGAAGATCCCAGAGGTGGACTCCAAAACCTCAACCCGCAAGAGGGGAAAAGTTAAAGTAACTTTACTTTCATCCAGGCACTGGCCAGCGCAGCCTCGCGCTCGGCCGCCAGAGAGTAGTTCAACTCCGCAAACAAGTTCTGCTTGGGATCGGCGCAGAAGGCCCCATCCCCCACTCCATGGCCAAGCCCGGGGGCGCATCCTGCGGGCCGCGGCCTCCCACCCTCCCCGGCGCGCCCGACGGGCACTCACGGTGCGCGCTCCTCCGGGAGACAGGGGTCCGTTGGAGAGGTACGGGCTGCTCAGGTCCGGGATCATCAGGAAGGGGTACCCAGGGTACGGGGGTCCTTTAAAGAACGCGCTGTCCTGAGGCCTTCTCACTGCGAACAAGACCAAGGCGAGGTGAGGCCCAGGCCCCCGGGACTGACAGCGCCGCGGCAGGGGGCTCGAGGCGGGAGCTGGGGACCCCAGCGCCCCCCACGCGCGCCCCACGGGGGCTGCCGCCAATAAAGGCGGAGGGCAAGGGTGCGTCCACCCAAGCAAGGGGGACGGTGGGCCGCCCGGGCTGAGCAGCGGAGCGCAGCGGGAATCGAGAGTGGGGGGCTGTCCCAGCGGGCACATACCTTCGGCGAAATAGTCCCGCGGCTTCTGGAAAGTGTCCCGGACGGGCTGCGGGCGCCTCTCCGCCTGCGGAGGAGACACAAAGGCAAGAGCGGGTGAGCGGACGCAGGGCCGGGATCCCCCGGGGGTGGCCGCGGTGCTTCCTTACCTCCGAGTCCGAGCTGCTGCTCTGGTTCTCCGACTCGTTGACCAGGGACGACTTGACCTCGTCTAGGTCCCGCTGCGCCGAGGCGCTATCGCTGCTCGGCTCCTGCTCCTCGCCCCCCTCGTCCTGGAAGGGGATCAGCTCGTCGTTCGCCCCGAGGTCGTCCCCTCCGCCGGCCGCCCCGGCGCTGGAGCCGCCGCCTCCCCCGCTGCCGCCGCCGCCGCCGCCGCCCCCGCCGCCGAGCTGGGGCATGGTGGGGCCGCGGGCCGGGGCCGCCGCTCTCGGAGCCCCTAGCCGCCCGCGCCCTGCCCGGCCCGGCCCGGCGCCCCTCCCGCCCGCTTGCGGGCCCGCTGCGCTAGCCGCCGCAACAAAGTTTGACAGGGCGTGGCCCCGCGGGAAGCGGGCCCGGCGCTGCCCGGCCGGGGCGCAGGCGGCTCGGCTCGGGCCCCTCCGGCAGCGCCGAGCCTAGGGCTCCCCAACTCGCCACCGCCGCCGCCTGCTCCGCCGGGGCGTCCCAGCCCCTGGCCCGCCGGGGAGGGGCGAGCGGGGAGGGAGGGAGGAGGGACCGCCGGGCTGGGCAGGGGGGCCGGAGGGAGGAGCCCCGGCTGCAAGCTGACACCCGCGCGCCTCGCGGAACCCGGAGAGCTGCGGTGCGCGCGCACACACACACATACACACGCACTCACACTCACACGTTCACACTCGCATCTTCCAGGGGCTGCGTCTCCCTGCAACGTGCACCGCCCCCAACCCCCTCCTGCGCCTCACACTGCACCCTCGGCGGCCCTCCCCACGGCCTCCCTGGAGTCCTGGAAGTCTTGCGCCCACCCCTCCGCATCCCCTAACTTTCTCCCAAAGAACCTCCAGAACTCCGCGCAGGTTCCCACCCCCTCCCACCGTATCGGCGCGCGGGCGGGCGGCACTGCCCCCTGCGGGAAAGCCTCGGACGCACATACTGGCCGCGGGGCCCTCCCCCTGCCTAGAGTCCCTCCGAGTGCGCGAGCTGATGCACGGACTAGGACACTGGGGACATCTATGGAACCCCGGAAAATGCCCGGCGGCTTTCCGCGCCTTTTTCCTGTGGGGTTCCAACGCGACCCCCGGCCCAGGTTTTCAACCTTGTACAGATATACAGATTTCCCTGCTGAAATCTTGAAGATCACCTTTTCTTCATTGTTTGGGACTAGGTCCTAAATCGAAAAATCGCGGTCTTGGGTTCCAAAAGAATTTGGATTTGGTTCATTGAGAGGGAAAATTGCCTGTCCAGTGATCTCCGAAGCCATTCACAAAGCTGCGTGAGTAGCCAGTGAACACGAGAAAAATGCTCAACCAGCCTCATACCTAAGTAATGCCTGTGGTGCGAGCGCCACGGCCCGCGCCTGGAGTTCCATCTACTCCCGAGGCCTAGGCAGGAGGATCGCTGGAGCCCAGGAGTTTGAGACCAGCCTGGGCAACATAGCAAGACCTTGTCTCCAAAAAAAAAATTTTTTTAATAAAGAAATGCCTGTTACAATGACATTAAGATGTCGTTTCTCTCCAACCTGTGCGGGAAAGTTTGAGGAAAATGAATATCTTGTGTTATCCTCCGTGGGGAACTATTAGAGCATAAACTTTGAAAACAGCTTGGAAGGCAGTATGGAACTATGTAAAACTATTTTCAGCCCAACTGGCAGAAGAGTTTCTACAGAGGTGCCCGCACATATGGGCAAAGCCACATATGCTAGGTTCAAAGCATCAGAGAGCTTGGTGACATGCATTCTTCATCTTTCTTTACAGTGACAGTCCATGCAGCTGGCCAGTTCTATGCAGTGTCCCCGCCCCTCCCCCCACCCATACACACACACACACACACACACACACACACACACACACACACACACACAGGCACATGGACCAAGATTGATTTTGGAGGAACATCTTTAAATGAAACACTATATATGACACTCACTATTTTATTTTTGTTTTTAAAAAAATTATACACATTTATTTCTGCGTAGAAAAAAATCTGAGAAGATGCAAATTATTATCAATGACTATTTCTGGGAAAGGATAAGTGAAAGGAGATAGTTTTCTGGTTTCTATGAACTTTATAACAAGCAGATATGCCTTTTCTAATTTTTTACACAATACATGAGTACAGTCTCATAAAGCGTTTTCAAATAACAGATGTATCTTGAGCAGTATCGAGTAACAAGTAAAAGTTCCTCTTTCCCCCTCAGGACACAGGACCCTTCTAATTAACCACTTTCAGTTAACTGCCTCTGGTTAACCACTGTCACTAGTTTGGTATATATCCTTCCAGACACTTTCCTAGGCAGTTATGAACATATGTAAACGTATTTACAGATATTCTGATGTACATACATAGAATCATACTCTTTGTATTATTGTGTGTTATTTTATTTTTATAAGATTTAAAAGTCAGACGATTTTTCATGTTTATGGTCCATAAATATATGAAAAACCTATTGTACTAGTTTTCTGCTGCTACTGTCACAAATCACGAAAACTTGGTGGCTTAAAACAACAGAAGTTTATCCTCTCATAGTTGTGGAAGACAGAAGTCCACTGTCAGTTTCACTGAGTAGAAATGGAGGTGTTGACGGGGCCATGCTCCCTCTGGAGGCTCCGAAAAGAATCTACCCTTGTCTCTTGCAGCTTCTGGGGGCTTGTGACCACATCACTCCCACCCTTGCGTCTGTAATCACATTGCCTTCTCCTTTTTTTGTCTGTGACAAATTTTCCTCTGCCCCCTTCTTGTAAGAAACCATACTTGTGGCCGGGCACAGTGGCTCACGCCTGTAATCCCAGCTCTTTGGGAAACCAAGGCAGGTGGATCACGAGGTCAGGAGTTCCAGACCAGCCTGGCCAACATGGTGAAACCCTGTCTCTACCAAAAATACAAAAAATTGGCCAGGTGTGGTGGCAGGCGCCTGTAATCCCCGCTACTTGGGAGGCTGAGGCAGGAGAATCGCTTGAATTTGGAGGGAGGAGGTTGCAGTGAGCTGAGATGGCACCACTGCACTCCGGCCTTGGCGACAGAGTGAGACTCTGTCTCAAAAAAAAAAAAAAAAAAAAAAAAGTGATACTTGTGATAGCATTTAAGGACCACCTGGATAACCTGTCCATGTCAAAATCCTTAACTTCATATCTGCAAAGACCTCTTTTCCTTAAACATTCACAGTTTCCAGGGATTAGGTCATAGATGCAGCTTTGGGAGTAAGCCATTATCAGCCTGCCACACCTATAAACCAGAAATGCAAACGGAAACAGCATTGAGATAACCAGTTTTCATCTGTCAGATTGGCAAAGGAAGAAAAGAATGGTAACACCCAGCATTGGCCCCTATACTAAGAAGCACATAGATGCTGGGCCATTGTGTAACAGTTCTAAAGAGAAGTTTGGTAATACCTGTGAAATACCTTTAAAAGTGTGAACCCTTTGACTTATCCACGTACTTCTAGGATTTTATCTGAAGGAAACAACTAGGTACAAAAATAAACCTGTAGAAGTGTGTTCATCACAGTGAAAAAATCTAGAAACAATTTCAATGTCCCCTATAGGGAATTATTAAGTTAAATCATGGTGCATTCATCTAATGGAATGTTATGACATTGTGGAGATATATTTGTCAATATAGAAGGAGGCTCATAATGGTAAGCAAAAGTAGCAAATTAAAATTAACATGTAGACTTCCACTTCCCATTCTAATGGGGTATTGATGTCAGATTGACTCCTTCATCAAGAACAACTAACTATAAACTGGATAAAATACCAAAATAAAACAACAAAACCCAGCTGAGTTGAAGGCATCACTGTCAACCAAGTCAGCCAGGACGTGAGGAGTCAAAATACCAGAAGGGAAATTCATTCAAGCGAGTTTGTATTCACTGCTGTTTCATCCCCTCAGAGAATTTGGTGATTTGTAGCACCAGGCATAGAGGCCAAACCAAAAACAACCATCTAGAGCAGCATACTACAGCTTGCTGCCTGTTTTTGAATGGTCTCAGCTAAGACTTTTTTTTTTTACTTTTTTTTTTTTTTTTTTGAGACGGAGTTTCACTCTTGTTGCCCAGACTGGAGTGCAATGGTGCCATCTCGGCTCACTGCAACCTCCACCTCCCGAGTTCAAGCAATTTTCCTGCTTCAGCCTCCTGAGTAGCTGGGAATGTAGGCATGCACCACCACGCCCGGCTAATTTTGTATTTTTAGTAGAGACGGGGTTTCTCCATGTTGACCAGGCTGGTCTCGAATTCCTGACCTCAGGTGATCCGCCCAAGTGCTGGTTTTACAGGTGTGAGCCACGTCGCCCGGCCGCTTTTTTTACATTTTTAAGTGGTTGAAAAAGATCATAAGGGCCAGGCGCAGTGGCTCACGGCTGTAATCCCAGCACTTTGGGAGGCCGAGGCGGGTGGATCACCTGAGGTCAGAAATTCAAGACCATCCTGGTCAACACGGTGAAACCCCGTCTCTACTAAAAATACAAAAAATTAGCCGGTCGTGGTGGCGGGCGCCTGTAATCCCAGCTACTCAGGAGGCTGAGGCAGGAGAATGGCGTGAACCCGGGAGACGGAGCTTGCAGTGAGCCGAGATCGTGCCACTGCACTCCAGCCTGGGCGACAGAGCGAGACTCCGTTTCAAAAAAAAAAAAAAAAAAAAAATTAGCCAGGCGTGGTAGCAGATGCCTGTAACCCGGGAGGCGGAGGTTGCAGTGAGCCGAGATCGCGCCGTTGCGCTCCAGCCTGGGCAACAAGAGCGAAATTTTGTCCCAAAAAATAAAAATAAAAATAAGGATAATATTTATGACACATGAAAATTATATGAAATTCAAATATCAGTGTTGATAAAGTTTTATTGGAACATAGCCATACTCCTTAGCCTATACATTGCCAATGGCTGCTTTCACAAAACAATGATGGAGTTTAGGACATGTATTGCTTAATGATAGGGATACATTCTGAGAAATAGGCAATTTCATTGCTCTGTGAACATATGGAGTATACACAAACCTAGGTGGTATAGCCTACTACACACCTAGAGTATATGGTATAGCCTGTTTCTCCTAGGTTACAAACCTGTTCACCATGTTACTGTACTGAATACTGCAGGTAACTGTAATACATTGGTACGTGTGTATCCAAACATATGTAAAGATAGAAAAGGCACAGTAAAAATATAGTATTACAATTTTATGGGACCCTATCATGTATGTGATCCCTCATTGACCAAAACTTTGTTATATGGTGCCTGACTGTAGTTGCAACAGGGACAGTATATGCTCTTATCACTTCATACTGCTGCTCAGTACACCACAAATCACGGTGATACAGTGTTTTCAGTGCCATGCATATCTCTGTACTGCGACATTTATTTTAAATTTTTATTACCAGGGCATATCCATTATGTCAAAACAAGAAAAGAAAAGTAGATGTATTCATCCGTTGCCACACTACTATAAAGAAGTACCTGAGACTGGGTAATTTATGAAGAAAAGAGGTTTAATTGACTCACAGTTCCACAGGCTTAACAGGAAGCATGACTGGAAAGCCTCAGGAAACTTACAGTCATGGCAGAAGGTGAAGGGGAAGCAAGCGACTTCTTCACATGGTGGCAGGAGAGAGAGACAGAGAGGAAGCGCTACACATTTTCAAACAACCAGATCTCGTAAGAACTCTACCATGAGAACAGCAAGAAAGAAGGTCCCCCTGCCCCGTGATTCAGTCACCTCCACGAGGCCCCTCCTTCAACTCATGGGGATTACAATGCAACATGAGATTTGGATGGAGACACAGAGCCAAACCATATCAGTAGACTATGAATTTTGTGCTTTGAAGGCACAGTGAAGTATGGATTATTTTATTAGCAAATTAGGTGACAAAGCGTTGTGTTTAGTATGCAACAACAGCAGTTATGCTAAGAGAACATATGTCAACATCACGAGAGTAAGCACTCATCAACAATTTTCCCAACTGAGAGGAAAGGAATGACCAGAAAAATTTAAAAATTGAAATCAAGCGGGGCGCGGTGGCTCACGCCTGTAATCCCAGCACTTTGGGAGGCTGAGGCAGGTGGATTGCCTGAGGTCAGGAGTTCGAGACCAGCCTGGCCAAGATAGTGAAACCCTGTCTCTACTAAAAATACAAAAAATTAGCTGGGCATGGTGGCGGGCACCTGTAATCCCAGCTACTAGGGAGGCTGAGGCAGGAGAATCGCTTGAACCCAGGAGGCGGAGGTTGCAGTGAGCCAAGATCACACCATTGTACTCCACCCTAGGCAACAAGAGCGAAACTCCATCTCAAAAAAAAATTGAAATCAGAATATCTAATCACAGCAAAATTTCTTCACAAAGTAAGTGTCCTAGAGGCTCATTTGTTAGTAAAGCAAGGAGAGCTATTAACTGATGGTGACTTAATTAAATTGTACTCAAGAGCAGTAGCCACAGAAATATGTCCAGAGAAAATAAACTTGCCTTTCACCATTGCTAAAAGAGTTTAGGACATTGAAAATAACATCAATAGTCAATGGGGATTGGGTGCAGTGGCTCACCTGTAATCCCAGCACTTTGGGAGGCCGAGGCAGGCAGATCACCTGAGGTCAGGAGTTTGAGACCAGCCTGGCCAACATGGCAAAACCTTATCTCTACTAAAAATACAAAAATTAGCCGGATGTGGTGGCGCACACTTGCAATCTGAACTACTCAGGAGGCTGAGGCAGGATAACTGCTTGAACCCGGAAGGTGGAGGTTGCAGTGAGCTGAGATTGTGCCACTGCACTCCAGCCTGGGCGACAGAGCGAGACTCCATCTCAAAAATAAATAAAATAAAATAAAATACATGACAACAATAGGACAAAAGGCAGAGGGGGGATATGGCATTGAACCAAACTAAGGTTGTCTGAGAAGTCGTGAAAGTAGGAATTTAAAGTACACTCTAGTAGGCCAGGCGTGGTGGCCCATGCCTGTAATCCCAGCACTTTGGAAGGCTGAGGGTGGTGGATCACTTGAGGTCAGGAGTTTGAGACCAGCCTGGCCAACATGTCGAAACCCCGTATCTACTAAAAATACAAAAATTAACTGGGCATGGTGGCGCACACCTGTAATCTCAGTTGCTAGGAGGGCTGGAGCAGGAGAATTGCTTGAACCCAGAAGGCAGAGGTTGCAGTGAGCCGAGATTGTGTCACTGCACTCCAGCCTGGGAGAGAGAACAAGACTCTGTCTCAATAAATAAATAAATAAATAAGGTGCACTCTAGTAAGTCAAGAATGCATGTGTTCATCCCTAGAATAACACTCACTGAATAATTAAAGAATGTATAACTGGCTGGGTGTGGTGGCTCACACGTGTAATCCCAGCACTTTGGGTGGCCTAGGCAGGTGGTCAGAAGTTCGAGACCAGCCTGATCAACACGGTGAAACCCCTTCTCTATTAAAAATACAAAAATTAGCCAGGCATGGTGGCACACACCTGTGGTCCCAGCTATCTGGGAGGCTGAGGTAGGAGAATCACTTGAACCCAGGAGGCAGAGGTTGCAGTGAGCCGAGATTGTGCCACTGCATTCCAGCCTGGGTGACAGAGGGAGGCTTTGTCTCAAAAAAAAAAAAAAAAAGAAAAGAATATTACTAACAAACTAATGAGCAAGAAAGAAGAAAGGAGACAAAAATTAAAGAACAAATGAGACAAATAAAAATATATTAAAATGATACAGTCAAAATTTCAGTAATTATTTTAAATGTATATGATCTAAACACTCCAAATTTAAAGACAAGATTTTTAGAGTATATTTTTAAAAAGCAGCTATCTGCTGCTTACAAAAGCTACACCCTTGAGGTGATGACAAATCAGGTTGAAAGTAAAAAGAGGGAGAAGGATAAACATAAAAAATGCTAACCTAAAGAAAGCTGATTAGCTGGGCACGGTGGCTCATGCCTGTAATCCTAGCACTTTGGGAGGTTAAGGCGGGCAGATCACGAGGTCAAGAGATCGAGACCCTCCTGGCCAATATGGTGAAACCCTGTCTCTACTAAAAATACAAAAATTAGCTGGGTGTGTTGGCATGCGCCTGTAGTCCCAGCTACTCGGGAGGCGGAGGCAGGAGAATCACTTGAACTCAGGAGGCAGAGGTTGCAGTGAGACAAGATCGTGCCACTGCACTCCAGCCTGGCGACAGAGTGAGACATCGTCTCAAAAATAAATAAATAAATAAAAGAAAGCAAGCTGATTAGGCCGAGTGCAGTGGCTCCCGCCTGTAATCCCAGCACTTTAGGAGGCTGAGGCAGGTGGATCATTTGAGGCCAGGAGTTCAAGACCAGCCTAGCCAAGATGGTGAAACCTCATCTCTACTAAAAAAATTAAAATTAGGTGGGCATGGTGATACATGCCTGTAATCCCAGCTACTCAGGAGGCTGAAGCAGGAGAATTGCTTGAAACCATTAGGCAGCAAGATTCCGCCATTGCATTCCAGATTTCAGCCTGGGCAACAGAGTAAGACTCCGGGGATAGCGTGGGGGAAGAAAGCTGATTTATCTATACTAATGTTAGATGAAGTAGGCTTTAAAACAAAAATATTAGTAGAAATAAGTGGGACATTTCATCATGATAAAAGGGGAAGATAAAAATAACTCAAAATTTTCATTTACCTAATAACATAGTTTCAAAAATATGCGTAAAAACAGAACGAAAAGGAGAAGTAGACAAAACTACAATCATAGCTGGCAATTTTAATATAACTCTTTCTGTAACTGACCAAACAAGCCACAAAAAATCAACAAAAATATAGAAGACTTGAACAATGCAATTAACAAACTTGACGTATATAGAAAACATTGCAACAACAACTGCAGAATCCATATGCTTTTTTTTTTTTTAATTGAGATGGAGTCTCACTCTGTCACCCAGGCTGGAGGGCAGTGGTGTGATCTCAGCTCACTGCAACCTCCGCCGCCCCGGTTCAAGCAATTCCTCAGCCTCCCGAGTAGCTGGGATTACAGGTGCGTGCCACCACGCCCAGCTAATTTTTGTATTTTTAGTAGAGACAAGGTTTCACCATGTTTGCCAGGCTGGTCTCGAACTCCTGGCCTCAAGTGATCCACGCACCTCGGCCTCCCAAAGTGCTGGGATTACAGGTGTGAGCCACTGCGCCCCGCCTCTATATGCTTTTTAAGTGCACATGCAAATTTCAAAGAATGGCCATGCAGAGTATGTTTTTTGACCACAGTGGAGATAAACTAAAAAGCAATTTTAAGGCCGGGCGTGGTGGCTCATGCCTGTAATCCCCGCACTTTGGGAGGCCGAGGCGGGCGGATCACGAGGTCAGGAGATCGAGACCATCCTGGCCTAACATGGTGAAAACCTGTCTCTACTAAAAAATACAAAAAATTAGCCTGGTGTGGTGGCGGGTGCCTGTAGTCCCAGCTACTCGGGAGACTGAGGCAGGAGAATGGCGTGAATCTGGGAGGCGGGGCTTGCAGTGAGCCGAGATCATGCCACTACACTCCAGCCTGGGAGACAGAGCAAAGACTCCATCTCAAAAAAAGCAATTTTAAAAGAAAATAGGCAATTTGAATATCCGAAAAATTTGGAAATTATGCAAATATATTCCATTTTATTTATTTAAAATAAAATATATATATATATTTTATTTTTGGGGACGGTGTCTCACTCTGTCGCCAAGCTGGAGTGCAGTGGCGTGATCTTGGCTCACTGCAACCTCCACCTCCTGGGTTCAAGTGATTCCCCTGCCTCAGCCTCCCAAGTAGCTGGGACTATAGGCACGTGCCACCACACCCGGCTAATTTTTGTATTTTTAGTAGAGACAGGGTTTCACCGTGTTGGTCAGGATGGTCTCAATCTCCTGACCTCGTGATCCGCCCGACTCGGCCTCCCAAAGTACTGGGATTACAGGCGTGAGCCATCGCGCCCGGCCCTATTTTAAAATTTAATTTAATTTAATTTTTTGAGACAGACTCTCTGTTGCCCAGGCAGGAGCGCAGCGGCACGATCTCGGCTCACTACAACCTCCGCTTCCCAGGTTAAAGCGATTCTCTTGCCTCAGCCTCCCGAGTAGCTGGGATTACAGGCATGTGCCACCACGCCTGGCTAATTTTTGTATATATACATTTTTTTAGTACAGACGGGGTTTGGCCATGTTAGTCAGGCTGGTTTGGAACTCCAGGCCTTAAGTGATCCGCCTACCTCGGCCTCCCAAAGTGCTGAGATTACAGGTGTGAGCCACTGCCTGTATATATACTTATTAAGTGCACATGCAAATTTCAAAGAATTGCCATGCAGAGTATGTTTTTTGACCACAATGAAGATAAGCTAATAAGCAATTTTAAAAGAAAACAAAAAATTTGAATATCCCTACAATTTTGGAAATTATGCAAATATATTCCATTTTATTTATTTAAAAATAAAATATATTTTTAAAGAGAAAAGGTATAGTACCATAATGAAAGGGGACCATAAAACACAAAATATATCAATACTTAAGTAGTAAAAGGATATTATGAACAACTATGCTAATAAATTTGAAAATTTATACGAATGAACAAATTCCTTAAAAAACTTGACCTCGACTCACATAAGAACTGAAAAATCTGAATAGGTCTATTATTGTTAAATAAGTGGAATGTGGCAAGGTGCCGTGGCTTACACCTGTATTCCTAAGAGTTTGAGAGGCTGAGGTGGGAGGACTCCTTGAGGCCAGAAGTTTGGAAGCAGTCTGTGCAGATTGGGAGACCCCACCTCTACAGAAAATTTAAAAATTAGCCAGATGTGTTGGTGAGCACCTCTAGTCCCAGCTACTTGTTGGGGGCTGAGAGGGGAGCATCACTTGAGCCTAGGCGGCTGAGGCTTCAGTGAGCTGTGATTGTGCCACCGTCCTACAGCCTAGGCAACAGAGAGACCCTGTCTGGAAAAAAAAAAAAAAAGAAATCCATAATTTAAAATTTTCCTACAATATAATTGTACACCCAGATGGCTTCGTTGATTAATTCTTCTAAACTTTCAAAGAAACAAATAACACAATCTGTTATGGGTTGAATTGTGTCCCTTCCAAAAATGGATATGTTGAAGTCTTAACCCCCAGTATCTCAGAATTCCAAATGTGAGTACATTTGGAGATAGGGCATTGCAGATGCTATTCATTAAAATGAGGTCACGCTGGAGCGCCTAAACCAATATGACTTGAGTCCTTATAAGAAGACAACCATGCGAAGACAGAATGCCAGGTGAAGATGGAGGCCATGTATCTGTGAGCCAGGAAACACTGAGGATTGGCTTCACCGGAAGCCACAAGAGAGGCATGGAGCAGATCCTCCCTCAGAGCCTTCACAGAAGGAACCAACGCTACTGCTCCTTGATTTTGGACTTCCAACCTCCACAACTATGAGGGAATATATTTCTGTTGTTTTAAGCAGCCCAATTTGCAGTACTTTGTTACAACAGCCTAGGGATACTAATACACAATTTTATAGAAACTCTTCCAGAGAAGAGAAAAAGCAGAAATACTCATTTTGTAAGTTCAACATAATCTTGATACAACAACTAAAAAATATAAGAAAAGAAAATTACAAGCCAGTCTTTCTCATTACCATATATGCAAATATACAAAATAAAAAAAATTTTTTTTTGAGACAGAGACTCACTCTGTCACCCAGGCTGGAGTGTCACTCTGTCACCCAGGCTGGAGTGCAGTGGTGCGATCTCAGCTCACTACAACCTCTACCTCCCAGGTTCAAGCCATTCTCATGCCTCAGTCACCCAAGTAGCTGGGATTACAGGCGTGCACCACCACACCCAGCTAATTTTTTTGTATTTAGTAGAGACAGGTTTTCACCATGTTGGCCAGGCTGGTCTTGAACTCCCAGCCTAAAGTGATCTGATTGCCTCGGCCCCTCAAAGTGCTGAGATCATAGGCATGAGGCACTGTGCCCGGTCAAAATAATATATTATTATACTGGATTCAGCTATATATAAAAAATGAATAGAGCTGAGTGCAGTGTCTCAGGCCTGTAATCCCAGTTACTCAGAAGGTCAAGGCTTGAGGCCAGGTGTTCAAGACCAGCTTGGGTGACATAGGGAGATCCCAGCTCTAAATAAATTAATTAAATAAAAATTTTAAATATAAATAAAAAGAATAGTAAGTCATGATAAATTGGATTTATTCCAAGACTGACAATTCATTTATCATTCAAAAATATAATCAATATAATTTACCACAATTATAGAATAAAGGAGAAAAACTATATGATCACTTCAATAGATACTATTATTTTATATAATTCAGTATCTATGTATAGTTTTTTAAAAATAAAAGCTCTTGGCAAACTAGAAATATCAGGAATTTCTGTAATAAGGTAAAGGTTGTCAATCAAAAAAATACAGTAAATATGCTTGATGGAATATTGAAAACTTTCCCTTTCAGATTGGGAATAAGAAAAGGATGCTTGCTAACATCACTTCTATTCAGATTTATGATAGGAGCTCTTAGACAATACAACAAGGCAAGCAAAATAATGAAAAAGGGCTGGGTGCGGTGGCTTACGCCTGTAATCCTAGCACTTTGGGAGGGTGAGATGGGCGGATAACTTGAGGTCAGGAGTTCGAGACCAGCCTGACCAACATGGTGAAACCCCATTTCTACTAAAAATACAAAAATTAGCCGGGTGTTGTGGTGCACACCTGTAATCCTAGCTACTCAGGAGGCTGAGGCAGGAGAATTGCTCGAACCCGGGAGCTGGAGGTTGTAGTTAGCTAAGATTGCACCACTGCACTCCAGCCTGGGCAACAGAGTGACTCCATCTCAAAAAATAAAATAATAATAAAAAAAAAAAGAGGCTGGGTGCGGTGGCTCACACTTGTAATCCCAGCACTTTGGGAGGCCAAGCGGGGAGGATCACCTGAGGTCAGGAGTTCAGCCTGGCTAACATGACGAAACCCCGTCTCTACTAAAAATACAAAAATTAGTGGGGCATGGTGACATGCGCTTGTAATCCCAGCTACTCGGGAGGCTGAGGCGAGAGAATTGCTTGAACCCAGGAGGAGGTTGCAGTGAGCTGTTTCACCATTGCACTGCAGCCTGGGTGACAAGAGCGAAACTCTGTCTCAAAAGAATGAAAAGGTATATTATATTAGTTGGAAGGGAAGAAATAAAACTCATTATTTTCAGACAATATGATTTGTATGTAGGAAAATGTAAAAGAATTCATAAACTATTAGAATTAAGTGAATTTAGCAAAATCTCTCTATAGATCAATATAACAAATATCAATTGTATTTCTACATACTAGCAATCAACAATGAGAAAAATCCAATAAATGATATCATTTAGATAGCATCAAAATTTACCAAATCCCAGAAATAATTTCAACAAAAATATGCAAGTCATCTACATAGAAAACTAAAAGTATTACTCATGGGAATTAAAGAAGACTTCAACAGAAAGAAAAGGTAGGAATATTCTGTTTTCATCAACTGGAATATTTAATATTATAAAAATGTTAATTCTATTCAAATTGATGAATAGATTCAATATAAACCCAATTAAAAAACCGTGTGTGTGTGTGTGTGTGTTTGTGTGTATAAACTGACAAGCTGATTCTACAATAGATATGTGTATTAATCATGTTTTTTATTTTCTGTATGTTATTAATCTTTTAGATCCTGGAGGCCTTGCTGACCTGGGAGAGACTGCCCCTCTCAGGGCTAGCTAATTCCTAGAAATAGCAAATGGCTTTCCTGTGAGGGAGCTTTTCAGATGCAAAACAACCAATCCAGAGCCCATACCCTCCAACCTCCTCCTTTGTTGCACTCTCACAGGGCTCTTACTCCTCAATATTCTCCTTCCCTAATCACCCCAGGGCTAGGTACCAGACAGCTCAGGACCACTCCTGCTCCCTGGAGCCTACTGAATTTATTCAAACTAGCCAATGCCAGTCCTTCTTAGCCTGTAACTGCCTCTCCCATACTACCTGTGAAAACCACAAAAAAGGCTCCTACCCATGCTTTCTCCTCATTTCTGCCTCCTAACTGGCCATGGTGCTTCCCCACGTGGCCCTGTATGGTGTGGCATACCCCTTCTTCTTGGGCACGGTGAATAACAAATTATCTTTTCAATGGCAGTTGTTCCTTAATCTGTCAGTCTCACCAAACCTGAATAATAATAAAACCTACATTTTAAAACAATATGGCATGTAGAAGGCTAAAAATAGCATAGATGACTTTGAAGAACAAAACCTGAACACTTACACTAACAGATTTTTTTTTTTTTTTTTTTTTTTTTAGACAGTCTTAAGCTGTCCCCTAGGCTGGAGTGCAGTGATACAATCTCAGCTCACTGCAACCTCTGCCTCCCGGGTTCCACTGATTCTCCTGCCTCAACCTCAACCTCCCCAGTAGCTGGGACTACAGGTGTCCACCACCATACCTGGCTAGTTTTTGTATTTTTAGTAGAGACAGGGTTTCTTTCACCACGTTGGCCAGGCTGGTCTCGAACTCCTGACCTCTAATGATCTACCCACCTCGGTCTCCCAAAGTGCTGGCATTATAAGCATGAGCCACCGCACCCACCCTGCACTAAAAGATTTTAAGACTTGTTAGAAATGTACAGTGCCCCTTCTTGGTGCTAGTCTAGACAATTAGACTAACGGAAAAATCTTGACACAGATCCACACTTACATGATACCTGATTTATGATAAAGTTGTCATGTCAGTGAAAGAGAGAAAGGATGGGATTAGCAACCATCCATATGGAGGGAAAAACCTTGATCTCTAATTCAGGGCATACACAAAAATACAATTCAGATGGATTGTAGATCTACACTTAAAGTAAAACAACAAAGCTCCTAGGACACAATATGGAGAATATCTTCACAACCTTGATGTGAGCAAAGATTTCTTCAATAGGACCCACAAGTACTAACTATAAAGGTAAAGTGAAAACTGGACTATATTAAACTTAAGACTTTTGATCCAGGCATGGTGGCTCACACCTGCCTGTAATCCCAGCACTTTGGAAGGCTGAGGCAGGCAGATCACTTGAGCCCAGGAATTCAAGACAGGCCTGGCCACTATGGCAAGACCCCATTTCTACTAAAGATACAAAATTAGCTGGGTGTGGTGGTGTGTGCCTATAGTCCCAGCTACTCAGGAGGCTGAAGCGAGAGGATCGCTTGAGCCCAGGAGGTTGAGGGTGCAGTGAGCTGTGATTGAGACCCTGCCTCAAAAAAAAAAAAAAAAAAGTAAGAGTTTTGATTTCTTTTTTCTTTCTTTCTTTCTTTCTTTTTTTTTTTGTTTGAGACGGAATCTTGCTCTATCACCCAGGCTGGAGTGCAGTGGTGCGATCTCAGCTCACTGCAACCTCTGCCTCCCGGGTTCAAGTGATTCTCCTGCCTCGGCCTCCTGAGTAGCTGGGATTACAGGCGTGTGCCACCATGTCCGGCTAATTTTTTGCATTTTTTTTTTTTAGTAGAGACGGGGTTTCACTGTGTTGGCTAGGATGGTCTTGATCTCCTGACCTCGTGATCCGCCCGCCTCAGCCTCCCAAAATAAAGAATTTTGATTTCTTAAATAACATCATTATTAGAGTAAAATGGCAAGCCACAGACAAGATGAAAATATTTGCTTTACACATATCTGACCAGAGACTCATTCGGAATATATGAATAACTTACACAAGCCCATAAGGAAAAAACCAGACAACCCAAGAAGAAAATAGACAAGATACTTCACTGGATACTTCATCAAAAAGTATATCCAGATAACCAAGAAGCATATGAAAAGGTAGTCAACGTAATTAATGCCTGACAAATAGTAGATGCACAATAAATACTTGTTGCATAAATAAACTAACAACTTCGTGGCCATTATTATTATTTCCACTCTTCTTTTTTTTTTTTTTTGAGATGGAGTCTCGCTCTGTCACCTGGGCTGGAGTGCAGTGGCGTGATCTCGGCTCACTGCAACCTTCGCCTCCTGGGTTCAAGCGATTCTCCTGCCTCAGCCTCCTGAGTAGCTGGGATTACAGGTGGTGCCACCACACCCGGCTAATTTTTGTATTTTTCGTAGAGACAGGGTTTCACCATGTTGGTCAGGCTGGTCTCGAACTCCTGACCTTGTGGTCTGCCCGCCTTGGCCTCCCAAAGTGCTGGGATTACAGGTAGTGCCACCACACCCAGCTAATTTTTGTATTTTTCGTAGAGACAGGGTTTCACCATGTTGGTCAGGCTGGTCTCGAACTCCTGACCTTGTGGTCTGCCCGCCTTGGCCTCCCAAAGTGCTGGGATTACAGGCGTGAGCCACAGCTCCCAGCTGATTTCCACTCTTCTATAATGCCTCAAAACTTTCTCCAAGACGTAAGTTCATGAATTCAGCAGCTACTGACCTAGTGGTAAGTTTGCCCAGGATATGGTTTGTGCCCTGGGGAATTTGCAGTCTCTCAGGGAGGTAAAACAGAGAGAGCCATGCAATGCCCTGGGATAGCACCAGCTGCCCCTCATTCTTACCTTCTCTGCTCCCATCTGTGCAACTGCAGACCCAGGGAGATCTCACTGTCTCCACCCTTGCTGGCCCAGCTACCCTTTACACCTGACCCCTTGGGCCTATGGATCTCCCTGACTTTCATAGCCTGGAAGAGGGCAACTTCCTGTACTTCTTTCTTCAGTTGAGACCAGATGGGAATTTCCTTAAAATATCTTTTATTAGGAAATCAAGGTAAAGCGATGACAAAAATGCTCAAAAGACAAAAGCATAAAAATGGAATGGTTTATAAAATCTGGACTTTTCACCTCAAAGTCTTGCTGCAATCATGTTTTTTGAAAGGTTAGTTAAATGCTCAGTGACATCAAGTTCTTCAACAGCTGAACTTTTGCTGCCATGATATTTGAGAAGTAAGTCAATGCAATAATATTCCTGTTCTGAGTTTGTAAACTGTAATCAAATTAGAAATTAATAAATATGTGTGTGTGTACACACATAACCTCTAAGATTCTGTCACCTCCTTTACATTTAATAGAGGTTGCAGATAACTATGTAGCAACACAGACAATGCTAAGCAATAAATAGCACAATGGAAAACTATAGGTACCAGATCATTACATTACACATATGGACAAGGTCTTTAAGGAAAATGAAAATGTGTTCATGTCGTGGATGAAGTGGGTGATTTTTCCCCTTTTTTCAAACATCTTTCATTATTTTCTTCATGCTACTCTAGCAATACATAAAAGTCACACAAAGATTTGATAGAGCATGAACATAGTGGAATGCCAATTTGTAAACTGCTCCCAAGTCCAATTTTGTGCTGCTAATTTTAAAGCTAGTGCTATTTTCTAGTAAATAGAATATATGTAGAAGTCTGCATTTCTTTTTGTCGATTTGACCAACATATTTTAGCATCATCTGCAAACTGGCAAATAAAGTATAAGTCATAACAAATGGTTTTTGTTCTAATCTGGGATAATTTCTTGCGGCAATCACTGGTGGTTGTTCTGATACACCAGGAATGGAAGCTGAGGGGGTGGAGAGGGGGTGAGGATTTGTTTTGTTCTTATCTTGACTGCAAAGTCCAAAGCTATTTACTTTTTTGTTCTAGATTTCTTTCGCAGAGCATTAATTACCTGGAGAAATTTTTTCCTAATTGCAGTTTTTTTTTGGAGGGTAATCATTTCTAAAGAAATAAATATTCCTTCCAGGTGGCTCAAAATGTTCCTGGCATGCAACACCAGTTTAATATAACGTGTATATTTTAAGTGTTTTCATATTACTGCATGCCTGTTCATGACAAATCTGCTGTGGTCAGAATGAATTTTTTTAGTTACATCCTTGTGTCTTTTTGCAGATATGGAATTAAATCATTTTATGGGTAGGTTAAGATTTGAACAAGAGTGCATAGCCTACTTATTCCATGAGTTGAAGGATTTTCCCATCTACCAAAAATTGCACTGAATCACCTCAATAAATGTTTATTAAGCATTCTTTGGATTTTAAAAATGGATTGTGCATCGACCTGTCTTTCCTATTGTTGCCAGCATGAAGAACATGGCCAACTGAAAGCTGTGAGGATTTGAGTTTGCATCTGGGTTCTAATCATTACTATGTGACTCTGGACAAGTCAGCTTAGTATTCTGAAGCCTTGGTTTTCTCATCTATGAAACTGGAAAACAGAACCATGAAATGTCTTGTCTGGTCCTGATTATACAGACAAATCAGCTGCTAAGGACATCTGTGGTCCAACAGGGGAAATCTCAACATGGTCTATGTATAGAAAGAGAAGATGACAATTTATAAAAAGTCTTATTATTTAGTATTTTCCTCCAACAAGTCACTTTTCCTTTCTCAGTTTATTATGGACAGTCTGGCCTCTAGCCATTTGGTGTTATTTTTATCGTTCTCATGCTTTATGTTCTTTTTCGCTCTGATTTGAAAGAGGAGATGACACCCAAGTACTTTTCTCTAATCATAGCATAAAAAGTTTTTTAGTATCTTAAAGTGGGACATGCTCTACACACAGACACACACACACACACACACACACACACACACACACAGAATTTTGATAAAGCGAGTTAGTTTTTACTGCTGAGAGCCCTAAGATGAACAAATTCTGATATTTTCTAATCCCATTTCTTATCATCTTTTGGTATTTAAAATATTTTTAATTTATTATTGTTTCTTCAAATTATGAAAGATATATTGGCTATTGGCTATATAGAAAAAAAATCTGAAGCAATATCCACCAAGCAGTGAGCAGCGCTGCTTTCTGGAGATGAGCTCATAGGGGAGACTTTTTCCTTTGACATTGTGGGGGGTGTGTGTGTGTGTGTGTGTCAGGATTGGGCAGATAGAAAATTTGAATTCACAACAATTGCAAGAGAGGACTTAATGGATCTCACAGGGAGCTTTAGTGCTGGAATATTCCTTTAGATTTGCCCCACATTGAGGCAAGGGGGCCAGACCTTTGTATCCCTATATTGATTAGTTGTTGGATATGGACTGCTGCCAGAGTAGGGGCAAAACCTTGGGCAAGGCAGCTCTCTTTTGCCCAGAGCAATTTCTAGAGAAGGATTCGGCTGTGAGCCATTGGCAGAAAATACTCCTGGCAGCTGAAGAAATGAGTAGCTCAATCCTAAAGGGGGAATTCTGTGTGGTATACCACAGCATCCACTACAGCTTATCCCTTGCACCACTTGGATCTGCTTACTTTGTGCATTCAATTCTGGGGACAGCTCCAGGATTCTGAATAATTTTCTTTCCTGGAAAAACTTTGAGAAGAAGGTTATTGGGACAAACTATTGCCTTCACTGCTTCAGCTGGTCTTGAGCCACAGTCTCCTTCCTCTAATACTTACTCTAGTCTAGGAGTCTAGATTTCTTTCATCCTCAGCTAGCACCTTTGCTGGTCCAGATGGCTTATTTGATGGGTGGCCCAGACCGTCATTATTGAGTGGCCATGGCTTTACATGGTCATCATGTCCTTCTTAGACTGTGGCTGCTGTCCTTGTCCATTTACCATAAATATTGGGCAGGGGGTACCAAGAGATTTCTCAGTAAACCACTTGGGTGCAAAATACATTCTTCCCTATCCCTACTGAGTAACAGCAACCCTATCTTCTTCTGATGATAAGGATCACTTAACTACCTGTGACAGTACGGTTACTACTTTCCTTTCTTGATGTCTCTTGGCACAAGGATCCCAAAGTGACTAGGCAATAGCTATAGGAGACTCTTACCATGTCTCCTGGTGGAAGCACTCCACCCCCGCCCGGGAACCAGGATCTCTAGGCCTTAAAATTGAGGGGATGGGAAGCACGAATTTCCCAAGTGGGCCAGTGGGATTGATGGTAATTGGGGCCATTTCTATTGACATTCTTTGGTTTCCAAATTCATGTACTATGTCTCCTGGGGATACAATATCATGTAATAGTCATTGATTTAGGGTGTATATTGCATCCTGGAAGATGATTTCCTATTCTTGTTGAGTGTCATTTCTTTTTTCTTTTTTTTTTGAGATGGAGTCTTGCTCTGTTGCCCAAGCTGGAGTACAGTGGCACGATCTTGGCTTACTGCAACCTCCACCTCCTGGGTTCAAGTGATTCTCCTGCCCAGCCTCCTGAGTAGCTGAGACTACAGGCACCTGCCACCACGCCTGGCTAATTCTTGTATTTTCAGTAGAGATGAGGTTTCGCCATATTGGCCAAGCTGGTCTTGAACTACTGACCTTGTGATCCGCCTGCTTTGGCCTCCCAGTGTGCTGGGATTACAGGCATGAGCCACTGCGCCCAGCCTGAGCCACTGTGCCCAGTCGAGTATCATTTCTAACCTGGTATCTTGTCTACAGTTTCCAAAGGCTATTTCCTCACTTTATTGAGTCCAGAAGCTTCTGAGTGATGTGGTATATGATGGGACTGGTGGATCCCATTGTCATGTGGCCATTGCCACACTCTCTTGCTGTAAGTTGGGTTTCTTGGTCAGAGGCAATGCTATTCAGAATTCCATACCGGTAGATCACTCTGTGAGTTCTCAGAGTGTTGTCCAAGGCCCTGCAGGCAGAAAAGGTAAGACTATATCTAGAACATGTGTTAATTCCAGTCAAGATGAAGCAATTCTCCTTCTAGAGTGGAAAGGGCCTGGTAATCATCTTGGCAGAAAGTGGGTGGTTGGTCTCCTCAAAGAATGATACCGTGCTGGGGACTCAGCATTGGCCTCTGCTGCTGGCAGGTTGGGCACTGCATGGCAAAAGTAATTATACCAGCTTTAGTAAGTAGGAACTCATACTTTTGTGCCATTCATAGCCTCCAACCTTGCCATATGACTACCCCATTTGTGAGGTGATCTGGCCAGAACTGTGGTGAGTGATAACAGAGGGTAGCTAACATCAACTAGTTGAGTCATCCTGTCTATTTGGTTGTCCAGTCAGTCTTTTGTTGGTGGATGCTGTCATGTGGTCAATGAAATGCAGAAAAAGACATTCACATTTTTTTTTTGCCCACTTCTTTGGGTCCATCTCTACCAAGGGTTGGCAACTAAAACTCACAGGGCAAATTCACCCACTGCCTGTTTTATGAATAAAGTTTTATGGGAACACAGCCATGCCACTTATTTATGTGTTGAATATGGCTGCTTTTACACTACAACAGCAGAGCTGTGCAGTTGCAACAGAAACCATATGGCCCTTGAGTCTGAAATAGTTACTCTGACCCTTTATACAAAAAGTTTGCAGATTCTTGATTTACATGCTTCTTTCCAATATTGTCCCCAGTATTCCAATCTTGTTCCTTTCAGGTCCTTGTTCAGTTAAGCCATTTGCCACTGCCTTCACGTCTGTGTATATTTTCATCTTGGGGTACTTCTCTTTCCACATAAAGTAGAAGACCAGATGTACTTCCCAAAGCTCTGACCATGGGAGGATTTTATCTCAACATGCTTTCAGGGGCACCCTGAGTGAGACAGCACTGTATCACCAGTCTGCTTTTGGTTTATATCCACAAATCAAGCTAGTGCGTCCAAGAATCAAGCTTGTCCTTTGCTTCCTCCATCAGTTGGTCATAATACTTTCTATGTGGATGTAAATGGAATCCAGGGAAAGGCATCCATGCAACAGTACTGGATGACAGGATGACATGTGGCTAGTGGCTTACTTTTAGCCTCTGGCTCTACTTGATACCCAATCCTGACACACTACTGCAGTTTTATAATGGGCTGCTGCTGGACCCGCTCAGCATTATGACTTGATGGGTCTGACAGAAACCAGCTCAGGATGGGCAGTTCTAACCACAGGCCACTTGATGTCTCATAGTCAGCTGATTCGTCTCTACCATGACCCAGGAGTATGCCAGGAACTATTTATTGAGTGGCATGTAGCTGTCTGGGGTTTCCCATACATTCCTACAGGTGTTTTTACACCCCAGAAAGCTCTAATATCACAAAGTCTCCTGGGTCACCTGGCCTAAGTGGCAGGGTTGCTTGTAATGCAGCATGAACCAGCTGTAGAGCCTTTCCTTACTCTGGACACCACTCAAAGTTGTCAGCCTTCCATGTGATTCAGTAAATGAGTCAGAGTAGTTTTCCCCAGTATGAAACATACCATCTCCAGAACCCAAAGAGGCTAACGAGTATCATGCTTCCATCTCAGTGGATCCCTAAACATGTCACGGATCTGGTAGGACCCAGAATCTTCCTAAGATTTATCATTTATTGCTCATTCTTTGGAAAATGTGTATCTTACCAAGGCTTCAACTTACTTGCCACTTCTTACTCATGTGGTCGATAAACATCATGTTATTGACAAAATGGACCAATGTGATATTCTTCAGGATGTTCAGATAGTCAAGATCTATTTGGACTATATTATGACAGTTTGCTGGATTTAAAATATGTCCACAAATTCTTTGATGTTCCTCCCTTCAAGAGGTGGAGTCTAATTCCCATCCCCTTGTAGATCACTGGCTCTGGGGAAAGTTGGCTGCCATATTGTGAGGACACTCCAGCAACCAATGGAGAGGTCCGCCTGATGAGGAACTGAGGCTTCCTGCCAACAAGCATATGAATGAGTCAATTGGAAGTGAATTCTCTAGCCCCAATTAAGCCTTCAGATAACCGCAGGACCTGTAGATGTCCTAACTGCAACCACATTAGAAATCCTGAGCCAGAACCATCAAGCTAAGACATTCCTACATTCCTGACCCACAGAAGCTATAAGATAATGAATGCTTATTTCCTGCCCCAAGACTTCTCTGACACAGTGCCATTGATACCAGCAGGAACCCTCTCAGCATTCATATATGGTCAACCCTTATATGTGAGGTATCTTGATCAAAGCTAGCTTTTCATTACCTGGCAAACAGTTCTGAAGCACATTTCATAAGACTCCTCAGATGACTCCACAGAATCAAGCACTGGTTACCTATAACGCCAGCCAATTGGTCAGTGCATCTTGCATTGGCTTTCCCTGTTTCATTCCTCCTTATTTCTCATGCTTGTTCTCTGGGCTCACCTTCCCACATAAACAATATGCAGAAAATTCTTCATCTGTTTTCAGGGGAACTCAACGATAATGTGAAAAGGCACATGACACAATTCAAACCTGATTATATCTATGTAAAACTCCTCAAGAGTTAGCCTCTTATCTTAATTTAAAAATGCTGGCTGGGTGTGGTGGCTCACACCTGTAATCCCAGCACTTTGGGAGGCTAAAGTGGGCAGATCACTTGAGGTCAGGAGTTCAAGACCAGCCTGGCCAACATGGTGAAAATGTCTCTAATAAAAATATAAAAATAAGCTCAGCATGGTGGCATGTGCCTGTAGTCCCAGCTGCTCAGGAGGCTGAGGAAGGAGATTTTGCTTGAACCCAGGAGGCAGAGGCTGCAGTGAGCCAAGATGGTGCCACTGCACTACAGCCTGGCGACAAAGTAAGACTCTGTCTCAAAAAAAATTGCTGAAGTGAGGAATAATGTCTACTATCTCCTCTACAATTGAACATTATGTTGGAAGTATTAGCTAAAGCAAATTATACAAGGGAAATCATATCAGACAAGAGACACAGTAATTGAAAAGAAAGAGGCCGGGCGCGATGGCTCACACCTGTAATCCCAGCACTTTGGGAGGCCGAGGCAGGCGGATCACAAAGTCAGGAGATAGAGACCATCCTGGCTAACACGGTGAAACCCTGTCTCTACTAAAAATAAAAAAAATTAGCTGGGCGTGGTGGTGGGCGCCTGTAGTCCGAGCTACTTAGGAGGCTGAGGCAAGAGAATGGCGTGAACCCGGAAGGCAGAGCTTGCAGTGAGCAGAGATCACGCCACTGCACTCCAGCCTGGGCGACAGACCAAGACTCCGTCTCAAAAAAAAAAAAAAAAAAGAAAAAAGAAAAGAAACAGATAAAGCAATCTCTATTTATAGACAACATAATTGTTTAGTTGGAACACCCAAAAGGATGGAAAGAAAAACTCTCACAAACAATAAGCAAACTAAGTAAAGTAACTGGATATAAAAATCAACATGGGCCGGGCGTGGTGGCTCACGTCTTTAATCCCAGCACTTTGGGAGGCTGAGGCAGGCAGATCACCTGAGGACAAGAGTTTGAGACCAACCTGACCAACATGGAGAAACCCTGTCTCTACTTAAAATACAAAATTAGCCAGGTGTGGTGGTGCATGCCTATAATCCCAGCTACTCGGGAGGCTGAGGCAGGAGAATTGTTTGAACCCAGGAGGTGGAGCTTGCAGTGAGCCGAGATCATGCCATTGCACTTTAGTCTGGCGATAAGAGCAAAACTCCATCAAAAAATAAATAAATAAATAAATTCACCATGTAGAAATCATCTGCATATATACAAACAGTAAGTAATTAGGAAATATAATGAGAGAAGGCCTGGTGCTGTGAGTGACTCATGCCTGTAATCCCAGCACTTTGGGAGGCCCAGGTGGGTGGATCACTTGAGGTCAGGAGTTGGAGACCTGCCTGGCCAACATGGTGAAACCCCATCTCTACTAAAAATACAAAATTAGCTGGCTGTGGTGGCAGGCGCCTGTAATCCCAGCTACTCGGGAGGCTGAGGCACAAGAATCGCTTGAATGCAGGAGGTGGAGGTTGCAGTGAGCCGAGATCACACCACTGCACTCCAGCCTGGGCGACAGAGTGAAACTATGTCTCAAAATAAAAATAAAAATAAAAAGAACAGGAAATATAATGAGAGATGAGAGAGAAGATCCACTTAAAATAGCAACAATAAAGTAAAATATTTGCTGTAGACCAAAAGAAATGTGCAAAACCTATATGAGTAAAAACTATGAAACACACATGGAAGACACAAAAGTGGACTTAAACAAATGGAAAGACATACCGTGTTCTTGGATAGGAAGATTCTGTCATAAAGATGTCAGTTCTCCCTAAATTAAATGATATATTAATCATAATCCCAGTGGAAATTACCATGAGGTTTTGATAATTTTGTAGTCTTACAAGTTTTTTATATAAAGATTTTTTTAAAAAGAATAAACACTAGCCTGAGCAACACAGTGAGACCCCATCTCTACAAAAATACAAAAATTAGCTGGGCAGGATGGCACATGCCTGTAGTCCCAGCTCCTTGGGAGGCTGAAGTGGGAGGACCGTTTGAACCTGGGAGGCAGTGGTTGCGGTGAGTCAAGATCATGCCGCTGTACTCCAGCCTGGGTGACAAAGCAAGACCCTGTGTCCAAAAAAAAAAAAAAAAAAAAAAAAGAATAAACAAGTAATAATTCTTTAAGAAAGAGATACATAGGGAGGCTAGCCCTCCACGACGTTAAAATGTTATAAAGTTTCTGTAATTAAAAGAGTATAGTGTTGATATATGAATAGACAGATCAATGAAAGGATGCATCTCGAAGCAGTGGGGAAGAGCCAAACTTTTTTTTTTTTTTTTTTTTTTGAGACGGAGTCTCGTTCTGTCGCCCAGGCCGGACTGCGGACTGCAGTGGCGCAATCTCGGCTCACTGCAAGCTCCGCTTCCCGGGTTCACGCCATTCTCCTGCCTCAGCCTCCCGAGTAGCTGGGACTACAGGCGCCCGCCACCGCGCCCGGCTAATTTTTTGTATTTTTAGTAGAGACGGGGTTTCACCTTGTTAGCCAGGATGGTCTCGATCTCCTGACCTCATAATCCACCCGCCTCGGCCTCCCAAAGTGCTGGGATTACAGGCGTGAGCCACCGCGCCCGGCGAGCCAAACTTTTAAATAAACGGTATTGAGACAACTGCAACCGTGTACCTATATGGAAAAATATAACATCAGCTTCATTCTTCTCATATACCAGAATAAATGGCAAATGGGTAAGAGATCTAAATATGAAAAATGAAAACACAAATACTAGAAGAAAAACTGAATGTGTCTTTTTAAACTGGGAGTGGGAAAACATTTATAACTTTAAAAGCAGAAGCTATAGAGAAAAGACTGATAACTGTTACTATATAAATGTAAATATTATTTGCAAACATGAGAGAAGAAGGGAGAGAGAGAGAGGAAGACCTAAAATATTTAAAAGAAATTAACAAACTGTCAAAAGGTATTGACAAGTCATAACACACTAATACTCCTAACATACAAAGAGTTCATGATTTTTAGAATCATGAGGAAGGAGAAAGGGCAAAATATATGAACATAGAGAGTGAAAAAAAGAGGCCGGGATCAGTGGCTCATTCATGTAATCTCAGTCCTTTGAGAGGGCTGAGATGGGAGGATAGCTTGAGGCCAGGAGTTCAAGATCAGCCTGGGCAACATAGTGAGACCCACTCTCTACAAAAAATAAAAATAAAAACATTAGCCAGATGCAGTGGCACATGCCTGTAGTCCCAGCTACTCGGGAGGCTGAGATTGGAGGATTGCTTGAGCCCAGAAGGTCCAGGTTGCAGTGAGCTATAATCACTCCACTGCACTCCAGCCTAGGTGACGGTAGAGATCCTGTCTCTAAAAGAAAGGCAAATAGCAAAGATGGTCAGCCTTTTACATGATGAGGAAAGTGCAGTTTTTTATTTTTTTTTTGAGAGAGAGTCTGGCTCTGTCACCCAGGCTGGAGAGAAGTGGCATGATCTCAGCTCACTGCAACCTCCGCCTCCCGGGTTCAAGTGATTCTCCTGCCTCAGCCTCCCAAGTAGCTGGGATTACAGGCGCGTGCCACCATGCCTGGCTAATTTTATTTTATTTTATTTTATTTTATTTTATTTTATTTTATTTTTGTATTTTTAGTAGAGACCGGGTTTCACCATGTTGGCCAGGCTGGTCTCCAACTCCCGACCTCAAGTGATCCGCCTGCTTCGGCCTCCCAAAGTGCCGGGATTACAGGCACCAGCCACTGCGCCTGGCCAGAAGTGCAAAGTAAAATCATCCTGAGATATTTCTCCCCTATCAGATTGGCAAAACTCCAAAAGTTTGACAACATACTCTGATGTTGAGATATAGGGAGTCAGGCTCTGTTATACATTGCTTATGGAATGCAGGATGATATAATCTTTGTGGAAGGCAACTTGGCAATGTCTAATGAAACAGAATATGCATTTACACTTTGATTTAGCAATCCTACTTCTAGGAATCTATCCCAAGACGCACTAGCAAAACCAGTAAATGGCATACAAACAAGACAATTCATTGCAGCACTATTTGTGTCAATAAAAGACTGGAAATAACAAAAATGGTGTTTGGGGACTGGTTGAATGTCGCAGCTATACAGTGGAGTCCTATACAGATGTAAAAAGCAATGAGAAGAACCCCTATCTACCTCCATGGATTCCAGAAAATATGGCTAAATGGAAAAAAGCAAGGGGCAGAACAGTGCATAGTGTGCCATTCTTTGGGTAAGAAAAGTGTGGAAATATGAATATATAAATTATATATTAAAATTATATTTTCATAAATAATGAAAGCAGAAACGGTTGCCTATAGAGCAGTCTTTCCCAATCTTTTCACTCCAGGGGAACTCCTTTTTTTTTTTTTTGCTTAGACGGGGACTCACTCTGCCACCCAGGCTGGAGTTCAGTGTGGCACTGCAGTTGAACTCACTGCAGCCTGGACCTCCTGGACTTCAGAAATCCTCCCACCTCAGCCTCCTGAGTAGATGGGACTGCAGGCATGCACCACCATGCCCAGCTAATTTTTGTATTTTTTGTAGAGATGAGGTCTCACTAAACTGCATAGGCTGGTCTCAAACGCTTGGGCTCAAGTGATCCTCCCACTTCGGCCTCCCAAAGTGCTGGGATTACAAGCGTGAGCCACCGTACTGCTTAGAACAACTCTTGAAATGATTTTTAGGTCTCAGAGAACCCCTGCATAAAAATTATACCTACAGCTCATGGTATATTAGTGTGATTATTAAGATGTAGATATAATCATTCAATAATAAATCAGTAATGCCATTTTGAGAAGAGAATTTTTTTCTTTTCTTTTTCTTTTTTTTTTTTTGAGATG
Organism: Homo sapiens; assembly: GCF_000001405.40. Taxonomy (NCBI): domain Eukaryota; kingdom Metazoa; phylum Chordata; class Mammalia; order Primates; family Hominidae; genus Homo; species Homo sapiens. Next base: position 85,106,009 of record NC_000002.12, on the reverse strand, counting down.
GAGTTTCGCTCTGTCTCCCAAGCTGGAGTGCAGTGGCACAATCTTGGCTCACCGCAACCTCCACCTCCCTGGTTCAAGTGATTCTCCTGCCTCAGCCTCCCAAGTAGCTGGGATTACAGGCATGCGCCACCACGCCCAGCTAATTTTGTATTTTTAGCAGAGACGGCATTTCTCCTTGTTGGTCAGGCTGGTCTTGAACTCCCGACCTCAGGTGATCCACTCACCTTGGCCTCCCAAAATGCTAGGATTACAGACGTGAGCCACCGCACCTGGTCGAGAATTTTTTTTTTTTCCCCTGTGAGTTGTGCATTTTGCTGAACTTATTAGCACACACTTTTTGTGTGGTCCCTCCAATCCACAAAGGATGTCAACTCCCATGCAAATCAATAGTATAGGTAAAGAAACCTTTTCATTTTAAAAATGTCTTCCTTATTTTACTTTATCCAAAAAAATCCAAAGCCTTATTACAAATTTCTACTACACAAGATGTTGATCAACTGTGATATATAGTGCATGTTTCATCCCCACTAAAAACTAAAAATGACTTTTTAACCAAACTTTCTTGAAAAATATTAAGCTTAGTTTAACCTTTATTGAAATTAATCTATTTCTTTCCTTTTCATAAAAATTTTAAACAGCTTTATCAGGATATAATTCACATACCGTACAATCCACTGCTTGAAAGTATAAAGTTCAGTGGTTTTTAGTATATTCGCAGAAATGTGCAACCATCACCAGAGTCAATTTTTTTTTTTTTTTTCCAGACAGAGTCTGGCTCTGCCACCAGGCTGGAGTGCAGTGGCTCGATCTTGGCTCACTGCAACCTCCACCTCCTGGGTTCAAGCAATTCTCCTGCCTCAGCCTCCCGAGTAGCTGGGACTACAGGCGCATGCCACCACACCTGGCTAATTTTTGTATTTTTAGTAGAGACGGGGTTTCACCATGTTGGCCAGGATGGTCTCGAACCCTTGGCCTCATGATCCATCTGCCTCGGCCTCCCAAAGTGCTGGGATTGCAGGCGTGAGCCACCGTGCCTGGCCCACCAGAGTCTATTTTAGAACATTTTCATCACCTCAAAAATGAACCCTATACCCTTCAGCTGTGACCCCCTCTCTCCCCCATGCATCCCAGCCCAGGAAAACCACTAATCTCTTAAATAGAATCATATAAAATGATTACAGTATCATTATGAGAAATATCATAACGTTTTCAGGTTCATTCACGTTGTAGCCTGTGCCATTACTTCATTCCTTCTTATGGCCAAAAAACAGTTCATTGATTGGATATATCATTCTACATTTTCTTTACAGATTTGTGAGTTGACAGACATTTGAGTTGTTTCTACTTTTTGGCTATTATAAATACGGAAGCTATAAACATTTGTGTAAAAGTTTTTATGTAGACATATGTTTTAAATTCTTCCAGGGGTACACCTAGGAGTAGATTTGCTAGATCATATGTTAACTTTATAATTAATCATTTGAGGAAGTGCTAAACTGTTTTCCAAAGCAGCTGTACCATTTTGCGTTACCACCAGCAGTATATGAGGGTTCTGATTTCTCCACATCCTCAGTAACACTTGTTACTATCTTTTTCATTATAACCATACTAGTGGGTGTGAAGTGGTATCTCACTGTGGTTTTGATTTGGATTTCCCTGACAACTAATAATGTTGAGTATCTTTTCATGTGCTCATTGACCATTTCTGTTTCTTCTTTGGAGAAATGTCTGTTTTGAACATTTGCCCATTAAAAAAATTTTTTTTTCCAGAGATGAGGTCTTGCTGTGTCACCCAGGCTGGGGTGCAGTGGTGCAATTGTAGCTCACTGCAGCCTCGAACTCCTGGGCTCAAGCAGTCCTCCTGCCTCAGCCTCCTGAATAGCTAGGACTACAGGCATGTACCACCATGCCGGGCTAATTTTCAAATTTTTCGTAGAGATGGAGTCCTGCTATTTTCCCCAGGCTGGTCTCAAATTCCTGGGTTCCCATCTTGGCCTCCGAAAATGCCGGGATTATGGGCGTGAGCCATCCCATCTGGCCTAAAAAAACTTTAAAAAAATTCTGGTAAAATATACATAACATAAAATTTACCATCTTAGTCCTTTTACATATACAGTTCAATAGCGCTAAGTCCGTTCACCTAGTTGTGGTTTTCCCATGTTAAAATTTAATTATCTGTATTTTATTGAGTGTGAGTTGTGTTGTTTATGTCTTTTATGTGTTTAGCTATAAATCCCTTATTAGCGATGTGATTTATAAAATTTTCTCCCATTCTGTGGGTTGTCTTATCACTTTCTTGATAGTGTCCTTTGAAGCACAAAGGTTTCTAATACTGATCAAGACCAATTTATCTCTTTTTTCCTTGGTTACTTGCGCTACTGGTATCATATCTAAATATCCATTGCCAAATATAAGGTAATCAATATTTTTCTTCCAATACTTTCATGTTTTCTTCCAAGACTTTTATAGTTTAACTCTTACACTTAGGTCTTATATTCGTTTTGAATTAATTTTTTTATATGGTAAGAAGCCAACTTCATTCTTTTGCATATGGCTACCAGTTGTCTCAGCATCATTTGTTGAAAAGACAATTTTTTTCCCATTGAATGATCTTGACATCTTTGTCAAAAATTAGTTGACTGTAGACACATGGTTTTATTCTTGGACTCTCAATTCTATTCCGTTGATCAATATATCTGTCCTTATGCTAGTACCACATTATCTTGATTGTTGCTGCTTTGTATTAAGTTTTGAAATAAGGAAATGTGAGTCCTCTAACTTTGTTCTTCCTTTTCAAGATTATTTTGGCTATTTGGAGTTCCTTTCAATTCCAAATAAACTTGAGAATCAGCCTGTCAATTTCTTCAAAGAAGTCAGCTGAGATTTTGATAAGAATTGATGTAATCTGTAAATCAATTTGGAGAGTATTGCCATCTTAACAATATTAAGTATTCACAAAAAAGCCTTATGGTAAAAATAAATAAATAGGCTGGATGTGGTGGCTCATGACTGTAATCCCAGCACTTTGGGAGGCCAAGGTGGGTGGATTACTTGAGGTCAGGAGTTCAAGACAAGCCTGGGCAACATGGTGAAACCTCATCTCTACTGAAAATACAAAAATTGGCGGGTGTGGTTCTGGGTGCTTGTAATCCCAGCTACTCTGGAGGCTGAGGCAGGAGAATGGCTTGAATCCAGGAGGGAGAGGTTGGAGTGAGCTGAGATTGTGCCATTGCACTCCAGCCTGGGTGACAAGAGTGAAACACCATCTCAATAAATAAATAAATAAATTTTAAAATATTTACGTCTTCTGGAAACATGGCGGACGAAGTAGACCAGCAACAAACTACCAACACTGTAGAGGAGCCCCTGGATTTTATCAGGCTCAGCCTAGGTGAGAGAATTTATGTGAAAATGAGAAATGACCGAGAGCTTCGAGGCAGATTACCATGCTTATGATCAACATTTAAATATGATCTTGGGAGACATGGAAGAAACTGTGACTACTATAGAAATTGATGAAGAAACATATGAAGAGATATATAAACCAATGAAATGGAATATTCCAATGCTTTTTGTCCAGGGAGATGTCGTTGTCCTGGTTGCCCCTCCACTGAGAGTTGGCTGAAACAAAGAATTTGTCCTGTATGGAAAATAGGAGACTTTGCACAGTGGCCTCTCTAAATGTACAAGACATTCAAAAGAGAATCCTGCATACATTTTGATATTAAGAAATAATTCTGAGGCCGGGCGTGGTGGCTCACGCCTGTAATCCCAGCACTTTGGGAGGCCGAGGCGGGCGGATCACAAGGTCAGGATATCGACACCATCCTGGCTAACATGGTGAAACCCCGTCTCTACTAAAAATACAAAAAATTAGCCGGGCGCGGTGGCGGGCGCCTGTAGTCCCAGCTACTCGGGAGGCTGAGGCGGGAGAATGGCGTAAACCCGGGAGGCGGAGCTTGCAGTGAGCCGAGATTGTGCCACTGCACTCCAGCCTGGGCGACAGAGTGAGACTCCATCTCAAAAAAAAAAAGAAAAATGAAATAAAAAAAGAAATAATTCTGGGGATTCTTCCACTCCTGAAATGAGTTGATTTGCAGATGACTCATAACTAAGCTAAATGGTATTTTCATTTCTCTCAAGCTCTTTCAATAAATATGACCACCAAGAGAAAAAAAATTGTCTTTTAATCCATGAACGTGTAATACTTTTCTTTTTATTTAGGATTTGTTCATTTCTTTCATGAATATTTTCATAGTTTCCAGAGTATAAATTTTATGCTTCTTTAGTTAACTATATTCCCAGGATTTTATTCTTTTTGATGATATCATAGATGAAATGGTTTTCCTAATTTCATTTTCAGATTGTTCTTCACAAATGTGTAGAAATATAATTAATTTTTGTATATTGATCTTACATCTTGTGATCTTGCTGAATGCATTAGTTCTAATAATTTTTTGTTTGTTTGTTTGTTTTTTAAGACGGAGTCTCGCTCCATTGCCCAGGCTGGAGTGCGGTGGTGCTATCTCGGCTCACTGCAAGCTCCGCCTCTCCGGTTCACGCCATTCTCCTGCCTCAGCCTCCTGAGTAGCTGGGACTACAGGCACCTGCCACCGCGCCCGGCTAATTATTTTTTCTTTTGGTATTTTTAGCAGAGACGGGGTTTCACCATGGTCTCGACCGCCTGACCTCATGATCCACCAGCCTCGGCCTCCCAAAGTGCTGGGATTACAGGCATGAGCCACCGCTCCTGGGCAAGTTCTAATAATTTTTTTACTAGATTCCTTACGATTTTCTATATATAAGATTTGCAAATCAAGATAGCTTTACTTCTACCTTTTCATCCTGATGGCTTTTATTACATATTGTAGCCTAATTGCCCTGGTTGGATCCTCCAGTACTATGCTGACTACAATTGGTGAACATCCTTGTCTTGCTCCTGACCTTAGGGGGAAAGCATCTAGTCTTTCACCGTTAATTATGCTATTAACTATGGGTTTTTCAGAGATGCCCCTTATCAGGTTGAGAATTCCCTTCCATTTCTAATTTATTAAGTATGTTTTGTCACGAAAGGGTGTTAGATTTTGTCCAGTGCTTTTCCTAATTGTATTGAGATGATCGCATAGTTTTTGTCCTTTATTTTATTGATATGATGTAGTATATTAATCGATTTTCATATATTGAACCTACCTTCCATCCTTGAGATAAATCTCACCTGGTCATGGTGTATAAAACTTTTTATACGTTGCAAACTTTTGTTTGCTAGTGTTTTGTTGTGGATCTTTGTGTCTATATGCATAGGGATATTGGTTTATAGTTTTCTTGTGATGTCTTTGTCTGGCTTTGGTATCAGGGTACTACTGGCCTCATAGAATGGGTTAGGAAGTATTCCATCCTCTTCTATTTTTTGGAAGAGTTTGAGAAGGGTCGGTGTTAGTTCTTCAAACATTTGGTGGGATTCATCAGTGAAACCATCTGGTAGCTTTTCTTTGTTGAATGTTTTTAGATTAATGACTCAGTTTCTTTGCTTGTTATAAATATATTCAGATTTTCTATTCCTTTCGAGGTAATTTTTGTAGTTTTTGTCTATCTAAGAATTTGTTCATCTAAGTTATCCAGTTTGTTGACATACTTTTTTCTTTCTTTCCTTTCCTTTTCTTTTCTCTCTTTACTTTCTTTCTTTTTTTTTTTTTAGAGACAAGGTCTCACTCTCTCACCGAAGCTGGAGTGCAGTGGCATGATCATAGCTCACTGTGATCTTGAACTCCTGGGCTCAAGAAATCCTCCCACTTCAGTCTCCCAAATAGCTAGGATTATGGGCATCCTACTATGCCCAGCTAGTTAAAGAACTTTTTTTTTTTTTTTTTTTTTTTTTTTTTTTTTTTGAGACGGAGTCTCGCTCTGTCGCCCAGGCTGGAGTGCAGTGGCGCGATCTCGGCTCACTGCAAGCTCCGCCTCCCGGGTTCACGCCATTCTCCTGCCTCAGCCTCCCGAGTAGCTGGGACTACAGGCGCCCGCCACCACGCCCGGCTAATTTTTTGTATTTTTAGTAGAGACGGGGTTTCACCGTGTTAGCCAGGATGGTCTCGATCTCCTGACCTCGTGATCCGCCCGCCTCGGCCTCCCAAAGTGCTGGGATTACAGGCGTGAGAAGAACTTTTTAAAAAAAAGATGGAGTCTCTCTATGTAGCCCAGGCTGGTCTCAAACTCCTGGTCTCAAGCAATTCATTAGGATTACAGGTGTGAGCCTGGTCAGTAGTCTCTTACAATCCTTTTTTTTTTTTTTTTTTTTTTTGAGACAGAGTCTTGCTCTTTCGCCAGGCTGGAGTGCAGTGGCATGATTTTGGCTCACTGCAACCTCCACCTCCCAGGTTCAAGAGATTCTCCTGCCTCAGCCTCCTGAGTAGCTGGGACTACAGGCACGTGCCACCACGCCCAGCTAATTTTTGTATTTTTAGTAGAGACGGGGTTTCACCATGTTGGCCAGGATGATCTCGATCTCTCGACCTCGTGATCAGCCCACCTCAGCCTCCCAAAGTGCTGGGATTACAGGTGTGAGCCACCGCACCTGGCCTCTTATAATCCTTTTTATTTACGTAAGGTTGGTAGTAAATTTCCTCTTTACTGATTTCAGTAGCTTGAGTCTTCTCTTTTTTTTTTTTCTTGGTTAGTCTAGCTAAATATTGTCAATTTCATTGATCTTTTCAAAAAACCAACTTTTGATTTTGTTGATTTTCTCTGTTGTTTCTCTATTCTCTATTACATGTATCTCCGTTCTAATCTTTGTTAATTTCTTTTTTCCATTTGCTTTGGATTTAGTTTGCTCTTCTCTTTCTAATTTACTTTTCTTTTTCTTTTGAGACAGGGTCTCACTCTGTCTCCCAGGCTAGAGTGCAGTAGTGCAATCATGGCTCACTGCAGCCTCAACCTCCCTGGGCTCAGGTGATCCTCTCACCTCAGTCTCCTGAGTAGCTGGGACTACAGGTGCGTGCCATCTCACTCAGCTAATTTTTGTATTTTTTGTAGAGATGGAGTTTTGCCACGTTGCCCAGACTGCTTTCGAACTCCTGGGCTCAAGCAATCCTCCTGCCTTAGCCTCCCAAAGCGCTGGGATTACTGGCATGAGCCATCATGCCTGACCCCTTTCTAGTTCTTTAATGTAGAAGATTTAATTATTTATTTGAGACCTTTCTTCTTCTTTTATGTAGATATTTACAGCTATAAATTTCCCTGTAAGCACTGCTATTGCTGCATCCCATAACTTTTGGTATGTGTGTCTTCATTTTCATTTGCCTCAAAGTATTTTCTGATTTTTAAAAATTTCTTTTTTTTTTGAGACGGAGTCTCGTTCTGTTACCCAGGCTGGAGTGCTGTGGCGCGATCTTGGCTCACTGCAACCTCTGCCTCCTGGGTGCAAGTGATTCTCCTGCCTCAGTCTCCTGAGTAGCTGGGATTACAGGTGCACATCACCATGCCGGCCTAATTTTTTTTATTTTTAGTAGAGACAGAGTTTCACTATGTTGGCCAGAGTGGTCTCGAACTCCTGACCTCATGATCCACCTGCCTTGGCCTCCCAAAGTGCTGGGATTACAGGTGTGAGCCACTGCGCCCAGCCTTAAAAATTTCTTTCTTAGCCAGGCGCAGTGGCTCATGCCTGTAATCCCAGCACTTTGGGAGGCCGAGGCAGGTGGATCACCTGAGGTCAAAAGTTTGAGACCAGCCTGACCAATATGGTGAAAACCCATCTCTACTGAAAATACAAAAATTAGCCAGGCGTGGTAGTGGGCACCTGTAGTCCCAGCTACTTCGGAGGCTGAGACAGGAGAATTGCTTGAACCTGAGAGGCGGAGGTTGCAGTGAGCCAAGATCACGCCATTGCACTCCAGCCTGGATGACAGAGCGAGACTCTGTCTCAAAAAAAAAAAAAAAAAAAAATTCTTTCTTGACTAAATCGTTATTTGGAAGTGTGTTGTTTAATTTCCACCTATATGAGCTTCAAGTCAGTAATTAAAAAAAAATTCCACCTATTTGTGGATATACCGAATTTCTCTCCATTGATTTCTATTTCCATTTAATTGTAATTGGAGAACATAATTTGTATTATTTCTGTCCTTTTAAATTTATTGAGGTTTGTTTTATGACCTGTCATATGATCTATCTTTAGAGTGTTCCATGTGCACTTAAAAATTTTGATTCCACTTTTGCTGGGTGAAGTGTTCTGTAGATGTCTGTTAAGTCTAGTTTGTTTCTAGCGCTGTTCAAGTCTTCTATTTCCTTGTCGACCTTCTGTCTAGTTGTTCTACCCATTATTGAAAATGAAGCATATAAGTCTTCAACTATTATTGTCAAATTGTCTATTTCTCTCTTCAATTCTTTCATTTTTTGGCTTCACATATTTTGCATTTCTGTTGTTAGCTGCATATATGTGTGTAATTGCTACATTTTCTTGATGGATTTTGCGGCACCTCTTTACAGAGGAAAAGTGATCTTGAATTTTATTGCAATTTACAAATATTACAAATGTTAAGGTATTATATTTATTGGTGACATCTCTTGACTCAGTCTGGATAAAGATGTTGTTAATTTTACTGTATTACATAAAACCTCTTTGGCATTAGGTAACAATGTCATTAACAGGGGGCCTTGTTGCACTTGGGGGAGCAAAATCCTCCCATTTCTCATGCTGCATATTGTTCTAGAGTCTGCTCAACTCTAAGTTTCCATCTGGCATTGTTAGTGTCTCATTAACTGTATGACTTTTCCTATCCTAGGCAATAATTCTGCTACTAAATAATTTTTTTCCTGAGCCTTTTTTCTGCTTGTGACTTTTAAAAACTTTAGTCTGTTTGAAGATTCCAGTAACTACTTACAATAATCAGCCCGTTTACTTGTCAAATGACTATGATTTGTAGTCGAGTGTCTTTTCACTTTTGTGGGAGCCGTTGCTGAATGTGTAAGTTGCTCACCACAGATGACACACAAATGAACAGAAAACTCAAAGCCCATGTAAAGCCCATTTACAAATATCTTTAATTATGTAGATGAACTTTTTTGTGTCCATTGTCCTCTAGTGCATTGAAATGACTCAGAAAACTGAAATTTCTCATCGCTAATTTGAGAAGTGTCGTAGCCAGGTGCAGGGATGAGTGCCTGTAATCTCAGCTACTTGGGAAGCCGAGACACCTTAAGCTTGGGAGTTCCAGACCACAGACCAGCCTGGGGGCAACATAGCAAGACCTTGTCTCTTAAAAAAAAAAAAAAAATGCCAGTGTAGTGGCTCATGCTTATAATCTCAGCACTTTGGGAGGCTGAGGTGGGTGGGTCACCTGAGGTCAGGAGATCGAGACCAGCCTGGCCAACGTGGTAGAACCCCGTCTCTACTAAAAATACAAAAATTAGCCAGGAGTGGTGGCAGACGCCTATAATCCTGGCTACTTGGGAGGCTGAGGCAGGACAATCACTTGAACCTGGGGTGTGGAGGTTGCAGTGAACCGAGATCATGCCACTGCACTCCAGCCTGGGTGATGGATTGAGACTCCATCACAAAAAAGAAAGGAAAAAAAAAAAAAAAGAAGAAAAAGGAAAAAAGGGAAGTTTCTGTAAACCTAGGCTTTGAATCCCCCTTTTCTTTTTTATACTACATCTATCTTCAAAAATCAGCATATTGGACTATCAAACATGTTGGTAAGACACAAACGCTAGTTCTAAGAGGATATAACTGGAAGAGTATGGTAAATATCTACCTGAGAAAATTGAAAAAATGATGAATGTGTCACAGTATGCATCACTTCTAATATATGCAATTCACATTTTGCAATGTTTACAGTAACTGCAAAATGACAAGGATGGATGTCCTTGTCATTGTAGCACTAAAAATTCCATCTTTAGCATGAAACTTTACCTCTTATTTTCTACTAAACTGATAAGGCGTGTTTGCCTTGTGAGTAAAATGGCAGTGTGTAAGGAAGCTGGGAAAGGAAATTTGAGTAAGAGAGTGTGGTGTTCTAAAATATGTCCACAAAAAAGGTGGAGCTGGCTCATGCCTGTAATCCCAGCACTTTGGGAGGCCGAGGCGGGTGGATCACCTGAGGCCAGGAGTTCGAGACCAGCCTGGCCAACATGGTGAAACCCCGTCTCTACTAAAAATGCAAAAAAATTAGCCAGGCGTGGTGGCACACACCTGTAATCCCAACTACTAGGGAGGCTGAGGCAGGAGAATCACTTGAACTTGGGAGGTGGAAGTTGCAATAAGCTGAGATCAGGACACTGCACTCCAGCCTAGGTGACAGAACCAGACTCCATCTCAAAAAAAAAAAAAAAAAAAAAAAAGTGGAGCCCATTTCCACTCCCTCATCCCCTCAAGCATGAGCTATCCCTAGTGATTTGCTTAGTGAATGGCATGTGGCAGAAGTGACAGTGTGTGATATTCAAGATCAGGACATACAGAGCATGTGCAGCTGTGCAAGGGGCTCACACCTGTAATCCTAGCACTTGGGGAGGCCAAGGCGGGAGGGTCGCTTTTGGACAGGAGTTTGAGACTAGCCTGGGAAATATAGCAAGACCCTGTCTGTACAAAAAACTTTAAAAATTAGCCAGGCATGGTGGCACGTGCCTGTAGTTCCAGTGAGGTGGGAGGCTGAGGCAGGAGGATGGCTGGAACCCAGAAGTTAGAGGTTACAGTGAGTAATGATTGCACCACTGCATTCCAGTCTTTGCAACAGAGCAATATCCTGTCTCTAAGAAAAGGAAAGCACTGTGGCTTTCTCCATGCGCTCTCTCTTGGATCACTCTCCTGGGGGAAAACCAGAAACCAAGATGTCAGGACACTTAAGCAGCCCTAGGAAGAGTCCCACATGGCAAGGAACTGAAACCTTCTGCCAATAATAAAGTAAGGTCCTTTGTTCACATGTTTATCTGCTGACCTTCCCTCCACTATTGTCCTATGACCCTGCCAAATCCCCCTCTCCGAGAAACACCCAAGAATGATCAATAAATACTAAAAAAATAAAAAATAATAATAATAAAGTAAGGGAGCCATCTTGGAGGTAGACCCCCACCAGACCCTGTCAAGCCTTCAGGTGACTGAATCCCCAGATGACATCCTGATTGCAACCCTACAAGAGCCTGAGCTAGAGTTGCCCACCTAAACTACCAAATTCCTGTCCCACAGAAACCATAATATGAGATAAATTGTTGGTTGTAAATTTTGGAGTGATTTGTTATGCAGCAACAGATAACTAATACAGATTGGGGCTTACGCCACCAGCTTACCATCCTCCTCCACACAATACAGAGCTCGTCCTCTATTAGCAGCCTCCCCATCTTGTGTCGAAACTGAGAATGGCCTCAGCCAAATGAACTCAGCGCTACTCTGCACTATCAACAACGTTCCACTGACCAAAGCAAGGTACATGGCCAAGTCCAGATTCAAAGGTAGGAGAAATAAACCATATGTCTTGGTGGGAGAGGCTGGATAAAGATGTTAATTTTACTGTATTACATAAAACCTCTTTGACATTAGGTAACATGTCATTAACAGAGGGCCTTATTCATCAGAGAAATGCAAATTAAAACCACAATGAGATACCATCTCACACCAGTTAGAATGGCAATCATTAAAAAGTCAGGAAACAACAGGTGCTGGAGAGGATGTGGAGAAATAGGAACACTTTTACACTGTTGGTGGGACGGTAAACTGGTTCAACCATTGTGGAAGTCAGTGCGGCGATTCCTCAGGGATCTAGAACTAGAAATACCATTTGACCCAGCCATCCCATTACTGGATATATACCCAAAGGACCATAAATCATGCTGCTATAAAGACAACATGAACACGTATGTTTATTGCGGCACTATTCACAATAGCAAAGACTTGGAACCAACCCAAATGTCCAACAATGATAGACTGGATTAAGAAAATGTGGCACATACACACCATGGAATACTATGCAGCCATAAAAAATGATGAGTTCATGTCCTTTGTAGGGACATGGATGAAATTGGAAATCATCATTCTCAGTAAACTATCGCAAGGACAAAAAACCAAACACCGCATGTTCTCACTCATAGATGGGAATTGAACAATGAGAACACATGGACACAGGAAGGGGAACATCACACTCTGGGGACTGTTGTGGGGTGGGGGGAAGGGGGAGCGATAGCATTAGGAGATATACCTAATGCTAAATGACGAGTTAATGGGTGCAGCACACCACCATGGCACATGTATACATATGTAACTAACCTGCACATTGTGCACATGTACCCTAAAACTTAAAGTATAATAATAATAAAAAAAAGAAAAAGAATGGAGATTATCTCAGGTAAATGGTTTATAAATAAACTTTTGCCTTCTTTCTTAAAAAACAAAACAAAACAAAACAAAAAACAAAAACACAGAGGGCCTTATTGCACTTTGGGGGAGCAAAATCCTCCCATTTCTCATGCTGCATATTGTTCTAGAGTCCATTCAACTCTAAGTTGCAAAGTCATATTGCAAAGAAGCCTGCATACAGGAAAGAGAGGGATTTGTAACCATTTTTAAAAATCTACCACTAGCAGGAATATTTTGTTGTGCCAGGAAGCACAGAAACTGTCAAAGACTAATGAAGTCATTTGAAAAGGACATATGAGACAACTTGAGGGGGCTTCACTGGCCTAACATGGAAAAATTAGGATTTGTTTTTAAATACTCAAGAAAAGTCCAGGCACAGTGGCTCATGCCTATAATCCCACAGCTTTGGGAGGCTGAGGCAAGGGAGGATCACTTGAAGCCAGGAGTTCAAGACCAAACTGGGCAACATAGTGAGACCCTATCTCTAAAAATAAATAAATAATTAACCGGGCATGGTGACATGTGCCTGTAGTCCCAACTACTTGGGAGGCTGAGGTGGGAGGATTGCTTGAGCCAGAGAGGTCGAGGCTGCAGTGAGCCATGGTTGTGTCACTGCACTCTGGCCTGGGTGGCAGAGTGAGACCCTGTCCCAATAAAATAAAACAAAATACTGAAGAAAAAACAAAATTGGAGTGTGGAGAGATAAAACAGGTTTGACAGAATGTTGAGAATAGCCAAAGCTTAGTGATGGACAGAGGAAGATTAATTTTTTTTAGTCTCTTTACTTTTGGTATGTTTGACATTTTTCTTAATAAGAATTTTCAAAAAGTCACATGTATTTAGGACAAAAAAATTTAGAAAACACAGAAATGTAAAAAGTGAAAAATAATTGGTTAATCCCACCACTCAGAGATAAGTGTTGGTAATACCGGACTGTCCTTCTAGGCTGTTCCTATTCATATTTGCAAACTGTGGCCTCCCAGCCTTGCTCAGAATGTCACTAACCATTGTTGTCTTAGTCTGTTTTGTGCTGCGATAGCAGAATACCACACACTGGCTAATTTGTAACAAACAGAAATTTATTTGGTTCATGGTTCTGGAGGCTGGGAAGTCCAAGATTGAGGAATGCATCTGGCGAGGGTTTCTTGCTGCGTCATAACATGACTGAAGGTATTGCATGGTGAGAGAAGGCAAGAGATTGAATTTGCAGTCTCAAGCTCTTTTAAAATTGGCATGAATCTATTCATAAGGGTGGAGCCCTCATGATCTAAACTGCTCCCATTGGGCCCCGTCTCCCAATACTGCTGCACTGGGGATTACATTTCCAACACATACTTTTTGGGGGACACATTCAAGCCATAGCAATCGTTAAGTAAACACAGCCTTCTGCGACACACCAGGGAGCTGTGCCTCATGGTTACTGGTAGGAGAAGCAACTTGCTTGCACATTGTTACCTGTAATTTGGATCCTATGGACTTGGCACTGTGGCTTTGGGTCCCATGTCTGAAACCCTTTTTTGTTTTGTGCGTTTTTTGTTTGTTTGTTTTGTTTTGCCCTGACTCAGGATCTTAACACTTTGGGAGGCAGATCCCTTCTGGCCCTTAGGGAGATCTCTTCTGAAACCTGTTTAGCTGCCTATTTCTGGGCAGGCCGCCACAACTACAAAGGGAATTGTGAGTATGCCACAAACCTATATTTGAATGCAACCTATCCTAAGCATACCCTAAGCTTCCCTTTCCTTTTCACATTATTAGGTAATAAGAAGACTGAAATGTTGAAATGTTGTTTAATTTATATGGATTTATTTTACAAATGTCACCAAATCAGAACCATATTCTACTTTTTCCACCTTACATATCCTGGGAATATTTTTGTGTGCTATTAAATATATATATATCTATATATATATATATATTTTTTTTGAGATGGAGTTTTGCTCTTGTCACCCAGGCTGGAGTGCAATGGCACGATCTCAGCTCACGGCAACATCCGCCTCCAAGGTTCAAGTGATTCTCCTGCCTCAGCCTCCCATGTAGCTGGGAATACAGGCGCCTGCCACCACACCTGGCTAATTTTTGTATTTTTTGTAGAGACAGGGTTTCACCATGTTGGCCAGACTGGTCTTGAACTCCTGACCTCAGGTGATCTGCCCGCCTCAGTCTCCCAAAGTGCTGGGGACAGGTGTGAGCCACCACGCCCGGCCTTAAATATACTTTCTAATATGATATTTTGTGCTGGCATAATTTTCTGAAGTTGCGTGTTATACATTCAAATTATTTTCCACAGCAATTTTCACAGCTCTAAATAATGCCACAATGAATATTTTTATAAATAAATCTTCCACTACCTCTCTGTCTCTTAGAATAGGTTCCTCGATATGGAATTACTGAATCAAGGCATTTGAACATTCATTTAAAACTCTTCATATGCATCTTGTTTTATGTTAAAATGTTGCCAATGTGATATGTGAAAAAATGATATTTTCCTTTTTTTTTTTCTTGAGACAGCAGGTTTCTCTGTCACCCAGGCTGGGGTTCAGTGATGCAATCATAGCTCGCTGCAGCCTTGATCTCCTGGGCTCAAGCAGTCCTCCTGCCTCAGCCTCCCAAGTAGCTGGGACTATAGGCACGCACCACCATACCTGGCTAGTGTTTTATTTTTTGTAGAGACGGGGGTCTCACTATATTGCCTAGACTGGTCTCTAACTCCTGTGCTCAAGCGATTCTCCCTCCTTAGCCTCCCAAAGTGCTGGGATTACAGGCATGGGCCGCAGCATCTGGCTGATTTGCTTTTCTTTGATCACTGGTGAAACAAACAAACGAAAGCATTTTAATGATTTTGGCGAAAGGTCAGGAGACATTAAGTGAAAAAGGACCCAGAACTCACTCTTTTGAATGACAATTTCTATAATATGACCTGCCACTACTTTAGCACTTGGTAGGAATTAGTATTAGAACATTGGAGCTGGACAGATTTGGGCTTGAAGTCCAGCACCTTCCAGATGTAACCTTGCGCAGATTCCTCACCCCATTTCTTCAACCTGTGGGAAGGGAGTCATAGGAGTCCCCGCCATCCTGTGTGCCGTGGCAATTTCATGAAGTCAAGTCTTAGCTTTTGCCTGCCCTGGAGTAAACACTCAACAAGTTAACTGTCAGGGCCATGACATACACGGACATTTGGAAATATTATCAAGTGTAAACAGATTATTGCTAAATGGTGGTGTACCATGTGATATTTTTGTTGTTCCTTTTTTACCTTGTTCTGTGCTGTTGAAGTTTTCTTTGTGTTTTTGTTTTTTTGTGTGTTTTTTTGAGGTGGAGTCTCCCTCTGTCGCCTATGCTGGAGTGCAGTGGCGTGATCTCAGCTCACTGCAACTCCGCCTCCTGGGTTCAAGTGATTCTCCTCCCTCAGCCTCCTGAGTAGCTGCGACTACAGGCGTGCACAACCACATCTGGCTAATTTTTGTATTTTTAGTAGTAACGGGGTTTCACCATGTTGGCCAGGATGGTCTCAATCTCCTGACCTCGTGATCCACCTGCCCCGGCCTCCCAAACTGCTGGGATTACAGGTGTGAGTCACTGCACCTGGCCGCTGTTGAAATTTTTAATAATTATCATGTGTTTTTTAATGAAGCCGGAAAACTTTTTTAGATGTTTTTTTTTCAAATGCAGCACCTCCTAGCTGGAAGTCCCCACTCCCCAAGGCTTGCAAATGCTTCAGCACTAAGCTGGCCCCCAGACAGCTGACCCCCCAGCCCACCCGCAGCTGATGTCTCAGAAGGCTGCAAGGATCAGTGTGTCGGGGCCGTCTGCCAGGTGCACAGCTGTGACCTCTTACAGTCTGAGCTGCTCTTGCCACAGCGAATTGGGGGCCCTGCTGGCTGGGGAGAGGGTCCAGCTGGAACTGAGCAGAAATGGGGAAGCTGAGAACTGCTGTGATAGCCCCAACCCATCCGGTACTACCATCTGTGCCTCTGGCCTGACAATCCCCGCAGGAGTTGGAATATTTTTAGAGCTGACAGAGGCCTTCCTGATCACCTAGCCCATGGTTCAGCCTTGGCTGCATGTGAGAATCATTCAGGAAGCATCTTCAAACAAGCTGATGCCTGTGTTCCACTCCAGACCTTTTAGAGCAGGATGTCCGGAGGTGGGCCCAGGTATTGGCAGGTGATTCTAATAGGCAGACAGGGTAAAAAACCACCACATCCATTTTTTTCCTTTCAGAATCAGAGAAGCTGAGTGCCTCTCGTAGCATCACATGGTAGGACACATGGTAGGACCCCAGTGGAGTCCTCAGCTGGTACAACAGCACAAATCATCATAGTCCTCCCTTACAACCTGAGAAGACTGAGTGGTTTGCAGAGATTTTTTTTCAGTCATCTCAATTAGTCCACATAATGTGGGGTGAGGAAGGCAGGTGGATATTTTCTCTGTTCCATGGGTCAGAAAACTGAGGCTCAGGAGGGTGATGTGAATTGCAAATTTGAGATAGAAGCAGAATGACAATGTGACTTAATTCCCAAGACATCCAAAGGCAGGGCTACTTCCCAGGGAGCCACTAAGGTGGAAATGCCTTTGCGGGCTGGCTGAGAGGGGCATTCTCGAGCCCTGTTCCAGACCTGCTGCACCAGCACATCTGGGTGTGGGAAGGTGTATGTACAGTTTTTAGAAACTCCTCAAGGGATTATAGTGGACACTACAATTTGAAGATCATTTCAAGTGCCTCTACTGTGGGGACCTGTGGCTACACAGCAACAGTATATTCCAATTTCTAATTGAATTTTAATCATGGGAGGCTGAGCAGAAGAAAATCTCAAAGAAACTATAATTCATATTCTCAGAGAGATAAGATACTATACTCACTAAGCTAGCATAGGATGGTATTTAATTTTAAGAGAAATGGCGACATTGAAAAATAAAAGGCAATGGAGATACGTTGACAAAATTCTGAGTGCCAATGCTTATTTTTGTTTTGGGGGGATTTTTTGTTTTGGTTTGGTTTTTTTGAGACAGAGTCTTGCTCTGTTGCCCAGACTGGAGTGCAGTAGCATAATCATGGCTTACTGTGGCCTTGAACTCCTGGGCAAAAGCAATTCTCCCACCTCAGCTTCCTGAGTAGCTGGGACCCCAGGTGTGATCCACCATATCTGGCTAATTTTTTTTTCTAGAGATGGGGGTGTCACTGTGTTGCCCAGGCTGTTCTCAAACTCCTGAGCTCAAGAGATCCTCCCATCTCAGCCTCCTAAAGTGTTGGGATTATAGGCATGAGCCACCATGACCAGACTTATTTTTGTTTTTTGAGATGGGGGCTCCCTATATTGCTCAGGCTGGCCTCAAACTTCTGGACTCAATCTTCCTGCTTCAGCCTCCCTAGTAGCTGAGATTACAGGTACATGCCTCTGCACCCAGCTGACAATGTGTGTTTTTTGTTTTTTTGAGATAGAGTTTCGCTCTCTTGCCCAGGCTGGACTGCAGTGGCACGATCTCGGCTCACTGCAACCTACGGCCCCTGGGTTCAAGTGATTCTCCTGCCTCAGACTCCCTGGTAGCTGGTATTACAGGCACCCACCACCACGCCCTGCTAATTTTTGTATTTTTGGTAGAGACGGGGTTTCACCATGTTGGCCAGGCTGGTCTCGAATTCCTGGCCTCAGGTGATCCACCTGCCTCGGCCTCCCAAAGTGCTGGGATTACAGGCATGAAGCCACCACGCCTGGCCAAAGCTGACAATGTTTTTTAACCAAAGAACTCATTCTATGCCTAGCCAAACTATCAATGAAATGTCTATGAAACAGAAAGACGTATTAGGACTTGCAAAATGAAAAATGAGCCAACTAATAACTGAGCAAACAAACGTATGTGCCTTTTCTCAGAAGCTACTGTGCACCACAGTTAGAAACTGGCCAGTTCAGACTGCAGCAAGAGGACAGACGACAGAGGCTCTAGGATGGATGCTTTGAGAAAAACAATGGAATGGATGCCTTTGGTCCTAGGGATAATCGTGCTAAGAGGCCTTTGGATAGAGCTGTAGAGCCGCTGGAATTTAGGGAAAGATGTGGCCAGAGATTCAGAGAGAACTAAACAAATGGAAAAGAATGAGGCAAACACAAAAAGTTATGTCAGAAAGGAAATGCAATCACAATACTCCACCTGCTTATTGTGGAGTAGAGTTTCAGAAGCATAATAATGGAAACACTAACTATGGATTTCAGCAAAAATTGTCATATATTTAGGGGACAGCGGAAGCAGGGGGAAGTCATCAGGAGGCTTATTGCTTGAACACACATGTTAGTGACGGGTACCCAGAAATGAGCAATAACTAGGTAAAAGTCAAAACAAGCAGTGCGGTTGGTGGGAGTGTAAATTAGTTCAACCATTGTGGGAGACAGTGTGGCGATTCCTCAAGGATCTAGAACAAGAAATACCATTTGACCCAGCAATCCCATTACTGGGTGTATACCCAAAGGACTATAAATCATTCTACTATAAAGACACATGCACACGTATGTTTTTTTGTGGCACTATTTGCAATAGCAAAGACTTGGAACCAACCCAAATGCCCATCAATGATAGACTGGATAAAGAAAATGTGGCACATACACACTATGGAATACTATGCAGCCATAAGAAGAATGAGTTCATGTCCTTTACAGGGACATCGATGAAGCTGGAAACCATCATTCTCAGCAAACTAACACAGGAACAGAAAACCAAACACGACATCTTCTCACTCATAAGTGGGAGTTGAACAATGAGAATACATGGACACAGGGAGGGGAATATCACATGGGGCCTGTCGGGGGTGAGGGGCAAGGGGAGGGAGAACATTAGAACAAATACCTAATGCATGCGAGGCTTAAAAGCTATGATGGATTGATAGGTGCAGTAAACCACCATGGCACATATATACCTATGTAACAAACCTGCATGTTCTGCACTTGTATCCCAGAACTTAAAGTAAAATAAAAAAACAAAACAAAACAAAATTAAGCAGGGTGGGTGCTAACACTCAGGGAGTCATTGAGGCAACAAGTGACAGCTTTATATTACATGTCCATCAATGGATGAGTGGATAAATAAGATGTAGCATATCCATATAATCAAATGTTATTCAGCAATAAAAAGAAATGAAGTATTGATACATGCAACAAATAGGATGAACCTTGAAGACATTATACTAAGCAAAACAAGCCAGTCAGGAAAGACTGTGCCTTGTGTGATTCCATTTATATGCAATATTTGGAACAGGCAAATCTATAGAGACAGAAAGCAGACTACTGGTTGCCAGGGATTGGGGTGAGAGGAGCGGGAGAATAGGGGAATGACAGTAATGGATACGGGGTGCCTTTTAGGGTAGATGAAAATGTCCTTAAATTGATTGTGGTGATAGTTAATATATTAAAAACACTCAATTCTACACTCTAACTGGGAGAATCACATGGTATGTAAATTAAATATTTAAAACAATTTAAAAAATACATCAACCTAGCAATCATGCTTCTTGGTATTTATCCAAATGAACTGAAAACTTATGTGCACAGAAAACCTGCACATGGATGCACAGAGCAACATTATTCATGAGTGCCAAAACCTGGAAGCAACCAAGATGCCCTTCAGTAGGTGAATGGATAAACGAACCCTGGTACATTCAAACGTGGATTATTATTCAGAGCTAAAAAGAAAAAAGAAGTGAGCTAAAAAGAAATCAAGTCATGAAAAAATACGGAGGAAACTTAAATGAGTATTACTAAGTGAAAGAAGCCAATTTGAAACGGATACATACTGTATGATTCAAACTATATGACATTCTGGAAAAAGTGAAACAGTAAAAAACAAACAAAGATAGTAAAAAGATCAGTGGTTGTTAGAGGTTGAGGGGAGAAAGGGATGAGTAGGCAGATCACAGAGGATTTTTAGGGCAGTAGAATTATTCTGCATGATCCTATAGTGGTAGATACAGTTCATGATTCATTTTTCAAAACCCATAGAACATGCAACACCACAGGTGAACCCTAATGTTAACTATAGACTTTGAGTGATAACCGTGTGTCAATATAGGTTCATTAGTTGTAATAAATGCAACACTCCAGTGTAGAATATTGTCAGCTGGGAAGGTTGGTGGGGACAGGGAGTATATGAGAAGTCTCTGTCCAACACTCCAGTGTAGAATATTGTCAGCTGGGAAGGTTGGTGGGGACAGGGAGTATATGAGAAGTCTCTGTACTTTCCATTCAATTTTGCTGTGAAGCTAAAACTCTTCTGAAAAATAGTCTATTTTAAAAAGAAAAGAAAGCAATATCCCTATTTTATGTGTGTGTGCATGCATGATTATGTGTGTGTATATATAATTTCACTGTGTTCTAACTTTTATAATTGCTATGAGAAATTGACTGCAGATCTAATTCTAGCTTCTTTATAGGTGATCTTTTTCCTGTGGTCTTTTAAAATATTTCTGTCTTACATGTTCTGCATTTCCACTGCAGTGTGTTTAGGTATTGATTCCTTTTTATTTATCCTGTTTCCTATAGCTATGGGTCCTAGTCTATCCTCAGTACTAGACATTTCTCAGCCATTATCACTTCAAAGACGCCTCTCTTCCATTTTCTGTATTTCATCCTCGTGAAGTTTTGACTGGGGTATGTTGAACCTTCTCACCCTACTCTTCTTATTTTCTTATTCTTTTTTTTTTTTTTGTGATGGAGTCTCACTGTGTCGCCCAGGCTGGCAAACACTGGCGCGATCTCAGCTCCCTGCAAGCTCCTCTTCCCAGGTTCACGCCATTCTCCTGCCTCAGCCTCCCAAGTAGCTGGGACTACAGGTGCCTGCCACCACACACAGCTAATTTTGTTTTTGTATTTTTAGTAGAGACGGGGTTTCACCGTGTTAGCCAGGATGGTCTCGATCTCCTGACCTCATGATCCGCCCGCCTCGGCCTCCCAAAGTGCTGGGATTACAGGCGAGAGCCACCGCGCCCGGCCTCTTATTTTCTTACTCTTATTTTCTATCTCCTTGGTCTCTCTCTTTCCATTTTCGATAAATTCTCTCTTCATCTTTATATACTCTTCTCTTTAACCCTTCCATGGAGTAGTTTTGTTCACTTTTTAGTTTGAGAGAATTGTAGATTCACATGCAGTTTTGAGAAAAAACATAGAAAATTCCCACGTACTCTATCCAGTTTCTGCCAATGGTAACATCTTGCAAAACTACAGAACAGTATCATAACCAGGACATTGACAATGATACAGTCAAGATACAGAATATTTCCATCACCCTCATGGAATCTCATGGAACATTTCCTCACCCAAGAATCCCTCATGCTGCCCTTTTATACCCACCCCTACCCACCCCTACTTTTCTCCCACCCCACCCACTTCTGGCAACCATTAATCTATTTGCCATTCTCCATTTCTATAATTCTGTCATTTTAAGAATGTTATATAAATGGAATCATACAGTATGTAACCTTTTGGATTGACTTTTTTTTCCTCTCAGCATAATTCTGTGGAGATTCATCCCCTCTATTCCTATTTTTCTGAGAGTCGTTTGTTTGTTTGTTTAATCATGAACAGGTGTTGAATTTTGTCCAATACTGTTTTTTTGCACCAATTGATATAATCTCATAGGTATTTTTCTTTAGTCTATTAATATGGTAGATTATATTGATTGATGTTCAAATATTGAACCGGCTTTCCATCGCTGGAACCCTGTTTAGTCATGAGGTACAATTCTTTTTGTATATTGCCAAATTTTATTTGCTAATATTTGTTAAGGATTTGTACATCTATATTCATAAGGGAGATTGGTTTATTGAGTTTTTATTTCAACAATTATATTTTTAATTTCTAACCTTTAGTTTGTTTTAAAATCTGTCTTGCTACTGACAATCTCTTGTTGCCTTCATATTTTTGTGTTTCTAGCTTTGTTTCTTTGGTGATAATGAATTGTGAGTTCATATTTTGTTTATCTAAATCTGGGAGGAAACCCTAGAGCTTACATTGGGGATGGTTTCCTCCAAATAGAATTCGCATTTTCTTTTGCTGCAGGCCAGAGAGCCACTCACCTAGGGCCACTTTAACCCTCTTTGTTCCTATCTCCTCTCATCAGGTCTCAGGCCAAGGTCCCCATTCCAGCCCTTTGCTACTGGCCCATGGATCAATCTCGACTGCAAGACAGCAGGTAGCATTTACTGTCCAGGCAACTCTGTCTCTCAAGACTTTTCCCTCTTGAAAATTTCCCTCCATTTCTCACAAAGCCAGCAAAGCAACACAAACAATGGTTTAGGCAAGATCTAGGATTTCCTTCCCTTCCTTCCTTCCTTCTTTCCTTCCTTCCTTCCTTCCTCCCTCCTCCCTCCCTCCTTCCACTCCCTCTCTCCTTCCTTCCTTCCTTCTTTCCTTCCTTCCTTCCCTCCTTCCTTCCTTCCCTCCTTCCTTCCTTTATTCCTTCCTTCCCTCTCTCTCTCTTTCTTATTTCTTTTCATTTTCATAGGAGGTGCCCTAAGAATATCTTGTCTACCACACTGCTGGTAGTGGAATGACATTCCATTGTACATCCACCATATAACAAATACTTCAATGTTTGACACTTCAAATGTTAAGAAGACAGAGTAATTGAACCCTTACACATTGCTGGTAGGAGCATAAATTCAAGACAATAATTTTGGAGAGCTAGTTACTATTATCTAGAAAATTTGAAAATGCACATATCCTACATTTTATTTGTAGCCCATACTCTACAGGAACTCTTCCGCATATGGCTAATAGAGACATAGAATATTCATTGTGCATTGTTTATAAAAGAACTCATTGGAAACAGACTAAATGTTCATTAATAGCATAATTGTGGTATGTTTATGCAATGGAATACTATGCAACAGTGGAAAAGAATAAACCAGACCCACAAGTATTAATATGGGCAAGTATACATAATAAGAGTAAACACAAAGCAAGTTGCAGAGAAATACATATAACATGACTATGTTTGCAAAAAGTTTAAAACATGCAAAACAACAATAAACATGACTTAAGAATGCCTACATATGTAGTAAGAATATGAAGAAATGCATAATAACAATAAACACCAAACTCAGGACAGCAGCCTGAAGAGAAGGCTGAAAATATAAAATATAAATAGAAATAGAAAGGGGGGCCCAGGGACTGAACTGGTATTGTTTGTTTTATTTCTTAAACTGGTGATGAGGACATGGTTATTCACTATATTACTCCTTGTACCTTTTAGGAGGTCTTGCCTTGTCTTCTGGTCAGCTTAATACCTCTGAGTACTTCTAATGGCGTGAATCCCAGAATCACTAGTAGCAATGGAATTAAGTTCAACTAGGGAGAAGATGTGTATGAGAAGACAGCTGAGGCCCACCAATATCTCTGGAGGCTGAGAAGGGGGAGAACTTGGCAAGTGTGGTGTTTTCAAATCCATAGGAGGGGAGAGCTTCAAAAAGGCTTATGTAGTAGGCAGCTTCTGAACTGGCTCCAAAAAATCTCCACCTCCTGGTATTCACATCCTCATGTAATCCCCTCCCATCGAACATGGGATGGACCCAGTCACTTGATTCTAACAAATAGAATATGGTAAATTGATTTCCTAGCTTAGGTTACAAAAGAGTGTGAATTCTGTCTTGTCCAGACTTTCTTTTTCTGGCTCATCTTACTGGCTTGCTGTGATGAAGCAAGCTGCCATGTTGTGAGTTGTCTGATGGAGAGACCCACATGACAATAGACTGAGGGTGGCTGCTAGCCTACAACAAGCAATGAACTGAGGTCTTTGGTCCAACAACACTTGAGGGACTGAATCCTGTCAACAATAATGTGAGTAAGCATGGAACTGGAGCCTTCCTTTGTCAAGCTTTCAGATGAGACCACAGCCCCAGCCAACACCTTGATTGTAGCAAGCCATGCAATCTGCATGCCATAGTTTCAACCTACAGAAACTATGAGGTAATAATGTTGTTGTTATAAGTCATTACATTTTGGGGTAATTTGTTGTGCCTCCATCAATAACAAATACAGATTTTGGTAACTGGAAATAGGAGGCTGCTGCTAACTAACACCTAAAAGTGTGGGAGCAGCTTTGGAACCCTTGGTGTGCACAGACTGGGAAGATTTAGAGGAGCATATTAGAAAAAGCCTAAATTGCCTTGAACACATTGTTAGTAAACATCTTGACTTTGAGGAGGCTGCCAGTGGGGGCTAAAAAGGAAATGAGGAAAATATTATTAGAAACTAGAGGAAGGATGGGTGTGTGCTTATTGTATAGTGACAGAAAGCTTAGTGACATGTCAATCTGAAATCATGTGGAAGCCAGAATACGTGGCTAATGAACTAGGTGATTTAGTTAAGAAGATTTTCAAGTGAAGTATTGAAGGTGTCTCCTGGTTTCTTCTTGCTGCTTATAGTAAATTGCAAGAGATGAAAGATAAATCAAAGGAAGGACTATTAAAACTATTAAACAGGCCAGGTGTGGTGGCTCATGCCTGTAATCCCAGCACTTTGGGAGGCCGAGGTGGGTGGATCATTAGGTCAGGAGATCAAGACCATCCTGGCTAACATGGTGAAACCCCATCTCTACTAAAAATACAAAATACTAGCCAGGCGTGGTGGCGGGCACCTGTAGTCCCAGCTACCTGGGAGGCTGAGGCAGGAGAATGGCATGAACCCAGGAGGTGGAGCTTGCAGTGAGCTGAGATCCAGCCACTGCACTCCAGTCTGGGCAACAGAGTGAGACTCCGTCTCAAAAAAAAAACAAAAAACAAAAAAACAAAAAACTATTAAACAAAAAAGAAGCCAGGACTTTATGATTTTGAAAGTTTGCAGTCTCTCTAGATGGCAAACTATATGAAAGTTAAGAAATGGCTTCTTGGCTGGGTGCAGTGACTCACGCCTATAATTCCTATAGTTTGGGAGGCTGAGGCAGGAGGGTTGCTTGAGCCCAGAGGTTCAAGACCAGCCTTGGCAACATAGTGAGACCCCTGTCTCTACAAAAATAAAAAAAATTAGCTGGGTATGGTGGTGCATACCTGTAGTCCTAGTACTACAGAGGCTAAGGTGGCAGGATCACTTGAGCCTGAGAGGTTGAGGCTGCAGTGAGTCAAGATTGTGCCACTGCATTCCAGCCTGGGCAACAGAGTGAGACCCCATTTCTTTCTTTCTTTCTTTTTTTTTTTTGAGACAGAGTCTCGCTCTCTGCTGCCCAGGCTGGAGTGCAGTGGCGCAATCTCGGCTCACTGCAAGCTCCGCCTCCCGGGTTCATGCCATCCTCCTGCCTCAGCCTCCCCAGTAGCTGGGACTACAGGCGCCCGCCACCATGGCCGGCTAATTTGTTCTGTATTTTTAGTAGAGACGGGGTTTCACTATGTTAGCCAGGATGGTCGAGTGAGACCCCATTTCTAAAAAGAAAAAAAGTATTACTTCTGGGCACTGGCAGAAAAACATGGTCTGGTAATAAAATAAAGGCAAGAGTGTGACTCTACAACCTTTCATTAAGACTCAGGGCCGGGCGCGGTGGCTCACGCCTGTGATCCCAGCACTTTGGGAGGCCGAGGCGGTTGGATCACGAAGTTAGGAGATTGAGACCATCCTGGCTAACACGGTGAAACCCCGTCTGTACTGAAAATACAAAAAAATTAGCGGGGCGTGGTGGCGGGCGCCTGTAGTCCCAGCTACTCAGGAGGCTGAGGCAGGAGAATGCTGTGAACCCGGGAGGTGGAGCTTGCAGGGAGCAGAGATCGCGCCACTGCACTCCAGGCTGGGCGACACAGCAAGACTCCATCTCAAAAAGAAAACAACAACAACAAAAAACTCAGAAAGACCAAAGAATCAGAGTATTACTCAGTCACATATGGGGCTCTTTCAGGAGAATTAGGGTGTCCCTCCCTGATTCTTTCCAATAAAACAATAGGCCCTCCAGAAAGTTTAAGAGCATCGGCCCCCAGCAGTAGCCCAAGACTTTTGACAAATAGAGTGAACCCTGGTGAGATTCACAGAAAATGCACAAAGTTTTTGAGAAAATTATCTAAGCAGAAATACTGCCAGTTTGGGCTGAAAGGGACCAAGATGTACAAAATGAAAGAAGTCTATTGGACCTCCAACATTTTACTGGAAGGAAACAGGCTGAGAAAACCATTCAGGTGCAAAGGATTGTTACCTTTTATGATAAAGGAGGGATGGCTCAGAGGCCGAGCCAAGAGCCTAAAAGATGCAGCCAAAAGTCATGGAGAATTATTCCTAAGTCTTGAAACCTCATCAAGGAACTCCCAATATTTTAGTCAGCTGGATTTGAGAATTTTTGTGGACCAGTGGTTTTCTTACCTCTCATTTTCCCAATTTTTGAGCAGGAATCTCTACAGCTGTGATCCATGTCTGTCCCACCACTGCATGTCAGGTGGATTGGTGCAGGGCAGACATCTGGTCTCTTTGGTTTCATGAATCCACAGATGGAGAGGAAACACACTTGAAAGTTGGAGCTACACCCCAGGCGCTCCCATCACAGCTGGACCTGATTGAGATGATGATGCGGAACTGGACTTTCAGCTGATGCTGAAATGGAAGGAGAATTTAGGGCACCTTGGGAAGGAGTTAATGCGTTTTGTCTGTGAGGGAGTTCTGAATCTTTGGGGGCCAAAGAGTGGACTGTGGTAGGCAGCTTTTGAGAGGGCCCTCTATGTCCTCACCTCTGAGTGTTCATAAGTGTGATGTAATTCCCTCTCCTTGAGCTGCTGGACTTAATGAGCCTTCCTGAAACCAAGGGCACAGACTTGAGGCCCTCCAGACCTGGGTCCTGTGGTTCAATGCATGGCCCTGTAGCTGCAGGTTCCCGGAGAAGGGCGGATGGCAGAGCAGACTGTGACATCTCCAGGTGGCTCCTGAGCACCTGCTCTGCTCTCCTTCCCCTCCAGGCTCTCTGATTTTGGCTGCTTGGCTGCTCGCCATCTTCCAGGCTCTACGCTCATCCTGTGAGGGCATGAACTGATCTGTGCTTCGCCTGCAAGCTCTATTCTCTCCCCCAGACACCTCACACTCTGTGGGGACCCTGGAGAGAAAGGTAGCCTTGGGCTTCTTGGAAGTGCCAGGAAAGGAAAACAATCCAACAGTTTAGGGGCCCCACTTCTCATTGGAGCTGGAGACACTCATCCCCTAGGAAATGCTGGTCCTTAATCACTGCCCTCCTGAACAGACCTGCTGCTGCTATGCCCAGCATCTTTGCTCACCAGCCTCGTCCTAATATGAAGGCCGAAGGCACATTTGGGCTGTGCCAGGAGCCAGGGTGATTGACAGCTGGAGCTCCTAGTGGGGCTCATTAAGGGAAGCTGGGTGGGGCCTAGGGGAGCTCACTCTCCCCTGCCAGCCCCA
Source organism: Homo sapiens (assembly GCF_000001405.40). Taxonomy (NCBI): domain Eukaryota; kingdom Metazoa; phylum Chordata; class Mammalia; order Primates; family Hominidae; genus Homo; species Homo sapiens. The sequence goes on along the minus strand of NC_000002.12, from coordinate 85,078,313 downwards.
GACCCAGGCGATGAGCTGGGAGGGGGCAGGAGAGGGGGTCAGATCAGCCAAGCTGGATGTCCTCTGCAGCCTGCCAGCTTGAGGCCCCAGCTGTGCCCACTGCCGAGGGCCAGGCTCTGCTCCTGAAGGCCCAACAGCCAGCCTGGAATATTCATAAGTGCCAAAGCCTCCCACCCCTGGGCCTCTGGGCTTCCTTAGACCCCCCCTGGAACATGCCCTTCATGGCTTTTCGTTCTAGAGACATCACAAGTTACTACGCACTACTCCCAATGCTGCCTCCTCCCTGTCCAAGTCCTCGCTTTCCATAATTTCCCAGTCTTGCAACACACACTGGGCCTGCCTGTCATTTTGATTTGCAAATTGAATCTCCCAAGAGCTAGTTATAATATGCAACATTATAAACCAGAAGTAAACTTCTCTATGTCTAACAAGGGCTACTGGAGAGACTTCTTTCTGTTTATACCCTTTTATCTTGTTTAAATATTTTTGTGTCTTTTTAGTTCCTTTCAAAATCAGGAAAAACAAGAGATATTTCCTTTTTAGAAGGAGAAAAAGCCCATTATTTCCCCTCCTGGTGGTAAAGAGCAAGGACCCTACAACCAGGCTGATTGTGTTTGAATCCCTATCCTGGGTGATCTTGGGCAAGTCACTTAACCTCTCTGTGCCTTAGCGTTCTCATGTGTAAAATGGAGTTAATAATTCCTTCCTGAGGGTTGTGAGGATTAAATGCATTAGTGTATATAAAACGCTTACTGATACATAGCAAATCTTTTTTTTTTTTTTTTTTGAGATGGAGTCTCGCTCTATTGCCCAGGCTGGAGTGCAGTGGCGCGATCTTGGCTCACTGCAACCTCCATCTCCTGGGTTCAAGCGATTCTCCTGCCTCAGCCTCCCAAGTAGCTGGGATTACAGGCGTGTGCCACCATGCCTGGCTAATTTTTGTATTTTTAGTAGAGACGGGGTTTCACCATGTTGGCCAGGCTGGTCTCCTGACCTCGTGATCTGCCCGTCTCGGCCTCCCAAAGTGCTGGGATTATAGGCATGAGCCATCGCACCCAGCCGATACACAGTAAATCTTAAATAAATATTTGTTAAATAAAATTTAAAACTCAGCTGCCTGAGAAAGGAGGCCAGTGAGTCGTAAGGTCCAGTGGCTCCCATCTCAGCCCCTGCCTCCATCTCTTCCTACGCATTTCCGACCACAGGGTCCAGATGTGAGAATTTGTGCTGGTTTCAGTTCCTACTCCAAGCTATTGGCCCAGGACACTGCCCAACTCCGAGGCTCCTGGGCAGGTCCTGTGCACTTTCAGCCACCTGTGTCCTCTGCCTGTAAGCTCCATCCTGAGGACAAGCAGAGCCTGTGGACAGGCCATGCACACCCCAGCTGCCCTCCCATCTGACTTCCCAGTGTACTGAATCCTTCCCTGGGCCACCTTAAGGCCCTAGGACCCTGACTGCAGCTTGCCTGGTCCTCCAACAGCACCACACAGGCCTGTAGCTCCACAAGCTGTGCTGACCTCTTGCCATGGGCCATGGTCTAGGACCAAGTCCCAGGCTTCCCTCTCTGGGTGCAAAGTCCTCTCCCTGCCGGTGAAGTCTGCGGTTCCCTCCCAAGGACCCAATCTCTGTCATCATCCTTTCTCAGCCCTGCCCTGCTTCTCTTGGGACAGAGACGAACTTGAAGATTCTTAAGGATTCAGTTGTCACTAGTGAAGAATCAGGCTGGGCTCAGGCTGCAAAGACTGCTTTCTGGTATGACCAGGGAGGGGGACTGCGGGCAGAGCCAGGGGCAGTGAAAGGGGATGTGTAATGGTAAGGGGTCTTCCTCATAGAAGAAGAGGCAGGGCTGGGGTCACATGAAGGCCAGAGTTTGGGAACAAGACAGCCAAGAGAGAGAAGACAGCTAGCTAGATAGAGTACTTCCTTGTGATGCTTTCTGTCTGAGCATCAGGGCTATTCTAGAGATGGTTTCCGAAAGGAGCATCTGTTCATCTGTTTAACTAGTGTCCTGGGGCAATGATCAACCTCTCTGACCTTTAGTCTCTTTATCTGTAGGATGGGATGATAATGCCTTCCTCAAAGACTTGTCAGGAAGATCCCATGAGATATTGTGGTGGTGACTGCAAAGCGTTTAGTACCTTGCCTGGCATGATAAATCTTAAACATGAATGCTGGGACTGGACCTGGTGACTTACGCCTGTAATCCCAGCATTTTGGGAGGCCAGGTGGGAGAATTGCTTGAGACCAGGAGTTTGAGACCAGCCTGGGCAGCATAGTGAGACCCTGTCTGTAATAAACAAACAAGTAAATTTAAAAAATGCTGAAAAGCCTTCTTGACTGTTATTAACAAGGTCTGTCTTGGGAGGTGGGTCCTAGAATAAGAGCCTGACTATGGGTGAGGGGTCGCAGGCCAGATCATAAAATGACAGGAGGCGTGAGGTGAGCCTGGCAATGATGGCAGCTATATTCTCCCGACATTAATTCCCCAAGAAGTTATCTACTCCCAAATTCTATTTTCTGTCTTTTTTTTTTTTTTTTTTAATCACAACTTAAAGAAACCCTAAGCCTGAAATGGGACCAGAGATAACAGGTTCCACAAGCCTGGTTCGTACCTGGCGCTCATAACAGTGCTGTGGCGGGCTGTTCTGTCTGTGTGGAATGGCCCTGTCTCCCTCCCCAGGAAGGACCAGGGCATAGCTTGGGGTACCACTAAAAAGCAAATTCATAAAGACGGAAAGTATAATACAAGTTACCAGGGGCTGAGGGGAGGGGATAACAGGGAGTTATTTTTTAATGGGTACAGAGTTTCTGTTTGCGATGATGAAAAAGTTCTGGAAATGGATAGTGATGGTTGGATAACATTGTAATACCATTAAACTGTACACTTAAAAATGGTTAAAATGGTCAGGCACAGTGGCTCACGCATGTAATCCCAGCACTTTGGGGGGCCAAGGCGGGTGGATCACAGGAGGTCGGGAGTTCGAGACCAGCCTGACCAACACAGTGAAACCCCATCTCTACTAAATACAAAACATTAGCCGGGTGTGGTGGTGCACCCCTATAATCCCCACTACTTGGGAGGCTGAGATAGGAGAATAGCTTGAACTCGGGAGGCGGAGGTTGCAGTGAGCTGAGATTGTGCCACTGCACTCCAGCCTGGGCAACAACAGTGAAACTCCATCTCAAAAAATAAAAATAAATAAATAAATGGTTAAAATGGTCAATGTTATGTTATGTATAGAAACATATGTGTATGCATATACACATTTTTCTCAAGTGCATATAGATCATTCTCCAGGATAGACCTCTGCTAGGCCACAAAAGAAGTCTTAATAAATTTTAAAAGATTGAATTATCATACAATATATCTTTTCTGAATACAATGGAATAAAAATAAGAATGAATCACAGAAAGAAAACTGAAAAAGTCACGAATATGTGGAAATTAAACTTACTCTTAACCAATGGTTGTTTAAGAAGAAATCACTTGGGAGTTGCTCTGAACCTGTTCTGGTTCGGGGGGTGCCCAGAAAAAAAAAAGAAGAAATCACAAAGGAAATTTAAAAATACTTAGAGATGAATGAAAAATATAAAAACAGGCTGGATGTAGTGGCTCACACCTGTAGTCCCAGCACTTTGGGAGGCCGAGGTGGTGGATTGCTTGAGCTCAGGAGTGCAAGACCAGCCTGAGCAATATAGTGAAACCCATCTCTACCAAAAATACAAAAAATTAGCCGGGCGTGGTGGCACATGCCTGTAGACCCAGCTACTGAGGAGGCTGAGGTAGGAGGACTGCTTGAGCCTGGGAGGGGGAGTTTGTAGTGAGTCAAGATCTTGTCACTACACTCCAGCCTGGGTAACAGAATAAGATCCTGACTCCAAAAACAAACAAACAACAACAAAATATATATATATATATAAACAATACATCAAAACTTATGAAATGCAGTGTTTTGAGGGAAATTTATAATAGTTAATGACCTCATTAAAAAAGAAGAAAGATCTCAAATTAATAACCTAGCCCAACTTTTCAAGAAACTTAGAAAAAGAAGAGCAAACTAAACCCAATGCTAGCATAAGAAATTAATAATAAAAAAATGGAGATAAATGAAATCGAGAATGGAAAAACAATAGAGAGAACCACTAAAACCAAGATTGGTTCTTTAAAAGATCAACAAAACTGGCAAACCTTTAGCTACACCAACAAAGAAAAAAGATAGAGGATGCAAATAACTAAAATCAGGAACAAAAGTGTGGGTATTACTACTGACTTTACAAAACTAAAAAGGATCATAAGAAAATACTATGAATAATTGTACACTAATAAGTTAAATAACCTTGGTAAAATGGGCAAATTCTTTGAAAAACACAAACTACCACACTTACTCAGAAGACATAAAACATCTGAACAGACCTATAACAATTAAAGGGATTGAATTAATAATCAAAAACTTCCAAACAAAGAAAAGTCCAGGGCCAGATAGCTTCACTGGTGAATTCTACAAATACAGAGAAACTAATGCCAGTACCTCTCAAACTCTTCCAAAATTTAGAAGAGGGAACACTTTTTAATTCATCTTATGAGGTCAGTGTTATCCTGATACCAAAGCAAGTCAAGGACACCACAAGAAAAGAACACTATAGAGGGTGGCCCTTATGAACATAGGTGCAGAAATCCTCAACAAAATACTAGCAAACTGAATCCAAGAGCATATTAAAACACCATGGCCAAGTCAGATTTATCCCAGGAATGAAAGGGTGGTTCAACATAAAAAAAAAATCAATCAGTGTAATATACCACATTAATAGAGCAAAAGAAGAAAATCATGAGATCATGATCAAAAAAACATTTCACAAAATCCAAGCACCTTTCATGGTAAGAACACTCAGAAAACTAGGGATAGAAGGGAATTTCTCAATCTAATAAACGGCATTTCTGAGAAACCCACAGCTAACATCATAGTCAATGGTGAACGACTGAAAGCTTTCCTCTAAGATCAAGAACAAGACATGATGTCCATTTTCACCACGACTATTCAACATTGTACTAGAAGTTCTAGCCAGGCAATTGGGCAAGAAAAGGTAATGAAAACCACCCAAATTGAAAAAGGAAGAAGTAAAACTATCTGTATTTGCAGATGACATGATCCTATATTTGGAAAATCCCAAGTAAGTCACAAAACTACTATTGCTAATAAACAATTTTAGCAACTTGTGGGTGCAAAATCAACACATGAAAATGAGTTGTGTTTCTATATGCTATTATGGATAATTCAATTTACAGTAGCTTCTAAAAGAATAAAATATCTAGGAATAAATTTAACCAAGGAAGTGAAAGACTTGTATATTGCAAACCATAAAACATTGCTGAAAGACCTTAAGGAAGACCTAAATAAGTGGAAAGACATCCCATGTGCATAAATTGGAAGACTTACCCTTAAGATGGTAGTACTACCCAAAGCTATCTAGAGATTCACTGCAATCTCTATTAAAATTCTGCCTATTTTTTTTTGAAGAAATGGGAAAGCCAGTTCTCAAATTCATATGATATTTTTAGAAACATTGAGTAGCCAGAACAATACTGAAAATGAAGAACAAAGTTGGAGGACTCATATTTTCTGATTTAAACACTAACTATAGAGCTACAGTAATCGTTCGGGCACGGTGGCTCATGCCTGTAATCCCAGCACTTTGAGAGGCCGAGGCATGGGCATCATGAGGTCAGGAGTTCAAGACCAGCCTGGCCAACATGGTGAAACCCTGTCTCTACTAAAAATATAAAAATTAGCCGGGCTTGGTGGCGCACACCTGTAATCCCAGCTACTCAGGAGGCTGAGGCAGGAGAATCGCTTGAAGCCGGGAGGCAGAGGTTACAGTGAGCCGAGATCATGCCACTGCACTCCAGCCTGGGCGACAGAGCAAGACTCTGTCTCAAAAAAAAAAAAAAAAAAAAAAAAAAAAAAAAAAAAGCTACAGTAATTGAAACAGTATAGTACTGCCACTGGGATAAACATGTAGAAAAATGGAATAAAATTGAGAGTCCAGGAATAAACCCATTCACTTAGGGTCAATTGATTTTTAACATATGTAACAAGACCATTCAACTGAGGAAAGACTGTCTCCTTAACAAATGTTGCTCAACAAATCCACATACAAAAGAATGAGTTTTTTCATTCTTATCTCATACAATATACAAAAATTAACTCAAATACTTGAGGGGATAGATACCCCATTTTCCATGATGTGATTATTATGCATTGCATGCCTGTATCAAAACATCTCATGTACCCCATAAATATGTATACCTACTATTGTACCCACACAAATTAAAAAATTTAAAAATTGGGCTGGGTGCGGTGGCTCATGCCTGTAATCCCAGCACTTTGGGAGGCCGAGGCGGGCAGATTGCTTGAACTCCCAAGATCAGCCTGGGCAACATGGCGAAACCCCATCTCCACAAAAAATACAAAAATTAGCCAGGCATGGTGGCACAAGCCTGTGGTCCCAGCTACTCGGGAGGCTGAGGTTGGAGGATTGCTTGAACCCAGGAGGCAGAGGTTTCAGTGAGCCAAGATTGTGCCACTGCACTTCAGCCTGGGAGCCAGAGAGAGACAAAAAAAAATAAAAAAAATATTTTTACAAATTTAAAAATTAACTCAAAGTGGATCAACAACCTGGCTAGAAGGGATAACACTATAAAACTCTTAGAAGTAAACATATGGGAAGTCTCATGACCTTGGATTTGCCAGTGGATTTTCAAATGTGACAACAAAAGCATGAGCAACAAAAGAAAAAATAGATAAATTGAACTATGAAAACTGTAAGTTTCTGTGTATCAAAAGACATTATGAGGAAAGTAAAAAGACAACTTGCAGAATGGTAGAAGATGTTTGCAAATCATAAAGAACTCTTAGAACTCAAAAGCGAAAAGACAAACAACCCAATTCAAAAATGAGCAAAAGGACTTGGATAGGCATTTCTCCAAAGAAGTGATACAAATGACCAATAAGCACATGGAAAGATGTTCAACATCATTAGTCATTAGGAAAACGCAAACCAAAAACCACAGTGAGATACCACTGCATATTTACTAGTACGAGAATAATTTTTAAACACCAGAAAATAGCAAGTGTTGATGAGAAAGTTTTTCTGATTTAAAAACCTAAATTGGAATCCCTGCATATTGCTGGGATTAATGTAAAATGGTGCAGCCACTGTGGAAAGCAGTTTGGCAGATCCTCAAAAAGTTAAACATAGAATGATCATTTGACCCAGCCATTCCGTTCCTGGGCATTTACCTGAAAGAACTGAAAAAAAGTAGTCAAACTAATATTTGTATGCATGTGTTCATAGCAGTGTTATTCACAACAGCCTAAAGGTAAAAACCACCCAAATGTCCCTCAGTGGATGAATGGAGAAACAAATCGAGGGACACACATGCACTGGGATATTCAGCAGGAAAAAGGAATGAAGTACTGATACATGGTACACATGGATGAACCTTGAGAACATGCTAAGTAAAAGAACAGAGGGTCACATATTGTATGATTCCATTTATATGCAATGTACAGAATAGGTAAATCTATAGAAACAAACCAGATTGGTGGTTGTCAGGGGTTGTGGGGAAGAGAGAATGGAGAGTAATCACTGAGTGGGTTTTCTGGAGTGATGAAAATGTTTTAGAAATAGAAGTGGTGGTTGCTCAACATTGTAAATGCACTAAATGCCACTGAATTGTCCACTTTAAAATGGTTAACTTGGCCGGGCACAGTGGCTCGTGGCTCATGCCTGTAATCCCAGCACTTTGAGAGGCCGAGGTGGGTGGATCACCTGAGGCCAGAAGTTCAAGACCAGCCTGGTCAACATGGTGAAACTCAGTCTCTACTAAAAATACAAAAAATTAGCCAGGCGTAGTGGTGCATGCCTGTAGTCCCAGCTACTTGGGAGGCTGAGGCAGGAGAATTGCTTGAACCTGGGAGGCAGAGGTTGCAGTGATCCAAGATCACGCCACTGTACTCCAGCCTGGACAACAGGAGTGAAACTCTGCCTCAAAAAAAATAAATAAATAAAAAATAAAATGGTTACCTTTATATTATGTGAATTTAAACTCAATAAAAATGTAATTGTGTAGTTCTTGGATGATGTAATAGAATTTGGTGGTAAAATAAACTTGATTATAGATGTAAATGTATAAAATAAAATTATAAAACTTTTAGAAGAAAACAGGAAAAAAACATCATGACCTGGTGTTAGGCAAATAATTCTTAGACATGACACCAAAAGCATGATCCATAAAAGAAAAATTGAGTTTCATTAAAATTAAAAACTTCTCTGTGAAAGATGCCATTAAGAAAATGAAAAGCACTGGGCGTGGTGGCTCATGCCTGTAATCTCAGCACTTTGGGAGGCTGAGGCGGGCGGATCACTTGAGGTCAGGAGTTCGAGACCAGCCTGGCCAACACAGTGAAACCTTGTCTCTTCTAAAAATACAAAAATTAGCTGGATGTGGTGGCACATACATGTAGTCCCAGCTACTTGGGAAGTTGAGGCATGAGAATCCCTTGAACCCAGGAGGCAGAGGCTGCAGTGAGCTGAGATTCCACCACTGCACTCCAGCCTGGGCAACAGAGTGAGACCCAGTTTAAAAAAAAAAAAAAAGAGAGACTGGGAGCGGTGGCTCACGCCTGTAATCCCAGCACTTTGGGAGGCCGAGGCGGGCGGATCACGAGGTCAGGAGATTGAGACCATCCTGGCTAACACGGTGAAAACCCCTTCTTTAGTAAAAATACAAAAAATTAGCTGGGCGTGGTGGCACGCGCCTGTAGTCCCAACTACTCGGGAGGCTGAGGCAGAATTGCTTAAACCCGGGAGGCAGAGGTTGCAGTGAGTTGAGATCTTGCCACTGCACACCAGCCTGGGCAACAGAGAGAGACTCCATCTAAAAAAAAAAAAAGAAAAAGAAAAAAAGAAAGAAAGAAAGAAAATGAAAAGCTAAGCCACAGACTGGGAAAAATTATTTGCACAGTATATATGTGATAAGGACTTGTATCCAGAATATATAAAGAATTCAACCCTGACTGGTCACAGTGGCTCATACCTGTAATCCCAGTACTTCAGGAGTCTGAGGCAGGAGGATCACTTGAGTCCAGGAGTTTGAGACCAGCCTGGGCAACATAGTGAGACCTTGTTCATACAAAAAATGAACAAAATTAGGCCAGGCGCAGTGGCTCATGCCTGTAATCCCAGCACTTTGGGAGGCCAAGGCAGGTGGATAATTTGAGGCATCAAAGTTTTTAGCTGACTTGCTATGCTTCACGGCAGCAATACCAAATGATCCCCCGCAATGCTGTGAGCCCTAGGATTTATTTTCCTTTTTATGGTAGGAGGCCTAACCGGCACTGTACTAGCCAACTCATCATTAGACATTGTGTTATATGACAGATACTATGTTGTAGCCCACTTCCACTACGTCTTATTAATAGGAGCCATATTCACTATTATAGGGGGCTTTAGGAGTTCAAGACCAGCCTGGCAAACATGATGTAACCCTGTCTCTACTAAAAATACACAAAAAATTAGCCAGGCGTGGTGGTGCGCGCCTGTAGTCCCAGCTATTCAGGAGGCTGAGGTATGAGAATCGCTTGAACCTGGGAGAAGGAGGTTGCAGTGAGCTGAGATCGCCCCACTGCACTCCAGCCTGGGCGACAGAGCGAGACAGTGGTGTGTGCCTATAGTCCCATCTACTTGGGAGGCTGAGGTGGAAGGATATCTCCAGGCTGGGATGTCAAGGCTGCAGTGAGCTGAGTTCGTGCCACTGCACTCCAGTCTGGGCAACAGAGCGAGACCTTGTCTCAAGGGAAATAAAAAAAGAAATCAATTCAGTAACAAGGTAAACTGCCAACCCAATTAAAATATGTACAAAATAGACATTTCACCAAAGAGGATATACAAATAACTATAAGCACATGAAAGATGCTCAATATAGTCAATTTGGAAAAGCAAATTTAATCCACATTGAGAACCACTACACACCCATTCAAACTGCTATAATGAAAAGAACTGTTGAGATTAGGCCAACTACCAAGAATCTCTATTTCATATACATTTGGGAACTGAGGAAATGCCCACTGCTCAATGGACATATTCTGAGCTGGAGTTTAGCCAGAACTCCATTTATACCTAGTCGCTATATGCTCTTATTCCGTTTTTTTGTTTTTTGTTTTTTGTTTTTAGAGACAGCTTCTTGCTCTGTGGCCCAGGCTGGGCTGGAGTACCCTGACATGATCATAGGTCACTGCAGCCTTGAACTCCTGGGTTTAAGTGGTCCTCCCGCCTCGCCTCCTGAGTAGCTGGAACTGCGGGCGTGCACCACCACACCTGGCTAATTTTAAAATTTTTTGTAGAGATAGGTTCTTCCTATACTGCCCGGGCTGGTCTCCAACTCCTGGCCTCAAGTGATCCTCCCCTCTTAATCTCTCAAAGTGCTGAGATTATAGGTATGCGCCACTGTGCCCAGCCTGTATGTGCCTAATTCTAACAGGGGCCATGATTACACTTGGGATCTAAGGTTATTCATATCTACTATAAGTCTGTGTCTAATTGTCCTCAAGATGTTTAGTATTTTTTTTCCCCAGTGCTCAATTACCCAAGTAAATAGTCTTAGGTCCCTTTGAGGGAAGGCCTGAAGGAGTCATTACATGTTCAATTGCCACGTGTCGCAGGATTCTTCCTGCTGGAGTTGCAGGCGCTGCTTCAATCAGTGGGTTCTGGGTTCAAAAACTGACCCAGTGTAGAAACTGGGCAAAGGAGAGCGACTTTTTATTGGAGCAACTATCCTCAGCTTCATCATCACCCATCCTTGATTTCTTTTGATGGTTCAATTTGAATAGCACTCTGTTGGCTAATGCAAGTATTTCGCCGTTTGTTTATACCAAGTTCTATTAACCATCTCCAGAAGTGTCTTCTGAACTGACCGTTAGCGCCACTCCCACCGTGCTGCTCGCTACGATAATCGCGCCACCACTTGTCCTCCGTAGCTCTGGAGTCCTGGCCTGCCGGTTGCTAACTGGGCCACTTTACAGAGGCAGAAGCAAGCTCAGGGAGGGTAAACAGGAAGGGTAACTAATTTTCCTGGGATTACACAGTCGGTAAATAATGGAGGCAGCATCGACCCCAGGCAGTCTGGCCCCAGACACCACACTTTTACCCAATTCCCACAGCTGCCTGGAAAATAAATAGAAATCAAATAGATGTTAACAAGGACCTTTGGGAGTTGTCCGGCGTTTGGGCAACGGATTGCTTTTCTGTTTCATGTTAGTCCACCGCCCTCACGTGGCCCCGTCCTGAACTTCACCCTTGTTTGGTCCCAAACTGTAAAGACCCTCACGGTGCTGGGAAACACAGCCCTGCTGGCCTCGGACTGCAGGACAGAATCCTTACCCCTCCTGGGCCTCCGTTGTGTTCTTTCCAAAATGGGATAATGGTAGCAGGTTAATGGAAATAATTAAATAAAATAGTCCATCTAAATTCCTGGATCGAACGAAGGGTCCAATAAACATTAGCTGTGCTGTTGTAGTGCTCAGTGCCTCTCTCTCAAAAGCGGGTGGCAACAGACACCCTCACACCTTCGCTGTAATGAGAGCTCTGCAAAGCCAACTGCAAATATTAGGAATCAGTGTCCTCACGAGGCCAACCCCTTTCCAAGGCTGCTTGGAAAATGCTTTGCTAGACTAGCTTGGATCTTGCTGGCTTGACTCAGATCACAGTTGAGCAAATGTGCAGAAGAGGAAGAGATGAGGGAAGGCCTGGCTCAGTGTGCTCAGAGCTTCGATTTTGAGACTGTTCGGGAGGAAAAGTTCCTCACCAGACAGTGCTCTGCTACTCTTAAAGCTAGAAGGACAGAAAGATTTCTCCACAGTTGGGGTCATGGAAATGTGTATTTTCTCCAAACCTTTTTTTCACTGAACCAGTTGTTGGAGCCTTCCATTTGAGACCTTGTGATGCCTTCATGGACATTATTTCTGCTCATCCACACAGCCAGCAGGGACTTGTGCAGCAGGAGGGGCAGGCTCAGAGTTAAGCAGCTGCTCCAACGTCACACGGCTAGCCTGGGCCTGATCTGGAGCTTGTCCCAGATCTGGAGCTTCCCAGGTTTGGACCTGGGTCACTAGAGCAGAGCCTCCTTGCCTCTTCGTGGATATGGAGCCAATTCACTGTGGCCGATCACCAGCCTCACAGACTAAGGGGGCAGCCCTGCCCCTGCCTACGCCCCTACCACTGCTGAAGCCATCTCCTTGCCGACAAACACAAGCAGAAACTTCTCAGGATCTGCTGCCTCTTGTTCCAAGGATTAGGCGAGCTTCTGTCTTGAGGACAGAAGAGGCAGCTGGAAGATCAGGGTTGTGGTTGAAGAAGGCCTAGGTAAGGTGCCATGACTCAAATGTCCCTAATGGGTGAGGGCTTTCAACTTTTGGAAACTGCAGGGGCAATTTTGGAGACAATGTTTAACTATAGTGTAAAGACTGCCAGTTTAATTTCTAATCCTGAAGAAATGTATATGTGGTCACAGGCTAATATTTCTAAAAGTCATCGAGTGACTTTACGTGTCCTAGCCCCATATTTCCCCAAAGATGACTGTCTAAATGCCCCTAAGAGAGGCTTTGGAGTTCCTTGACTTCTCTGAATTGTTGTAGTAAAGATAAGGCAGAAATTTTGAAGAGATCAGAAAGAAAAACTTTAGAACAAATCTCGTCTTTTCTAGAACTGTCTTCATTTTAATTTACTGTCATATCAGATAACCTGCCAGATGGCTTTTACTGTGTCTGAATTGAGTCAGACCAGCTGGGATGGGATCCTGCCTCCAGCAGTGGTGGGCCCCAGGAACATTTATTTCATCTCAGCATCAAGCATTCCCAAAGCAGCAGGGGCTAACGGGGCCGTAGAGATTACCCCTGCAGCTGTGGGGCTGGCCAGCCACACTTCCATAGATTTGTCTGTAGGGAGACATTGAGCCACATGGATTTGGACAGGTTGTTACATACGCAGACAGCAAAAGCTAAATCAGCATGACATGTCGCTCCTTGTGTCCCTCGTCCCACAGGAGGACACAAGGCTGGAAGGTTGGGACACCAGATGGCATGGACAGTGGGTTGCCCTGCTGTGCAGCAGCCAGCTCTCAACTGCAACCGAGCACTCTACAGACTTAGCAGGCACCTGCAGACGTAACTTGTGGGAGTGGGGAGAGAGGAGGAAAGCGCTGCGCTCAACAGAAACTAGGAAGATCGATGAGAAATGGCCTTGCAGCAGTTCCAAAAGGGTGGGGAGGCAGGTGAGACCACTCACGGCAGCGATGCACAGGGCCACTTAACGCCCCTTGCTCCATGAGGAGTTGCAGGGTGTTCCACCAAGACGCAGGTCAGGTTGCCGTCGAGCCCGGTGGAGATGTGCAGGGTTGCTGGGCACCTGGCAGAGCTGGTCCCTGACACGCACTTTTATCATCAGTAAAATGGGGATGTTAAGAATACCTACCGCAGGTATGTTTGACTTTTTTTTTTTTTTTGAGATAAACTTTACATAAAATTCACCATTTTAACCATTTCGAAGTGTACAAATTAGTGGCTTTTCATATCTTCACAGAGTTATGCAACCGTCGCCATTATCTAATTCGAGAACCTCTTCAACACTCCAGAAAGAAACCCAGTGCACACGAGCTGCCACTCCCCACTCTCTCCTTGCCCAACCCCTGGCAACCACTAATCCACTTTCTGTGTCCATGGATTTGCCTGTTCTGGGAATTTCATTTAAATGGAATCATATACTCTGTGGCGTTTTGCGACTGACTTTTTTCACTTACCATGTTTGCAAAGTTCATCCAAGTTGCAGCATGCGTCAGTACATCATTCTTTTTTATGGCCGCATAATAGTCCATTGTGTAGATCATGTTTGTTTAACCTTTCATCAGTGAATGGACATTTGGGTTGTTTCCTCTTTTCAGTTATTATGAATGATGCTGTTCTGAGCATGAATGTAGGAGGTTTTGTGTGAACATATGTTTTCAATTCTCTTGGATATACCTGGGAGTGGAATTGCTGGGTCACATGGTAATTCTATGTTTAATGTTTTGAGGAACTGCCAAATTGTTTTCCACAGGGACTGAGTATTTTATATTGGTATGCACTTTTGAAATAATAAAAAACACTCTTAACAGAGTCTGGCCCACACCATTCATTCTTTTATCCCATAAATATTTATGGAGCACTTACCGTGTGCCATGCCTTATAGACATGGAGATACAAGGGTGACTAATGGACAGCCCTGCCCTCAGGAAGCTGGCATCTATGTGTGTGTGTATGTAGGGGTGTGTGTGTGTGTGTGTGTGTGCACATAATGTGTATATGGGGTAGGGAGGATGTCAGATGGTGATAAGAGTTATGGAGAAACAGTCCAGGTGCAGTGTCTTACGCCTGTAATCCCAGCACTTTGAGAAGCTGAGGTGGGTGGATCACCTGAGGTCAGGAGTTCGAGACCAGCCTGGCCAACATGGTGAAACCCTGTCTCTACTAAAAATACAAAAATTAGTTGGGTGTGGTGGTGGGTGCCTGTAATTCCAGCTACTTGGGAGGCTGAGGCAGGAGAATAGCTGGAACCCTGGAGGTGGGGCTGGGGTGTACCGGGTGGGCCTGGGATCCCTGTTTTCATTTGGGTAGTCAGAGAAGGCCTCACCGACAAAGAGAAGGAGGCAAGGAAATATGGATCTTCCAAGAAAAGGGGACTGCAAAGGCAAAAGTCCCAGAGCTGTGGCATGCCCGAGGGACAGCAAGGTGGTCAGTGAGGCTTGGGGGAGGGAATAGAGTAGCAGGGGATGAACCCCAAAAAGGAATAAGAGCCACAGCCTGTGGGAGCCAGGGGCTGTGGTGAGGACTCCGCCTTTCCTCTGAGAGGGAGGAGCGGCAGAGGGATTGGAGGTGTAGGTTCTGACAAGATTACCCAGGTGCTGTGCTGGGACATGGAAGTGCGGGGGCAGGCATGCCACTTGGAAGCTATAGCGATGACCCTGTGGGGATATGATGGAGGCCTGGGCCAGCGGCAGCAGTGAAGATGGTGGGAAGGGGGCAGTTTCTGGAAAAGTGTGGAAATAGAGACAGCGGGATCTGCTGACGAAATGGATGTGAGGTTCAAGAAAAAGAGTAGAAAATGATTCCAACAGGTTTTGGACTGAGCAACTGGGAAGCTGTGCTATTTAGTGAGCTGGGGACCTCTTTGCTTTATTCACTGGAGAACCCCAAGTGCCTAGAACAGTGCCAGGCACTTAGTAGATGCCCAAGAAACTGACTGAGTAAATGAAGAGGTGGTGGGATCCATAGTAAAGCCTCAGTTGATGTTTATTCTTTGATACCTATGGTCTCCTGACCTAGGGTGATTCCCGTCCTTCCCCAGCTCTTGAACTCCTCAGATAAAGAAACTTGAGCTTCCACGATTTTTACCAGGTCACTGACCCTCATGGAGTTTTGCCAGAATGACTTAGAAGTATTTGAAGCAGGATGGGGCTAATTAAATCAATGTGCTGTGTTTGCGTAGAAGTTATCTGGCTCTGTCTTTGCTCCCAAGCAAATCCCACTCTTTCTTTCCTTATTTATTTATTTATTTTTTGACAGAGTCTCACTGTGTTGCCCAGGCCGGAGTGCAGTGGCGCGATCTTGGCTCACTGCAACCTCTGCCTTCCTCAAGTGATTCTCATGCCTCAGCCTCCTGAGTAGTGGGGGTTACAGTCACCCACCAATGCCCCTGGCTAATTTTTTGTACTTTTAGTAGAGATAGGGTTTCACCATGTTGGCCAGGTTGGTCTTGAACTCCTGTCTTCAAGTGATCTGCCCGCCTTGGCCTCCCAAAGTGCTGGGATTACAGCTATGAGCCACTGCTCCTGGCCCAAATTCCACTATTGGTCACCTTTGGGTCCCTGTTATGTTGGTTGCCTTCTGAGGCACCTGCCATTTTTTTATGGTTACTTCACACCAGGCACTGTATTAGCACATTATTTAATACTATGATTAGCTACATTTAAGAATGAGACAATAGGCATACTGTTTAATTAAAGTTAATTAACTTGGCCAAGATCACACAGCTAGTAAGCGGTAGGGCTAAGATTGAAACTCACATCTGTGCTTGTAACCACAGCACTTTATCTTCTCCCTGTTCTGGGTGGATATTTACTTGTCAGGAAGGTTTCCATGGGAACTCCTGCACCCAGAGAGCAATTAGACCTTTCCAATTCTAAGCTTTAATTCCAGAGTTCCATTCTCCAGGTTTTCCCTAACTTCACCTCCAACCCAGCTTGATTTTGAGTCCCATCCACTGCCCTTGACACAAAAATGTGCATCTCCTTATCCCCACCGTGAATTCCAAGTTCTAACATCTGATCAAGCAAGACCACCATTTTCCCTTTTTCTTTCACAGCGCAGGCAATGTCAGTAATCCAGGAAATTCCGCAAATTTTACCTCCCCAGAATTGACCTACCAATTATTACCCATGACTTGCCTCCTAGTCCAAGCATGATCTGGGTACTTTTGAGGTAAGAGAGAGAATCCCAAGAGAGAGAACCCTAATTTCTAATACAGAAGATTCACATCCATTCTCATGATTCATTGTAATTTTTCCAACCACTTCTTTTTACAAACTTAATTCCATTCTTTCTCCCAGCCAACATCTGTTATGGCTGGCTACAGAATTTATAAGCATCTAAAAGCTATCTTACAAACACTTCATCAAATGCTGTCTACTTGAAATGTAACAATGTCTAAAATGTGTGCCTTACAACAGTATAAGATGTGAAAAGTGCTATTTGTTGCAACCTTTACATTTTAGGATTCGTGGAGTAATCAACCAACCCACCCCAATCCTTGGTGGCCAGACTCTACCAGAGCTGAAGGCAGTTTGAAAGACAGCTGTGTGAAAAGAATGTGTTGCCCAGGACCACTGGACAAGCGCCTGCGAGTGGACATGGTGGGTTTTGGTTTTCTTAGGTGGACTTGTTCGGGGCTTTATAACCATAGAATGGTGAACACTTGGAAAATACTATGAAAGGATTAAAAGTTTTATCGAAATATGCCAAAAGTGTTCTTAAAAAGATCCGGCCAGGCATGGTGGCTCATGCCTGTAATCCCAGCACTTTGGGAGGCCAAGGTGGGCAAATCGCTTGAGCCCAGGAATTTGAGACCAGGCTGGGCAACATGGTGAAACCCCATCTCTACAAAAAACACAAAAATTAGCTGGGTATGGTGGCATGTGCCTGTAGCTCCCAGCTACTCGGGAGGCAGAGGTGGGAGGATAGCTTGAGTTCAGGAGATCTAGGCTGCAGTGAGCCGAGATTGCACCACTGCACTCCAGCCTGGGAGACAGAGTGAGACCCTGTCTTAAAAAAAAAAAAAAAATACAATCCACCATCCTCCTCAGAACACAGTGACTTGGGGGACAACCCTAGAGCCCTAGGCTGGAGTGAAAGGCATTTGTTCAGGTAGATACTAAAAGGTAATTTTCACTACTTGCTTTTAAACCTGCCATTGGCTTGGCCGGGCACGGTCGTTCATTCCTGTAATCCCAGCACTTAGGGAGGCTGAGGTGGGCGGATCACCTGAGGTGAGGAGTATGAGACCAGCCTGGCCAACATAGTGAAACCCCGTCTCTCCTAAAAAACAAAAAATTTGCTGGATGTGGTGGCGCGGGCCTGTAGTCCCAGCTACTCAGGAAGCTGAGGCAGAAGAATCGCTTGAATCCGGGAGGTGGAGGTTGCAGTGAGCCGAGATTGCGCCACTGCACTCCAGCATGGGCGACAGAGTGAGACTCCGTCTCAAAAACAAAACAAACAAACACCAAACAAACACACAAAACAAAAAAAACCCTGCCATTGGCTAGAGGCAGTTGAGTGTTCAAAATGGGGAAAAACAACCACCAAAAGCCAACAGGAACTCTGAAGAGGGAAAAAAAAAATGGATAAGGAACAAGTCTTGTCCCTTCCGGTCCTGAGTGGGTGGGGCTTATGTTCATGCTGAAGTTCAGGGGGCTCCTTCTCAAGTCCTTCTTTCTAGTCTTGCCCTGTGAAGCTGTAAGTAGAATCAGTATTCCAAAGTCCTTTTCTGGACTGAGGAGAGAGGCCACATGTTCACCCCTCAGGCTCAGACACCAGCAACAGTGGTAACCAGGGTGGTCCTGAAAATTCCGTAGGCAAATGGAACTGAAACTGCAGATGTCACTGGAAGCATTAATAAAACACACACACACACACACACACACACACACACACACACACACACAGAAACAGGAGAGGACGCAGACAGGGACAATAGGAGTAATGGTATTTCACAGGGGATTTAAAACTATAGAAATGAGGCCAGGTGTGGTGGCTCACGCTTGTAATCCCAGCATTTTGGGAGGCCGAGGCAGGTGGATCACCTGAGGTTAGGAGTTTGAGACCAGCCTGACCAACATGGTGAAACCCCGTCTCTACTAAAAATACAAATACAAAATACAAAATACTAAAAATACAAAAAAGTAGCTGGGCGTGGTGGCACACATCTGTAATCCCAGCTACTTGGGAGGCTGAGGCAGGAGAATCATTTGAACCCAGAAGGCGGAGATTGCAGTGAGCCGAGATAGTGCCACTGCACTCCAGCCTGGGCAACAAGAGCAAAACTCCATCTCAAAAAACAAAACAAAACAAAAACTATAGAAATGCCGAAACACCAGTGCCACAGATGACCAAGTCTGTGTTGAACATTACTGACATCTTAAGATGACACAACACTGAAGTCACACTCAGCTATCTCAGTGAATGCAATGGAAACTGAGGTGCACAACACAAAGTTTATTCAAATCAGAAAACAGATAAGCTTCATGACAGGTGGTGATGTTATAAAAGGTAATCTATATCAAGGGTTCAGTACAAATTAGTCTCGGAGCCTGATACAATATGCAATTTATTCTAAAGTACTGTATCGTCAGTGTGATATTTTCCAAGGTAAGTCTGAATCGTGAGTGGTCAGCACACATGGTGGCTGCTATCCGATAGGGCAATTCAACAGACACTGCTAATTAGCATACTATATATTTAAAAATGGACTTTTATGGGGAAACTAGTGTCTTGTTAATTGTCATGAAAGGTTCTCGTGGGCAAAATTAAATGGATTCAAGGCTGGCCAGAATAGCTTTCATGACTAGGGGGTAAGAATCCATGAACTCTCCTTCAGTCCCTAGCGACAGTGGCTGAGGCCTGTGTCTGTTGGTCCAGTCCACTTGCCAATACAGGAGTATTATAGAATCTTACCCCAGGAATATTGCTGCATCTACCTCAAGAAAACCTTATATACAGGGTGTGGTCTCCTTATATACAAGGAGAGAGAGCTGGGACTCCATCCAGCTTACAGAAGAGGATGCTTCTGGGCTGGCTTCACTATTAAATGAATATGGATCTCTTATGTGTGAGGCAGATTCCAAATGCTGTCAGTCTAATTTGGTAGATTTAAGGGAGCAGCTCACTCACCAGCTCTGATTGGTCACGTGACTGACCAAACGCAACCGGCTTGATGACCTTTGAAAACGTTTCAATTGTGTAAGGGAGAAAGGCTCTTTTAGAAAATTCTTACAGGGGAAGTCTGTAAAAATCGCAGTTGGTAAATAATGTTTAGACAAAGCTTCGTACCTACTGGGAACTCAAAAAGTATGTATGAATGAGAGAGCAGCGAACTGATGGTTTCTATAGACAGAGGAGCCAACATTCTACAGGCTACATGCACTGTCTGCCAAGGACACAGTCAGATGCTAGGTTCCCTGTGGTTAGTAAAGGCCTCCTTGAAGAGAAACATCATTATCCAGGCCTGTGGAAAGCAGCCCCAGGCTGTGCACATGCGGCCCACATGGGTTTTCTTTCTTTTTTTTTTGTTTTGAGGAGAGTCTCACTGTGTCGCCCAGGCTGGAGTGCAGTGGCGCAATCTCGGCTCACTGCAACCTCCGCCTCCCGGGTTCAAGCAATTCTCTGCCTCAGCCTCCCGAGTAGCAGGAATTACAGGCATCTGCCACCAAGCCCAGCTAATTTTCGTATTTTTAGTAGAGATGGGGTTTCACCATCTTGGCCAGGCTGGTCCTGAACTAACCTCGTGATCCACCCGCCTTGGCCTCCCAAAGTGCTGGGATTACAGGCGTGAGCCACCACACCCGGCCCCACATGGGTTTTCAAATCAGCCATGTGCAGCCCTCATCCATATCTGTGCACTATCTGTACAGCAAGTAAAGTTACCTGGGACAGTCAGACTTAAGGGTTCTTTTTAATTGATCTCTTTAGTTGCTGTAAAGTTAACTGACTTACTAAAGTTAACATGAGGACTTGAGAGCATTCTCCTTTGTGATTTGAGGAACCCATGTTATTAGGCATTACCCACCTAATAGCAACCGACTAAAATGTGACGTGGAGGTTCAGGATCAACTTCTCTGAGACGAATCGTCTTTCAAAACTTGAATTTGCTAACCAAGTTGAGGAAGTGGCAACAAACATCAAGTCACATTTTATTCGAGGTCTGCTGCAGGGTTCCTTAAATAACGAATGTATGCATTTATAGAACACTGACAGAAATGGGTTGAAAAACTACAGAAACCAAGAGGCAAGAGTACGAATTAGAAACAAACGTTGTGTAAGCACAGTTGAAGCCGATAAGCACAGGGAATTAGATTTTTATACTATTCAGAAAAACAGTCACTTGAATTTGGCTTTGGAATACCGTAATGACTGACTCAGACATAGCCATGTTTAATAGCACAGAATTTCATGACATCGTCACAACCTGAAAGTCTGCAGACTGCTGCTCCATCCTGCACTCTAACCCTAACCTCTACCCACTCCAGGCCAGGCATAGGGTTTCAATTACTGTTGAGGCTGAAATGAGATGAGATGAGAGGCTCCTCCCCAGCCTCTTCCCTTCCACCTGCCCACCCCCATCCCACTTCCGGTCTCAAGGAGAGAACTGTTTTAGTGTCTAGTTGAGCTTTAGAAAGAGCACAGATAACCGTAACTGTTTTCCAGCATGAACACCAACTTTCGCGTATAATTCTGGGATAATTTCGTACCTAGTGTTTTAATTTTTTTTTTTTTTGAGACAGAGTCTTGCACCGTCGCCCGGGCTGGAGTGCAATGGCGGCGTGATCTCAGCTCACTGCAACCTCTGCCTCCCAGGTTCAAGCGATTCTCCTGCCTCAGCCTCCCGAGTAGCTGGGATTACAGGTGCCTGCCACCATGCCCAGCTAACTTTTTGTATTTTTTAGTAGAGATGGGGTTTCACTATGCTGGCCAAAATGGTCTCAAACTCGACCTCGTGATCCACCCGCCTCGGCCTCGCAAAGTGCTGGGATTACAGGCGTGAGCCACCACGCTCAGCCGTGTTTTAATTTTTACTGCACATGAAACCAATATTGCATGTGCCCCTTAAACTGTGCATGCAAACTAAGAAACAGGCATGTCATATATAGTAAACACGGCTGCAGGGCTTCTCTACAAAACTGTTAAGAGCTTTTAGCACCCATTCCTCCATCACACTTAGTTTTTTACACATGCCTGTATCAGTAAGCCATATCAGACCCCACTTACAGTAGACTTAATATTGGTACTGAACACTGTTACAGGAATCCCATTCAAAAG
The DNA here is from genome assembly GCF_000001405.40 of Homo sapiens. NCBI lineage: Eukaryota > Metazoa > Chordata > Mammalia > Primates > Hominidae > Homo > Homo sapiens. The sequence continues at coordinate 85,056,637 of NC_000002.12, read as the reverse complement.
ATTCTTTTCTGCAGCCACCTGCTACCGTAACCTCTCTAGTATTCTCCTTCTACCCCCCAACCCACTTTGTCCTTAACTAGAGCTATGAACTATTGATATATGTGCTTACCCCAACATCCATGGAGTAAATATATAAAGCGTTAATATTTGCAGTGAGGAGCCTAGCTTTTTTCCTGGAAACTAAGGCTTGGACGTATCAAGAGAACTCTGAACCTGTTACCCGTTCTTTTAACTGTGGCCCACAGACCGGAAAAAAACACAAAAGCCTTGGTGACCTTTGAAAATCTGTCAGCATATTATTGAAATTTCTAATATTGAGAGGGAAAATGGGGGGTGGGGATAATGGGCTGGATTTTTTTTGTTACGTCTATTATTTCTAATAGTGTAATCTGCTATCCTACTTCATTTCTCTGGGGGCCACAGGGAGAGAAGTTTTCTCTTACTTTACCTGAGCCTAATTATAAGAATCCACTACTTTGTTAGTAGCAAACCTAGGTTCTACTTCTGTGGATTTTTTTTTTTTTAACAAAACAATGCAATATAAATACAAAGATTTCACGGTAGCCAACCACAGAAATTCTGTCTTATGATTGCAGCCATACAAGGAAGCACAGTTATTTCTACTTGTTCAGAGCTGAAATTAAACTTCTTCCAGAGCACCTCGAGGGGAAAGATTTAAATGATTTCTAAACAGGAAGTAAAGACAAGCACTGTAGAACATTTATAAACTTATATCCTAGACACTCAAAACTCAACGAAACAAAAAATTCTCAAAATTCAGGATCTGGTCCTTAGAAATTTGAAGGTGCTGCCAAAATAAACAGTGGTATATTTTGATTTTGTCTCCATCAAAGTCTTTGCAATTAATTTTTATTCAATAGTACATCCAGTAATAAGATTTTCATTCAGAAACTAAAGAAAAAGGACACAAGAATTTCAAGGGCTTGAATATATTTTTATATTGATATTCTGTGTCGTTCTACCCTAAAATAATACATTATTGATTACATACAGGATGAGGTGAGGTATTTGTAAAATATCTGGTAAAAAATAATTAATATACAGTATTCTACATGAGATGGAATCTTATGACTCCTTAGGTCTTCTGCAGTGTTAAAAGTGATCATCTAAATTAAACTGCTCTGAATGGACTTACAGTTGTTCCCTAAAACCATGTTAAAAAATGAAGGCTTTTACATTTTCCCAGAATTTGTGCAGAAAAGGGAAAGTACATATAATTGGCATTTATTTCTCACATCCAAAATAATGCATTCACACAAAACCAGGATCTCCCATGTTTAGCATAAAAAGAAAAAAAATACTGGATT